>NC_000007.14:64021930-64324960 GCF_000001405.40 Homo sapiens | reverse complement strand
AAACAAAGGTTACAGCTGCCTTGTTACTGCTGCCTGTCATATTACCCAGATTTTGTACTTACATTCCTTTAAGACCCAGAATAATTTAGAGTATCAAACAGCTTAAATTTTGAATTATTTAGTTTCATAGGACCTATGGGCAGGGGAAAGTCCAGAGTTAGTGGAAAGACTAATTTGTGCTACAGATAGTGGCTCAGAAAGGGTTAGGCTCTGGCTTATTTCTGTGTCTATGCAGGTAGATGAGACTATGATCAGGTGACTCAGAAGCCCAGTTGACTGGATGGAGCAGGTTGTTGCCACAGATTTAGCGTCTGAGGACAGGGATAAGTCTAAAGTCCTCTAGGCACTTGTATCTGGCTGAAATGTGAGCATGGAGATTTGTCCTAAGAGGGTTGTGAGCACATTATTATATAGTGTGCATGTGTCCGGGGGGGCAAAATCACATACTGGTAGCTAAATGGGAGGAGTCTGCCCTCTTAACTCACTTCCTATGTGTCCTCAGTTCCTGTTGACCCTGGGAGAAACATGGCATCACAGAACAATTTACAGTGTGACAGTCTGTGTGCACTAGAGCAGAACCTCCCTTTTCTGAGACACCTGGAGTCTCCCTTCAGCCCGGGGCCTGCCTGACACTTGCTGAGTGATTCACAGGCACGCACATGTCCTTGGCTCCTCTTATGTTATTTGTTGATGATTGACTCAAGTGTCAAAAACATGAGCAAAACAACTCCATTTTCTTTTGAGTAACCCAGGGCATATTGTGAGAAGTTATTATAGCATGAGCATGAAGATGTTTTTATCCCAGCTTTGTTGGAAAATGAACAAATCAAAAACAAAAAAAGAAAATGAACAAAATCAGCAAAAATGGATATGTGGTAGGAATAGATGGAAGCCTTTGACAATTATGCCATGAATCCATATTTTATAATATGTAAGTAATAAAGCAGAATATAACTGCATTAAGAGATAAGATTATGTTTTCAAATAGTTGGTATGTGTTTACTATGAATTTTTGTACCACAAATACCCCCTGCTTTTAGGTATTTATTTTTTTACTTTTTTAAAAAAATCAACTTTTAAGTTCCGGGGTACATATGCAGGATGTGCAGGTTTGTTACACAGGTAAATGTGTGTCATGGTACTTTGCTGCACAGATCAACCCATCACCCATGTATTAAGCTCAGCACCCATTAGCTGTTCTTCCTGATGCTTTCCCCGCCCCCTGACAGGCCCCAGGGTGTGTTGTTCCCCCAAGGTGTCCATGTATCTCATCATTCAGCTTCCACTTATTAGTATGAGAGCATGCAGCGTTTGGGTTTCTGTTCCTGTGTTAAGTTTGCTGAGAATAGCGGCTTCCAGCTCCATCCATGTCCCTGTCAAGGACATGATCTTTTTCCTTCTTATGCCTGCATAGTATTCCATGGTATATACCTACCACATTTTCTTTATCCAGTCTACTGTTGAAAGCAATGTGGGTTAATTCCATGTCTTTGCTATTGTGAATAGTATTTTTTTTTGTTTTACTTTTAAAAACAATATACTGCTTAAGTTTAATTGAAAAAAATAAATTTTTAAAACATACTTTGAGAGCACAGAACCTATTGAAATGTAATCACAAGTGTTTCATGCTCAATAAGCAACTGTAGTTTAATATTTGTTATGAATATTTGTTGACTGTGTTTCAAAATTTCTTATCCGGTATTTTTAAAAAATATTTATTACTTCAAATGAGTGCCCATAATATGGTAAAGATACAAGAGATTTCAAATAAAAAAGAACTCACAGAATTTACATGTTTCGAGGAAAATGTCACAGCTGTAATTGGTTAGAATTTACATAAAGGCAGATGTCTTTATACAAACACATAAGACAGAAAAGCAGAGCAAAACTGTGGTTTGCACCAGGCAAGATAAGGAAAAAAAGAAGGCGCTAAAGAAGGGAATCCATAAACAGTGTGGTTAAAGACTGTAAGTTTAGGTGGCCCTAGAAAGGCCTTACTAAGAATTAGGAGGCTTTAGTAATTAAGTAATAGAGAGTGACTAAGTAGTTTTGTAAAGAGTAAACAGAAAGACATACATTTTTTATAGAATTAAAATGTTGATGGTCCTATTAAACTATTATCTAATCTGTTCCAATAATTGACATATTCTTATTACTGTTATCTCAGTTAATTACACTAATAAATATTTTAATTTTCAAGTCAGGATATTACTTCTGTCTCTTAATATACTCAACGATAAATAATCTGTTATTATTATCTGTTTCACAAATAAGAGCTGTGAGACACAAAGAGGCTGTGTAACTTATAAAAGTTGACTTTTTAATTGTGAGAATAAGTTTCAGGTCCTTTTTAAAGCGAACTTTCTTCTCTATTAGATGTCTTTTGTCACATTCTCAGCCGTAATTTTAGAAATGTCTGTATCTTCACTCCTGCTCACAATGTATTTTGATGTTACTATCTTAACACTTCTTAGAACAGTGCTTGGCATATTGTACATAGCATTATCAAACATGATTCCCAAAGGAAAAAAATAAAAACATAATTTCTATTTGTAGATGATATACTATACCTAGAAACTCAAGAGATTTGACAAATACCAAGATTTAGCATAGTGGCAGCATAAAAAATAAAACTTTATAAAATAAATATAAAAATTGATGTTCTATCATATTGAGATACCACTTCACACACATGAGAATGGCTATTATATGAAAAACAACAGCATAATCCCTAAAAGAACAAGCGGTAAAAAGAAGAGGGAGAAATTAGAATGATTTTTAACTCCTGGTGCAAATGTAAAATGGTGTAGCCACTATAAAAAACAATGTGGACATTTCTTGGAAAAAAAAAACCATAAAATGTACCTTCTTCTATGTTTAGAACATAGAATTATATGATCCAGCTATTTCATTGCTAAATTCAGACTGTAGTTCAACAACATACAGCTTATCACTAATCAATGTTATTTCTGCAAACTAACGAGAATTCCTGACAATGGCTGACTACTTATTCTGCTTCTTACTTTATAAACCGTATTAAAAAGGCCAAAGTTCATATCTTAGGTAACATGCATCTGAGTCTTCCAGGCAGCTGTCCTCACCTTGGCTGAAGTAAATTCTTTAAAATTTTATTTTTTTGCCCCTGCTTCTTCCTTTGGATTGATATTTCTGGTGCTGTGAGCAGGATTCAGAGGGACACCCCCAACCATCCAACATCCCTCTTGAACTCAGAAACTAGTCAATGAGAACCCCTTGTATTCTTCCAGCTCCCAGTACATTGTTGAGTGTAAGGGGTGAGTCCTCCTGAATTCAGATCTCCCTACTATTTCATGAGGTCAAGACTTTGCTTGAGCTGTTCTTTTCAACCCTCACTTTCTAGAAAAAATATTTCCATTTTTGGCTAAAGTCAGGAGATTTTAATTTCAATATTTTTAACTGCTTTCTCTGCTACTGTCTCAAGACAGAAAATCTGGGTCATAATACTGGCAGTCTAGCCCTGGTGGTTTTACTTCTTTTGTTCTAAAATTAGGTAACATGCTTTAAAAAACACAGCTGTTTTCTATTGCTTCTAATTTGAACTTGACTTTTTGGGACCTTCAAAGCAAAAGGTGCATGGGAGTGAATTCTCTCATCCCAAAGATAAAAGGCAATTTCTTTAACTGACTCATTTGGGTGCTCTAGGCAACTAGAGACTTTGTAGAGGTGTTAGGATGATTTTCAATGCTTTGTACCAGTCTCACAGGGTCCTCCCAAAAGAAAAACACCTGCAGAGACTTTTAACTAAGCTGGAAGTAAACATAAGCATTGCTCACCCAGCACTATAATCAGCAACTCTTGGGTGACACCTTGAGGAGTGATGCTCATACACAGCACACTTAGACCTGGTACACTGCTCTGGCCATGATCACCTTTGAAAAGTTTCTAAATTATGGAAAACTGATCATCAAAACCATTCTTTTCCTTCTAGGTAACATGCCTTAGAAACATAAGCTGAACTTATGTATAATACCTATGGAGCTTCATCTTGCAAATGCCTGGGTAAATGTACCGACATGACTTCAGATGACCCCAAAATGCAATGACAAAAATGAAGGTCTTATGACATTTCTAAATTAATATATTTCCATGCACAATTGGAAACGGCAGGTTTTAGAATGAAATTTAATGAAAGGCCTTCTTTCTGTTTTGCCTGGCTACATTCTAATAAGAGATTTCAAAGTACATTTTAAGAGGGCTCTTTCACTTCCTCAAAAAAAAACCTTTTAAATGTTCAAAATGCCTGTTTGATTGCTGCAGGATTTACAATACATACTTTAACTTTTTCCAGTCTTTTCTCAGTCTCTCGGAGATGTAAATCTTACCATGTATTTGAAATGTTAACATCCAGAGAATTAGCAAAACAGCATTCTAGCTGAGATCAAATTGGAGAAAAAAAAATTGAAGTTTTTTTAGACCAAACCTCAAAATTTTATTTCTCAATGAATTATCTCTAGCTTAGGCAAAAAAACATTACATACATAATAATTAATTACTAATGTATTTGTTTTTATTATTTGATTTTTGCTCTTGACCTTCTGGAGTCCACATTTGTAAACTTGTCTACTCCCATAGACAGCTTTCATTCTCCTGTTTTACCAACCATTTCTTAAAATCTTGTGTCTGGCCTTTGTGGGTAGATGGTAAACTGAGAAGCTGAGATACTAAAAAATGTGGCCTGAAAATATAGATTGCAACCCACTTGCAGTAAGCTGTTCTTAGGAGAAGTTTTGATTACAGAAGAGCTACAATTTTTTTGTTATTTCTCTGAAGTTTTAAAGTCATACAGGATTTCTTGGATTTGGCCTCATGAATGTTTGTGTTGGTTTTTAGTCACTAGTTCAGGTATCCCTTTAATTTAAAATTTCAGTTTATATTTAGAGTGTAATAGAAACTTTTGTTGTTTTGTTTGTTTAGTCTTCTCTCTGGAACTAAATAAAACCATATACTGTGGTTTGGAAAAAAGAAAACTATTTACTGAAAAATTTCAAAGAGAAACAGCTTTGAATAGTGATTACCCTAGGCCTCCAGTAAACAAAAATGCCCCATCTCCAAAATTCCTTCTTGATGTAAATTTTAGAAAGAAAAAGATAAATTTTAGAAAGAAAAAGACAAGTAAAGAAATGTTTTTGTCTGAGCGTAGTGGCTCACACCTGCAATCCCAGCACTTGGGAGGCCGAGGCAGGCAGATCACGAGGTCAGGAGTTCGAGACCAGCCTGGCCAACATGGTGAAACCCTGTCTCTACTAAAAATACAAAAAATTAGCCAGGCGTGGTGGCAGGCACCTGTAATCCCAGCTACTTGGGAGGCTGAGGCAGGAAAATTGCTTGAATCCAGGAGGCAGAGGTTGCAGTGAGCCAAGACCGCTCGACTGCACTCCAGTCTGGGCAACAGAGCAAGACTCTGTCTCAAAAAAAAAAAAAAAAAAAAAAAAGGGAAGAAATGTTTTCTATTTACCTGGGTAAAATCTAATTTTAAAAAATTTAAAAGCTCTACAGTCAAAAGTCCATTTATTTAGAATTGACAGTCAGGCTTAGTCAGGCATATATATATATATATATATATATATATATATATATATATATATATACACATACACACACACACATACATATACACACACACACATACATACATACACATATTTTATATATACACACACACACATACATATACATACGTATTTGAGGCCTATGGTTTTCCCATATAAGGTCTTTAGTTAACTGAATTTCTCTCTCCCTAGACTAGCATCTCTATGTGTCCGTTTCTTCTCTTGCCGACATGATTTTTGCAAGGATAATGTAAAACTTTACTGGCTCTTTGG
This sequence comes from Homo sapiens, assembly GCF_000001405.40. Lineage (NCBI taxonomy): Eukaryota > Metazoa > Chordata > Mammalia > Primates > Hominidae > Homo > Homo sapiens. The sequence continues at coordinate 64,319,099 of NC_000007.14, read as the reverse complement.
AAAACAAAGTCTTCTCAAACTGTCTCCTCTGGAATTAATTCTTCCATTTACTTCTATCTGTCTCATGTTCCACTTAAAACCTTTTGTCACTATAGAGGACAACTAAAGGAAACTTCTAGCAGCCTGAGACCCCTTGAAGAGCACAGATAAAGTGCCACAGGCTTCTCCTTTTTGGCAGGGTACCTCTGTTTTTCCTCATGAAGCCCCCAGAGTTGTGGGTAAACAGTTTCTTTTCAGGTCTGAAGCTCTACTCCCTTTTACAATGAACTCCCTCTCTAGGGCTTTTAGATACAAACATGAGTAAGTTATATGTTGTGTCTACATGTATATATATGTCTATAAATGTCTTTGTGTATTATCTACATGGTACTGAATTAACTTAAAGATAACTGGTCATGAATTAAAAAAATAAGCCCAATATTTTTAAGAATATGTGAATTGAGTAAATCTTTTGGTAAACATGACTAGTTTAATATTGTTAGTTTAATTTTAAAAAAGTCTTTTGACTTCTCAGCAAAATATGTATATATTTAACTTTATTGCTTTTATGATACTTGCCCAACATGGTAATATAAAAATGGATAATAGGAAGTTTAACTTTAGATGAGTATATTAGTCTGTTTCATGAGATTTTACAAAAATAATTGTTAAGAATAAATAAATAAAGCATGTAAATGGGACAAAAGTTTATAAACTTACAATACTGATTGTTTTGTAATGTGTTTAATTTAAATAGTTTCTCAAATCTTTATGGAAACTACACTCGTAGACTGTTGCTAAGCTACATTAAATGATGGCTATTCATTAAACATCTAAATTATCTCCAAGTAAGACAAAATGCTAAGATATTAATTTTTAAATACAAGTTTAAGCTAAATATTTTTGGTTTCTTCACAGAAACCAAAGATATTTAGATCTGTTAGTATGCCCTATTCCACATTAAAAATGTTTCCATTTAAAATCCTATGTTTCTAAAAATTAGAAAATATATCTTTATAAAATTTTAGTTCATGACTAATAGTTAAAATTGCTTACTTCTCAGGCTTTCACTATAAATTAAGATTATTAAAAATTAAAATTCTGCCCAAGATTCGTAACTAAAACTATTGTTAAGGAGAGAAACAACTTTACATACACAGTACAAAGAAAATGTGTTTCTTGATGAAAAAAAAATATTTTAGAAACAGATGTGAGAATGTGGTTTTTCTTAAAGAAACGGCAATTTTGCTGAGTTTAGAGGTTATTTAAAAAATACATAAAATTGAGAGAAAAAAGATAAAGAAAATGAGGTAAACTTAATGGATATAGAAAGCTGGAGAAAGAGAAAAATAAAATTTTAAGGGGTTATAAAAGGTTTACAGAAATCTTGTATGGTCAAAGCTGATTGAGATTGAATACATCTGTTTATAATGCTTTCCTAAGGTTAGCTTTAATATTAATAATATAAAAATAAAATTTGATTTTCTACTTTTATGAAGAAGATTTACTCCAAATTTGTTGGAAGGAACCATATTAGATTTTCTTGGCCAGTACCTGTGCCACTAAATTGAAGGGTAATGTCTTTTAAAATATCTGGTCACTGCTCTCTCTACATAGCTCTGAAAAAACCCAGTACTGGACAAATTCTCTCTAACTTTTCCACAGGCATGGCCACCAATCTGTTTTAGATTAAGATTCTATTTGAAAAAAATCTGCTAATTATCTGCCTGGCTTTCAAAAAACAGCTTCATTCATTTTATTGGAAAAAAATGTTTTTGCCTTGGTGAGGTGTCACCTCCCATGAACACATGATTAAAAATATTTTTATAAGCTTAGAAAAAATTACTGATAAAACTGTTACATCCATTGCAGCTCAAAAAAAAGCTACTGATTCACTGGCTACGATTATACTAGACAATCATATTGCTTTAGGTTACATATATTACCTGAGCAAAGATATGTATGTATGGTGGGAAATATCTTTTTATTGTGTACACATAAATACTTCCTACAAAGTAGAAATTTTTTAAAAAAATGAGTTGGCCACTGTCACAAATTCTCCACCCTGCACAAGAGAGAAACTGATGTTTTCATGAATGTTTTGTAATTTACGTGTTAATCTACCACACTTTCTTGTAGAAATGTATTTATTTTTCTGCAGGCATCATGAGAGAGACATTTCCTCTGTCTTTTCCCAGGTAGCATTCCCAAAGCTAAGCCCTGGGATTCTGTTTGAAATCATGCTAAATAGAACAGACGCGGAATCTTACTACACTCACTGTGGGAAATATAAAAGGTAAATGAGAATTTTCAACCAATGGAATATAAACTATTTTTTTCTAAAATCTACCTCTTTTCTTTTAGAAAATTTTTTTTTTAATCTTTCAAGCTCTAATGATAAAATCCATTATACAATTAATGAAAAACTGAAGTTGAAATAACTGAACATATATATTGAAGGTGACAAACACAGGGAGAAGTAGTGCTGACTGGAACACAAATGTTTTAGACTCATGTGTCAATCACTTGAGAGATTCTCCCACCCCCATTCTGCTCACTAAAGTACTTGATCATCACTCTCCCAAAAGATACTGCACTTGCCCCCTGTGTGGCAGATGTGTATTTTGCTTTGCAAATTTATACACTCCCTCACTAGAGTGGATCTTTCCTGTACTTTGGGACAGTTATTCTCCTTCACAAGCCTGAGAGAAACCAGAGGGCAAGATGCATTTGTGCCTTTTCCCCTCAATATCAGCACCTGATTGGTTGACCACCAATGTGTCTGCAAGAAATGAAAACTAGGATTGAGGGGAAAAAAATCTTAATGTTAAAGCAGTTAGCTTTTTAGAGGAAGGGTGAATCAGGAAACTGCTCTCAGCACGAGGGCATCCAGCTGCTCCCCTGAGAGGCTCCACCCAATGCCTCAGGCTCTTCTCTGAAAGGAGATGACCCAGGGGCTAATGTTTGCTAGACACTCCAAGAGATATGGTCCTTGTGGGTATCTTGGATCATCCCCAGAAAGCTGTAATACTTGGACCAGGAAAACACAGGAGAGTGACTGAGGACACATCACCCTGCAAAGGATCCAAAGACATTCTGGGAAGGCGCGCGTGCCTAGAGAAGATGAGAGGAGATGCGCAGTGTCAGGTGACTACTCTTTGCTTTTCTGTCCTGTGAAATATGCACAAACAGACTAATATATTAAAAAGAGCCACCCACGGCTCTGTTAAACAAAAATAAACAAAATGCCACATCCGTTTTAAAATTAAATAAAGAACTGATAGTTCATAATGTGATTTGGAGAGGGATAGTTGGCATTTGGGAATGTGGGAAAGAAATTGGAAATTTAGAATTTTATACAGTCCCTAGAACAGTTAGGCTGGGAGAACAGTTTTAGATTTGAGACCCTGCTTGCCAAACATTTGAAAAATGCAGAGAAAACCAACGACCCTGTGGAGCATTAAAATAATTAAATAGCTAGCAATTAGGCTGAAGTGGCCATGGTGCCCTGGGATTCTGCCTAAGGAAACCTAACTACGTCGAAGGAATTTCTGGTAAATTATTAACTTTGAGAAACAACAACAACAACAACAAAACAACTTAGGCTTAACCAACCACAAGCTGCCAATAAAAAGCTCTAATTACATAACCAGGACATTTCCACCGGAGGGCTGCAAATGCAATACGTAACTGTAACCAATCAAATATTGAATCTGGTTTGCTTCCTCATACCTCTTAAAAAAAAAAAACAACCTTTTGTTCCAAGACCCTCCTTTGAGCCCCCAAACAACAAATCATAGCTGGGTGTTCTCTGATTGATAAATTACTGTTTGTGCAAGTAAACTATTTGTATTAATCGCTTCTGGCATTACTATAAATACCTCAGACTGGGTAATTTATAAGAGGATTAATTGGCTCATGGTTCCACAGGCTGCATAGAAAGCATAACACCAGCGTCTGCTTCTGGGGAGGCCCCACCCAGAAAGCTTAAAATCATGGATGAAGGTGAAGCAAGAGCTTGAAAAAGAGGCAAGGTGGGGTGCTGTACACTTCTAAATGATGAACTTCAGGGAACTCACTCACTATTGAGAGGACAATACCAAGAGGAATGGTGCTAAACTATTCGTGAGAAATCCGGGCCCACAATCCTTCCACCAGGCCCCACCTCCAACATGGGGGATTACATTTAAATAGGAGATTTGGGCTGGAAAACACATCCAAATTATATCCTAAAGTTGCCTCAATTTAGGCTAGGGTGGTGGGTCATGCACGTAATCCCGGCACTTTAGGAGGCCCGAGGCGGGCGGATCACCTGAGACCTGAGCTCGGGGAGTTCGAGACCAGCCTGAGCAACATGGCAAAAGCCTGTCTCTACAAAAACAAACAAAACAAAATAGGCGTGGTGGCGCACCCCTCTAGTCCTAGCTACTTGGGGGGCTGGGGTGAGAGGATCATCTGAGCCCAGTAGGTGGAGGCTGCAGTGAACCGAAATGCACTTTAGCCTGGGCAACAGAGTGAGACACTGTCTCAAAAATAAATAAATTTAAAAAAGGGCCATGATTTTATTTTTAAAAGGAGAAAGGAGGGACTAGGGACCCCACGGCCCACTGCTTCTTCCACGGAGGAACTCCAGACCCTAAATGAGAATTCCCGTCTTATGACACTCCCAACACCCCCACACAATCTGGAGGAGGGAGACTCGAGGTTGCGGCACAGAGCTGCCCAGGAAGGGATCTGAGCTGGGGAGAAATTCGAGTTTAGGGACAAAACAAGACGTAGCGTTTTGGCTGCTGGCTCAGCCCCTAATCTGCGATGGAGGGAAATGAGGATTGAGCTGTGCCCGCGGGGACTCGGGGATGCAGACTCCAGAGCAGACCGCGAGAAGGCCCAGATACCACCGCAGCCGGTTCCGGCCGGATTCAAACAGCCTCTTCCCCATTCTCGGGACACCCACTCCACGCACTCACCATTTCCCAGCCTCCAGATGTTCCGCCGTCCTCCCTATGGATCTCCCAGTACCTGCAGGTCACAGGATAACAGAAGCTATAGTAGAGTCACCGAGGAACTCCAGGAACGGAGGAGATGGAACAGTGGAGACGCGAACTAGGATCAGAGCCCGGAAGCTAGGAGACAAAGGCCCCGCCATATTGAAGAGGCCGCCTCTTCCTCTGTAGCTGCGCACTTGATTGGACAGTTTCACGCTGGCGCCACTGATTGGCTAGGGCTCCAGGCCCCACCCGTTTCAATCCTAAGTGACAGAAGATGTAATCAGACACTGGGCTGAATGAGGCAAGGGTGACAGGTTTTTGCCTGCAGCGTTTTCAGGCGAGTCCTCCCTGTGCTGGGGGCCTGGCCCTGCCTGAGAGACATTTGTATTTAACCTTGCATATAAGATTATATCACTTTCTGATTATATTTTCGTGTGTGTGTATATATTACATTCTGAATTATAGTTATGTGTATGCTGCAGGCCCTGTCTCAGCATCCTGTCTTTCCCTTTAGCTGCAGGAGATCAAAGTCCTCCAGGAGATGCAGCTGCTTCAGCTGGCTGTAGACAATTATCACCTTCAGTCTGTGAAGCAATTTTGGGTCTGCTTCCAATTAATGGAGTGTCTCAGTGAGACTGAGAGGTGAGGGCCTAGCAGATTGGTTAGAGGTGCCACTCGCCCAGGCCTCCCAAAACACCCTGTCTCTTTCCCACCAAAGCTGAGCCTGCCTGAGGACCTAAACAAGCATGGAGAACCAAGATGGGACCCTAGTCAGGGATAGTGCTGGGCTGTGGGGTAAAGTCAGCTAGGTCAGGGCCTCCAGGTGTGGGGAGGAGCCGGCCTCTTCTGTAGAGCCCTGGGCAAGTCACTGCCCTCTTTGGGCCTCTGTTTTCTTATCTAAAAAATGTAGGGATGATGAGCCTCACAGGGTAATGAGGAGCTTCAAAGGAGAAAAATTTGAGAGTGCTTGTGCCTGGCTCTTCCTGAGAGAGATGATGATGAGAACAATGGTGACGGCTACATATAACTGAGTCCTCACGAGGCCCAGTGAGGTAGGTGTGGTTCCCATCACACTTTCAAGTTGAGAAACAGTCTCAGGGAGGCCTGGCTGCATGCCCAAGGTTCCACACACAGTGAGTGTTGCAGCAGGGAGTGAATCTAGAATCAGAGTTTACTGGAGGTGGCAGGAGCACTGGACCAGCTTGACTCACACCAGTTATCCAGGGTACCAGGTCAATGTAACTGGGCATAACTGGGTGAAGGGAGCATAATATCACTGACCTTGTCCTTGACCCTGGCAGAGGAAGACACCCAAGTTGGCCACCCTAGAGAAGAAACCACAGAAAGCCCAGATGAGGCTAAAGCAGCAAAAAGGCAGGTACCTGTGATGGGGAAGAGCTCCAGGGATTCAGAGGGAAGAGCTCCTCCCTCCCAGCTGGAGGCCTCCACATCAAAAGAGCAAGGGGCCTTTCTCCCTCAGCCCTTCCCTCCTGTGGCAACAGTCCCTGAAATGCCTCTATAAGAGAAATCAGAGTAAAGGCCTGGAAGAGCTGGGCTGAGTGGATTTGGGAAACGGTGGAGCTAGGGACCACATAACATTGTGACTTGTTAAAATCTCACCACAGAGTTAATAAGGGAGTGCTTCATGTTTTTGGAGGCCAGCTAGGAAGAGGGGAGAGAGTTGGAGAGAGGCAGCTGCGTGTCTTTGGCTTTTTCAAGTAAAAGATGTGGATAGGAGAGTCCAGGAGATGGGGGCTTATGAGATTTCAGGGACAGGCCTTGAATGGACACCCAAAAGTGGATACTCATCCCCATCACCACCTGATAGCACAGGGTGTTGCTGACTTTCACCTCCCCACTCTCTCCCAATGTTGCCCCAGCTGCTCACCTTCCTTTTCTTTCTGGGTGTTACATTTCCCTAGAAGTCAGCCAATGGTCATCAGAAAGGCCCCTTGGACCCTGACTAGGTCCCCTCCCCACACTCTTCATACTGCATTACTGCCAGGGCCACCAGGGGCAGGGGATGTGCACAAAGCAGGACTTGGGTCTGCAGCAGGTTCTGGGGTTCAAAGGGGACAATGGGAGCTGAGGCTCAGGGACCTCCCACCCCAACTCTCTTTGATGACAGACATAAAAACTGAGGGCTCCCATTTAAAAAAGTGCTCAGCCAGGCCAGGCACGGTGGCTCACACCTGTAATCCCAGTACTTTGGGAGGCTGAGGATGGTGGATCACCAGGTCAGGAGTTCAAGACCAGCCTGGCCAAGATGGCAAAACCCCGTCTCTACTAAAAATACAAGAATTAGCTGGGCGTGGTTGTGGGCACCTGTAATCCCAGCTACTAAGGAGGCTGAGGCAGAGAATTGCTTGAACCTGGGAGGCGGAGTTTGCAGTGAGCCAAGATCATGCCACTGCACTCCAGCCTGGGTGACAGAGGAGGCTCCATCTCAAAAAAAACCAAAAAACAAAAAACAAAAGTGCTCAGCCACATACGAGCTGCCTGCCCTTGGAGAGGCCTAAGTTTACTATCCTTCCATTGGCACCATCTGAGGGAGAGTCTGAGTCCAGCTCAGGCAAAACCTCACTGGGCTTTGCAAGCAGACAGCTCTGCAGCTTCATCACTCAGGGAACAGGGACTGGTGGCTGGTGTGGAATCTTCAACATTCATAGGGAAGAGGGGCCTGATACCTCAGCTCACAGAGGCAGCCGTGACGCTCTCATGAGAGGAAGTTTGCCAAGTGCTGAGATCTAAGGGTGTAGTCCTGATTCTCTTCTCCCAAGCCTCAGGATTCTGGTTCCAGCCCTGCCCATCCCAGGCTCACTCCCATCCATATAATCCTTTCTGGCAGGGTTTCCCATCACCAGATAACTGGAAAATGTGTCCAGGATGGAGGCAACACCCTGTGCTGTCGGGTGGTGATGGGGATGACTACTCACTTTTGGGTGTCCCTTCGAGGCCTGTCCCCTGAAATCTCATAATCCCCTGTCTCCTGGACCCTCCTATCCGCATCTTCCACTTGTCCCCCCCTTTAGCTGCAGGAGATCAAAGTTCTCCAGGAGATGCAGCTGCTTCAGCTGGCTGTAGACAATTATCACCTTCAGCCTGTGGAGCAATTTTGGGTCTGCCTCCAGTTAACGGAGTGGCTCAGTGAGACTGAGAGGTGAGGGTCCAGCAGATCGGCAGAGGTTATGGAGAATATTTATTTTGGGCCAGCTGCCAAGAGCCTGTGGCCATGGCTCCCTGGTCAGTGTCAGGCCCTGCTGCATGGTGACCCCGGGGGCCCAGCACTCCAGCTGGGCAGGCACTGGGAAGGAGACTAGGGGTGTGACTCCTACATAGAGACCTCACATCTGCCTCTATGACTTGTAGCTACAACCTGTCCTGCCAGCTGGATCGCTTATCCCAGTAGGCCAGCAACTCCTTAAGGCCATGGAGAACATGCCATGATGAATCTTAGGGGACACTGCCTGGACCAGCAGGAGCGAAGTGCCTTAGGGCTCAGTGACATTTGGGTTAGGCATGGGATCCGGGTGTCAGACAGCTACACTGGGCTTCCAGCTCCACCACTGACCAGCCCTGTGCCTGGGGCAGAGGACTCACTGCTATGGTACTTGAGGCCCCATTGTCATAAATACAATGCACACTGCCAATTCCTTTTTCTCATTTATCTGTTTATTTATAATCAACAGGTACTACTGATCTCTGTTGGTGTTTTTATTGAAAATTAATAAGCATGTGATACATTTTTTATCATTCTTCCTCATGATTTCTTTACTATATGATTCTTCTCATATGTGGTACTTAAGAGTAGTTAAAGTCATAGAAAACACCAAGTAGGAGAGTGTTTCCCAGGGGCTACAGGGAGAATAAGGAGTTGTTTAATGGGTACAGTTTCAGTTTCAAAAAATGGAATATGCTTTTTATATATGGAAATGATGGTAGCAAAATAATGAGTGTACTTAATTCATCTCAATGGAAACCTTTAAAATGGTTAAAATAGTTAATTTTATGTGTATTTTAACATAATGTATAAAATTATTTTAAATTTTTATATTATTTTTTAAGAGACAGAGTCTTGCTCTGTTACCCAGATGGGAGTGCAGGAGTGCAATCATTGCTTCCTGTAGCCTTGAACTTATGGGCTCAACTGATCTTTCTGCCTCAGTCTTCTGAGTAGCTGGAATAGCAGACACATGCCACCGTGCCTGGCTAATTTTTAATTTTTTTGTAGAGAGAGGGTCTCACTCTATTGCCCAGGCTGGTCTAAAATTCCCAGCCACAAGTGATCCTCCCACCTTAACCTCCTAAAATATTTTAGGCTGAGCACGTTGGCTCATGCCTGTAATCTCAGTACTTACATATCTACAGCAGGATTGATGAATATTACAAATATGATGTACAAAAGAAAGTATATGTAAAAGTATACATACTATATAATGTCATTTATGTAAAATCCAAAAAGAATATAAAATTGAGGTTTTGGCTTTCAGTAATAGTGGAGTAGCTTGTTGAACACTACTCTTACAAATAATGGTAAAATCTGGATACAATGTCATATATTATATAGAAACACACATCTATATATCATACATATGATATATGTGGGGATAAGAAGCGAATGATAATTTTAGCTGTGCCCACGGAAAGGGAGACAGGCATTTGAATTTGAATCCAGCCAAATTAACTCCCTCTTCAAAAACTAACAACACTCTTCAAAGGAATACAACAGGATCCAGAGTCTCTATAAGTATTATTTACAGTTTTTAAAATACAATTTTAAAATTTAAGAGACATGAGAAGAAACACAAAAATGTTATCCATACACAAGATAAAACATAGGCATTAAAAGCTATCCCCAAAATGTCCAAGATGTTGTTATCAGCAGTCAAGTATTTGAGAGCAGCTATTAAAACTATAGTCATGGGGTGAAGAAAAAAAATTCTCATAATGAATGAATACATGTGGAATCTCAGCAGAGAAATGCACATTATTAAAAAGAACCAAATAGAAAGATAATGAAATTTTAAATAGTACTTTTAGGTTGATTCATAGATTAGAAAAAGACAGAACAATTGAAATTATTCAATCTGAAAAAAAGAGTAAAAAAAGTTTGAAGAAAATGAACAGAGTCTTACAATCTGTGGGCAGATTGTGTCCTAGAAAGAGTGAAGGGACAGAAAAATTAAATGGGGTGCAAAAGTAACAATAGCTGAAAACTTGCAAAAATTTGTCAAAACCCCACATTTTATATCCAAGCAGTCAACAGATTCCAAAAAGAAAATCCAAGTAAAATCGTACAAAGGCCACATTGTGATTTAAGAAACTGGCAGGACAGGGCTTCCAATTGACTTTCTAAAATTTCTAATTTTTACTAATTATAATGATGGAAAATAGGTTATCCTTGAGAGATTTATCTTGGAGAAAGTCTCACATATCAGGCACAGATGACTAAGGGTTATTAAAGGCAGATGACTTTCTAGCCTTGTTTTAGAGTTTTAATTTCTTACCTTGGAAATAAATTTGTTTCTTACAAATCTTGTAGTAAAAGTGATTCTCCAGAAAGATGTGCCCAGGATATTCTCTCCTGCTGCATCCTCCCTGCACAGAATTGAAGCTGTGCGTACTTCAATTTCAGAAATGTACAATATGAATTACTTAGTTAATCTGAAAAACTAAAAGAAAAACATGAATTAAGGTAATTACTTTTATGTTCCTTCAGCAAATTACTAAAAGTGGTTCCAGAGATATATTTAAAAATGATTATTAAAAGAGTTTTTAAGGGAGCCCTATTCAGGGCAAAAAGACATTGTACATTACCTCAGTACACAAACTTTCCTAATGTTTTGGGAAGGACCTAGGGTCCTGTTTTGTCCTTTTGGCCCGTGTTAACACTAGGACACCTGATACCTGGGAACCAGCCTGTGTGGGAGTCACAGAGTGGTGGATGTGGCTCCCAAAGTGGCTTAAAGGGGTCCCTTCTCTGTGCAGTTGAGTATTCTGATTGTACGAAGGAGTCAGGCCTTTCCCGTGTGACGTTTTCTCCTCTTTATTACAGTGGCAGGCGCATCCCTGCGAGAGGCCTGACCCAGGTGTGTAGGCCAAGCAGCCAGCCCGGAAATCCAATGGGGTGTTCTTGGGGTACAGAGGAGGATCTGTGACAGTCCAGAGAGAGAGAAAGGAAAAGGTGGCTTTGAAGAGGCAAGTGCAAAGATACCAGAGACGGGGTATTGTCATTTTAGGCAGTTAATTGACGGTTTCACTTACCAGGGAGCTCCCATCATGGGCTCCCAAAAGGCCTGACAACTGCTAGGCCCACGGGCCATTAGCTGCACCTTTACTGAGGGGCTGCACTATGCATGTCTGAAAGCCGCGTGGGACAGAGGAAGGGGCAGGGATGAGGGAAAGGACGGGGTGAGGGAAGGAAGGGAGGGTAAACCTAACTACGGCAACCTTGAGCAGGCTGGAAGAGGCTTCCTCAGGTAGGGGTGATGTCACAATCACAGGTTGAGATCAGCTGCCCGGGCCACGCTGGCTCCTCGCAGGCAGGCGAGATTTGGGAACAGCCAGGATCCCCTCCGCACGGGAGAACAGCTCTAGACGCGCAGAGGGGCGGAGTCCAAACGGGTGCCATCACCGTACATCCTGGGAGCTGTAGTCTCTTAACCGCTCGTAGCCCGTTGGTGGCAAGGCGACAGTATTACAATCCCAGCATGCGCAAGTCTGGGGGCGGTGCGAAGCCCTGGGGACACGGCGGTGCGCGCCTAGCTAGACATGCTGAGAGATGTAGTCTCTTAACCTCTCGCAGTCCCTAGGTTGCAGGACTGCAGGACTACAATCCCGGCATGCTCCGGGCTCGGGGTTTGGGCATAGCTTTAGAAAGAGAGGCAGGGCGGCAGGGCGGCAGGGCGGCAGGGCGCGGTGGTTTTCGCCTGTAATCCCAGCTCTTTGGGAAGCCGAGGCAGGCGGATCACGAGGTCAGGAGATCGAGACTATCCTGGCTAACACGGTGAAACCCCGTCTCTACTAAAAATACAAAAAATTAGCCGCGCGTGGTGGCGGGCGCCTGTAGTCCCAACTACTCGGGAGGCTGAGGCAGTCTTGAACCCCGGAGGCGGAGGTTGCAGTGAGCCGAGATCGCGCCACTGCACTCCAGCCTGGGCGACAGAGGGAGACTCTGTCTCAAAAAAAAAAAAAAAGAAGAAGAAGAAGAAGAAGAAAGAAGAAAGAAGAAGAAAGAGAGGCAGGGCGCTGCGCACCTCGCCGGGCGTGCGGGGACGTTGTAGTCTCTTAACGGCTCCCGGCTCTCTGGTCGCCTGGCTGCAGGACTACAATTCCAGCAGGCACCGGGCTCAGTGGGAGGGGCAGGGTGGTGTGGACCTGGCAAAGCAGTGCTGCCCGCTCACCCCCTGCTGCCCTGTCTCCATGGGGAGTGAGTTTGGAGAGAGATATAAGGGATAAATCTGGGCTTTTGCCCAAATCTGGCAGGTCCTACCTCCGGCTGAGCAGCTCTTCCTCTCTTTATCCTTATCCGCTGGTTTTTCCATGGCATCGCGCCTCCTTCAGCCCATGGAGCCGCCTGCTTTCCTAAACTACTACAGAAACTGGCCTGATGGCTGTCTGAGACATTGTACATTGTGCCACCGGCCTCTGCTTACTCCAGGCAGAGCGCCAGTTCAGCAGCATTTGGGAGAAATTTGCTGCCTGGGCCGCCCGTAAACAACTTGAGCTTTGCAGTGGGTAACATGGGCTGTGGTTTGGTGAAAATGTCAACCTCACTGACCCCTTTTTCGTGGAAGTAGAAGTCGAGACATGAGGGAGAGTAATTATTGGCTTACCCGGGATCTGCTAAAAGCAGAGGAGAAAGCCCCAGTGTTTCCAGGCATGTGTCTGGGTGGGCCATTTTTACCAACCCATTTAAGGGGCTAGGCCTCCAAAAATCAACCTAAAGGTAATGATTGTTTTGATATTTTACACATGTGATCATGGCTTCATCTCACCTTAGACCTGACTGGCCAGTGTCTCAAAGACATAGATGGTGACCAGCTCTCTCTGGAACAGATGGCACTCCAGCTTTGTGGGAGCAACTTTCAAGGTGTAGATCATTTGGAAGGCATTTGAACCTGTGAGGTTTAACATCTCTGCTTTGGATGGAAAGCTCATGACCTTCTGCAGTCAGGGATGGAACTGAACTTGCTGGGACTGATCTGTTGAAATGTTCTGTCTAGATAGTGGAAACATCCAGGAGCACTTCTGCTTCCATGTAGCCTCTTAATAATTGATGTCCCTAAAATACTAAGTACTCAGAAACAGTTACTTTTGGCGGGGCACAGTGGCTCACACCTGTAATCCCAGCACTTTGGGAGGCCAAGGCGTGTGGATCACCTGAGGCCAGGAGTTTGAGACCAGCCTGGCCAACATGGTGAAACCCCATCTCTACTAAAAATACAAAAATTAGCTGGGCATGGTGGTGTGTGCCTGTAATCTCAGCTACATGGGAGGCTGAGGCAGGAGGTGGAGGTTGCAGTGATCTGAGGTTGCACCACTGCACTCCAGCCTGGGCGACAGAGCAAGACTCCATCTCAGAAAAAAAAAAAAAAAAAAAAGAAAGTTACTTTCAGAAAGTTGGTACAAGCTTTCTTGTTTTTATATCTAATCTGTAATAACCCGGGTGTTAATCTACAGGGAAGTGATAGTTCATTCATGTCACACATTCCAATAGTTTTTCATTTGTGATTTCTGAATGTGGTACACTATCAAAAAAAATGGGAAAACATGATTGTGACCATGGAAATCTATTACTGTACTTGCGAAACTTGTGAAGAATTTACCACTTCAGGATTAATTACACCTAGATTCGTCACTGCCTTTGTAAAGAAAGGAAGAGAAACCATGTGTCATCTATGCAGGTGGCAAGATGAGGAAGTATAGGGAGATGACAGCACAATACTGGGGCTCTAGTCTTTTTTTTTTTTTTCTTTGAGACAGAGTCTCATTCTGTCACCCAGGCTGGAGTGAAGTGGTGCAATCTCGGCTCACTGCAAACTCCGCCTCCCGGGTTCACACAATTTTCCTGCCTCAGCCTCCCAAGTAGCTTGCTTTACAGGCATTTGCCATCACGCCTGGCTAATTTTTGTATATTTAGTAGAGACAAGGCTTCATGATGTTGGCCAGGCTGGTCTCAAACTACTGACCTCAGGTGATCCACCCTCCTTGGCCTCCCAAACTGCTGGGGTTACAGGCGTGAGCCACCACGCCAGCTGGGTGCTGCTCTTTTTAAAAGTAAGGCCCTTAGTCACAGTCTGTGTGGTAAAGTGCTTGCATCCCTCCCCTATCCCTCAGTATTCTCACCCTACTCCCTGTTCCCTCTTTAGGTAAGGGTGTCTGATTACACTTGCTCACAAGTGTTGAAAGGGAATGTTGTAATGTGAACCTACACATCATTTTAAAATGAGGATTAACGGAGAGGAGTCTTGGGACCTGTGTTTAGATGCACTGCTGTTTGGTGTGTGGCTGCAAAGACACTGTGCTGTCAGCCATCTCACGGCAGCTGTCTGAGAAGATTGGTCCTGATGCAGCCACAGCTGCTGTGCACGGAGCAGGAGCTCCTTGCAATTTGGTGTCTTCTGGTTAGATTTTGTGGCTCTGACCCTCCTCTGCTCTCCCATTCCTGGTAGTATCTGCTGGGTTGTGTGGTTTGTTCCACTTTTTTTCCTGTTAGCCTGTTGTTTAACTGTATTTCCCAGGGTCTTTAGGGATTCTACCCTTACTAGACTAGTGACTGGACATTGGCCAGGTACTTATCTTGCTAGAGCCCCCATGCTCATTCTCTCCAGTGGAGCTGTGAAGAATTCAACTTACTTGTCAGTCTTCTCATTCGGATATTGCTGGACTCTTTATGAATCTGGGAATTGTGTCTTTGGTCTCATCAATATTATCTCTTTTATATATTTTGAAGTCTGATACCTTTTTGTTTTGTTTTGTTTTGTTTGACACAGAGTCTTGCTCTGTTGCCCAGGCTGGAGTGCAGTGGCAGGATCTTGGCTCACTGCAACCTCTGCCTCCTGGGTTCAAGTGATTCTCCTACCTCAGCCTCCTGGAGTACCTAAGACCATAGGTGCCCACCACTACCATGCCCAGCTAATTTTTGTATTTTTAGTAGAGACAGGGTTTCCTCATTTTGGCCAGGCTGGTCTCGAACTCCTGACCTCAGATGATCCGTCTGCCTCGGCCTCCCAAAGTGCTGGGATTACAGGCATGAGCCACTGCACCCAGCCACTGATACTATTTTATTAATAATGTGGACACTTGCAGTAACCACCATTTTTAAATATTAGTGAATTTAGGCTGGGTGCGGTGGCTCACGCCTGTGCCACTTTACTTCAGCCTGCGCGACAGAGCGAGATTCTGTCTCAAAAAAAAGAATTTAACTCTGGCAACAATTTGATGAAGTAGGCATAGATCCCCATTTTACAGGTTAGGAAACTGACACCCAGAGGTTGAGTCATTTCATTAACACCACACAAGTTTTTGGAGCATTTCAAATCTTAACCTAGAAATCTTTCTCTAGGATATTTAAGCATATCTCATATTCTACTTTGTTTCTCACTGCCAGAGTCCCGAAGGGTACAGATCTCATTCTCACTCCATTTTCTTCTTGTCGATACAAAACTGGCAAAAAAATAGCCTCATGGGGAGGGTGGAAACTAGCTGGAGCTGGGCCTTCCCTTTTCTATTTCTTACCCTTGATAATTGTTAGTTTTTTTGAGTGAGCTGGAGAGGGACGGAGCCTGGCCAGTCCTCACCTTTAAAGTTTGTTATGTAAAGCTAATCCACTTACTTTTTGCAGGTGTGATTATTCTATTCTTTTTTTTTTTTTTTTTTTTGAGACAGATGGAGTCCTGCTCTTTTCACCCATGCTGGAGTGCGATGGTGTAATCTTGGCTTATTGCAACCTCTGCCTCCTGGGTTCAGGAGATTCTCCTACTTCAGCGACCTGAGTAGCTGGGATTACAGGCGCCTGTCATCATGCCCAGCCAACTTTTTGTATTTTTAATAGAGACAGAGTTTCACCATGTTGGCCAGACTGGTCTCAAACCCCTGACCTCAGGTGATCCCCCCGCCTAAGCCTCCCAAAGTGCTGGGATTACAGGCATGAGCCACAGCGCCCAGACTTACCCTAATTACTTTTCTGGGTTTTCTCTTATAAGTTCCTGCTGTGCATTAAAATACAACGCAAATATGGATGAAAATAAAACTTTTGCCCTCCTAATAAATGGTAAAACACTCTTTTTTTTTTTTTTTTTTTTTTTTTTTTTTTGACGGAGTATCCCTCTTGTTGCGCAGGCTGGAGTGCAATGGCGCGACCTCGGCTCACTGCAACCTCCGCCTCCTGGGTTTAAGCAATTCTCCTGCCTCAGTCTCTTGAGTAGCTGGGACTACAGGAACGTACCACCATGCCCGGCTAATTTTTGTATTTTTTCTAGAGACAGGGTTTTGCCATGTTGGCCAGGCTGGTCTTCAGCTCCTGATCTCAGGTGATCCACCCGCTTCAGCCTCCCAAATTGCTGGGATTACAGGCTTGTTTGGACTGAGTTCCAGATCTGGGCTGTCATGGAACATAACAGGGACCCTTCATGGGGACAGCAAGAAGGTTCACCGACCCAATTCAGAGGAAGGAAGAGCCTGGCCTTCAAAATTACTATGACCATCAGAATGCCCTAGGAGATCAAAGAAATAACGGAGTGGGTGTGAGACCTTTTACAAATGTGTGCACTCAAGCAGTGCAAAGGCAAACCTCCTGGTGGGTAATCAGAATTCAGACCCCACTTTTACCCTCACTGAAGTCTCATTTGGATTTTTGGCTGCTGTCAAAGACCTGCCAGTTAGGATTCCAAGCCTCTTTTTTGAGTCCTAGCTCTTGTAGTAGACAGAATTTCTAAAATTCCCCAAAGATGTCCAAATCTCGGGAACTTCTGAATATGATGGGATTTCAGTCCCGTGATTGTGTTATGTTTCAAGATAGGAAGATTATCCAGGTCGGCCTGGCCTAACTATGCAGGCCTTTGAGAGCATAGAGCTTTCTCTAAGTCAGAGATTCAAAGTAGGAGGGAAATGTGATGTGCTTTTGCTGACTTGGAAGATGGAGGGGCAATTTGAGAAAAATGTGGGGAAACATCTACTTACAGAGAGTGGGTCCTAGCTAGCAGCGAGCAAGGGAACAAGGATCCCAGTCCTACAACCATGAGGAATTGGAAATTGGCAACAACCAGAATGGGTTTAGAAATGGGTTCTTCCCAGCACCTCTAGATGAGAGCCCAGACTGTTTGCTACTCTGACTTCAGCGTTTTGAAAACTAAAACAGAGAGCCCAGTGGAGCCTGCCGGACTCTGAACCATAAGTTCTACAGAACCATGAGCTAATAAATGGGTGTGTTCCTAGCCACTAATTTTCTGGTGACCTGTTACAGAGCAATGGAAGACTAATATGCCTCTCATGCCCTGTGCAGTGTTAACCTCAGCAGCACCTTCTAGGTCTAGGGGACTCATGTAATATATTCTTTTTTTTTTTTTTTTCCCGAGACAGTCTTGCTCTGTCACCCAGGCTAGAGTTCAGTGGCGTGACCTTAGCTCACTGCAACCTCCGCCTCCCGGGTTCAAGCGATTCTCCTGCCTCAGCCTCTCGAGTAGCTGGGATTACAGGTGCACACCACCATGCCTGGCTAATTTTTGTATTTTTAGTAGAGACAGGGTTTTACCATATTGGCCAGGCTGGTCTCGAACTCCTGACCTTAAGCGATCTGCCCATCTCAGCCTCCGAAAGTGCTGGGATTACAGGCGTGAGCCACCACACCCAGTCTTTGACTCTATTTCTTGGGTCCTGCCTTTAAGAGGTATTGTGACATACCTTTGGGTTAATCACTTAGGAATGTGACTGACTTCTGTTCCCTAGGACCTGTCTACAAGCAACATTGTAACATATTTCTGAGCCCATCACATGGATAATGTGACCCTTCTCTTTTTGTCCTGCCCCAAGTGAAGATTGTGACATGTCACCAGGCCCTTTGTCTAGGCAATATGACTCTTCTCTCCTGTCTGGGCCCTGATTACAAGGGGGATTGTGACAATCACTGGGCCCATCATGTAGATAATAAGAGTTTCTCTTCCTGCCTGGGCCTTTTCTACAGAAAAGATTAAGACATCACTGGGCCAAGCACCCACATGATGTCACTCGCCTGCCTGCATTCTGCCTACAGTGGGTATTGTGACATATCCCTGGCACAGAACCAAGGTAACGTGACTCACCTACCTGGTTCCTGCCCACTGATGGGATTGTGACATATACCTAGGTCCAGCTCACAGGCATGATGATAACTGTCATACGTGGACCCAGCCAATAAGAGATTTTTGCTCTTAGGCTTATTACAACAGGTATGCTTCTGGGTATTCTACATATAGAGAGGTCACGGACTATTAGGACGCTCATGCATATTTTATAAAGACCTTGGGTGGTACACAGATGTTGTCACAGGCCAGTGCACATGTGAAATTGTGACTCCCCTAGGCATACCCAGCCAATCATTAAGATTTTCACCCTCAATGCATGCATACAGCCCACTCTTGAGGTTCTCAATCTCACACCTGGTAGCAGTCAAAATTTGGAATTGTGACTCTCATATGGGGATTTGATTGACAGGTAAAATTATAACTCTTTTTTTTTTTTTTTTTTTTTTTTTTTTTGAGACAGAGTCTCGCTCTGTCACTCAGGCTGGAGTGCAGTGGCATGATCTCAGCCCGCTGCAACCTTCGCCTTCCAGGTTCAAGCAGTTCTCCTGCCTCAGCTCTTGGACAAAACTTCAGCACTCCTGCTAGGGTGTGTCTGCCCTACTAAGACACTGTGCGCAGGTGGAGTTGAGGCTCTTATGTATGGATCCTGTCCACTGTTGAGATTGTGAATTGCATGTGTAGACTCAACTCACAGGAGGTGTTGACTCACAAACCTCCAGCTGGGACATGTGCAGGATTAGAAATTTTATTTCTGGATCTTTCTTCAGGTATGATTGTGACATATACCTTTGCCTAGCACCTGATTGCTTTTACATTTTTGCCTGGGCCCAGTCTACAGTTGAAATTGTGACATATACTTGGGCTACATAGGTGATGTGATGTTCCTGCCTGGGCTCTGCCTTCAGGAGAAATTGTTACATATCTCTGGGCCAATCACCTAGTGATGTGACTTTCCCTATCTTTCTAGGCCCAGCTTACAGAAGGCATTGTGACAGATCTCTGGGCTCATTACCTAGGAGATGTGACTCTACACTGCCGGTTGGGCCGAGCCCCACTGAAGATTGTGACATATTACTGAGCCCATAAACTAGGTGACATGACTCTGCTCCCCAGCCTAAGCCATAATTAAAGGGGACATTGAGACATATTGCTGTGCCCAGCACCTATGTGATGTGACTCTCCTTTCCTGCCCAGGCTATGCCTAAAAGAAATTGTTACATATCATGGAGCCAAGATCCCAGTTGATTTAACTCTCCTGCTGGGCCCTGCTCACATGGGAAATATTGGCATATTCCTTGCCTAGCACTCAGGTGATGTGAACTTCTGCCTGGTCCCTGCCCATATGTGAGATTGTGACATATACATAAGCCCAACTCACAGGCATAATGATGATTCTCTTACCTGGACCAAGACAGTAGAAAATATTTTGACTCTTCTAAATAGGCTATGGAAATAGGCAATTTACTGGGTCTTTTACTTGTAGAAAGATCAGAGATTACAACACTCGTGCATATTTTATAAAGTTCCTGAGTGGCACAGAGAGTGTCATAACAGGGCTCAGCACACAGGTGGGATGGTGACTCTCATAGGCACAGCCAACAGTCAGGATTGTCACTTTGCCACATGGACACAGCTCAGTCACTGCTGAGCTTCTGAATCTTCTGCTCAGAGACAGTCAAAAGTTGGAACTGTGACTCTCATATGTGAATCTGTTCCACAAAAAAAGATGATGGCTCTCAAATATTCAGCACATGTGTGAGGCTGTTACTATTCTATCAGGAAAAAGTCTGCAGGGGTCTTGGGGCCCTCATGCAGGAATCCAGGTCACCACTGAGATTCTGACTTGCAAACTTGTACCCAACTCACAAGTGTTTACTCCCATACCTGGTGTTGGGACCAATGTGAGATTGTGAATCTAATCTCTGGACATTCCTACAGGTGTGACTGTGACATATAGCTTTGCCCAGCTTGTGAGATTTGATTATTTTGCCTGGATAAAACCAACAAATGAGACAGTGACATATATTTGGGCCATACACCTTGGCAATATTACTCTCCTGTCTTGGCCCTTTTCTTAGGGGAAATTTGGACATATCTCCAGATCTATCACCTAGGTTATGTTACCATCTTTTTCTGCCTGAACCTTGTCCACAGGGTAAATTGTGATATATTTTTAGACCCATCCCCTAGGTGACACGATTCTTCCCTTCTGCCTGGGTCCTGCTTCCAGTAAGGATTGTAACATATCGCTGGATCCTGCACCCAAATGATGTGACTCTTCTGCCTGGGCCATGCCAACAGTGGGAATTGTGACATATTTCTGGACCCAATATATAAGTGACGTGACTATCATTTTATGTCCACAGAAGGCGTTGTAACATCTCACTAAGCCCAGCACTCAGGCGATGTGGCTTTCCTGCTATGGCACTGCACACAAGAAGAATGTTGACATATTCCTGGCCCAGAATTCAGGTGATGTGACTCTTGCCTGATCCACACCCAGAGGTGAAATTTTTACATATACCCAGGCCCAGTTAGTGGACATGATAATGACCCTCATACATAGACTCAACCAAAACAACAGATTTTTTTACTCTTCTGGCTAGACTTAGGGACACAGGTAAGGTTCTGGGTTTTCTTATAAAAGGTCATGGGAGATTATGACACAAATATTTTACAAAGCCCTTGGGTGGTATAAGCTATGTCATAACACGGTCCAACACGCAGGTGAGATTGTGACTCCCATAGGTGCACCCAGCCAACAATGGGATTGTCACCCTTAAACCTAGACACAGCCCACTGGTGAGGTTATAAATCTCACATATGGATGCAGACCACAGTTGGAATCGTGACTGTCGTATGTGGATTTGGCCACAGGTCAAAGGGAAGTCATTTCTTGACTAACTCACAGGCACAGTGTTGTCTCTTACACTTGAACCAAGCTAACAGAAGAGACGTTCACTCTCATTGTTACGCTTGGGAAAATGGGGATGGTTCTGGGTTTTCTACTTGTACAAAGGTCACAAAAAAAATCACAACACATACAACATAAAATCACATACAGTATAATGCCCTGTGGTGGTACAGAGAGTGTCAACACAGCCCAATACAAAGTTGAGACTTATTCTCATACCCACAGCCAGCTGACAGTAAGAATTGTCACCCACACATGTGGGCAGATCCCACTAGTGACATCCTGACTTTGCCTTGTGGACACAGTTCACAGTTGAAATTGTGACTGTCATATGCAGATCTGACCACAGGTAAGATTGTGACTCATTTCTGGACCCAGCTCACAAACATGGTGATGACTCTCATAGCTGGACCCAGACAAGAGAAATTATGTTGACTTCTGCCTGGGCTTAGGGTAACGGGTAAGATCTTGGATCCATAAAAACATAAAGTTCTCAGAGCAGAATTCCACTCTCAAGCATGTTGTGTGAAGATCTCAGATGGTACAAAGAGTGTCATAACAGAGCCAAAAACATAGAGGAAATTGTGAATCTCCTATGCATACCTAGCCAACAATGAGGATAGTCACTCTCCCATATAGACACAGCTCACTGTTGAGGTTCTGAATCTCGTGCCCAGAGGCAATGAAAAGTTGAAAGTTTGACTCACATACATGCATCTGGTCAACAGGTAGGATAGTGACTCTGAGACCAAGATTCAGCACCCTGGTGAGGCTGTGCCTATCTTATGGGGACTCTGTTTGAAGGTGGAGATGGAGCTCTCATGCACGGATCCTGTCCGATGTTAAGACTGTGTCTCGTGTATTTGGATGCAACTCACAAGAGGTGTTGACTCTCAGACCTAAAGCTGGGAAATATGTAGAATTGTGAAATTTATTCCTGGTCCTTCCCGCAGGTGTGATTGTGGCGTATATGTTCACACAGCACTTAATTTATTTTACAATTTGTTTGAACTCAGCCAACTGTTGGGACTGTGACATATACCTGGACCAAGTTCCTAGGTGATGTAACTCTCCAGCCTGGGCCTTACCACAGGGTACATTGTGACATATCTTTGGACTTATCACCTATGTGATGTGACTCTACTGACTTGCCTTGTCTTGGCCTCCATTGGGGATTGTGGCATATTTCTGTGCCCAGTACCTAAGTTATGTGACTCTTCTTTCCTGCTTGTGCATTTAGAAGGGATTGTGACATATTGCTGGGCCAAGAACCTAGGTGATGTGACTCTCCTGCCTTGGCCCTGCCTTCAGGAAAAATTGTGATGTGACTCTGGGTTTATTACCTAGATGATGTGACTCTTGTGTTCTGCATGGGCAAGCCCAAAGGGGTCATTGTGGCATATCTCTGGGCACATCAAAGAAGTGGTGTAATTTTTCTCTCATTCCAGGACTCTAGTCTCAGTAGGGATTGTGACATATCACTGGGCCCATAACCTATGTCATGTGATTCTAGTATCCTGCTTGGGCCCTGCTTACAGGAAAGATTGTGACATTTGGCTGGGCCCATCACCTAGTTAATGTGACTCTCCTTTTCTTCCTGTGCCCTGCCCTCAGTGGAGATTGTGACAAATTTCTGGGCCAATCAGCTGTGCAATATGACTCTGCTCTTTCCTGGGCCCTGCTATCGGGGAGCATTGTGACATATTGCCAGGCTCAGCACCTAGGTAATGTGACTCTTCTTGCTGCCTGGGCCCTACTTACAGAAGGGATTTTGATGTATTGCTGAACCAAGAATTCAGATGATGTGACTCTCCTGCCTGTGCGCTGTCTACAGTGGGCATTGTGACATATCATTGGTGATGTGACTCTCCTGCCTTGTTCCTGCCCACAGGTGAAATTGTGGCATATACCTGGGTCCAGATCACAGGCACAATGATGACTCTCTTACCTGGACACAGCCAGTGGGAAATATTTTGACTTTTGTAGCCAGGCTTAGGGCCACAGGTAATGTCCTGGGTCTCTTACTTGTATAAAATTTACAGAACATTACAACACTCAGGACTATCATAGGAAGACCTACAGTGATACAGAGAGTTGATAACAGGGCCTAGCTAACAGCTGAGATTGTGACTCTCATATGCAGACCCAGCCTACAGGCTCTTCATTCTTACACATAAACAGAGCCTATGAATGTGGCACTTAATCTCACACATAAACACAGTTGCAAGTTGGATTTGTTACTCTCATATGTGGATCTGGTTTCCAGGTGGTTTGGTGACTCTCAAACCATGATTCAGCAGACCTGTGAGGCTGTGAGTTCCCTATCAGAACACAATCTGCAGGTGAGATTGGGGCTGTTGTGCATGGATTTGTGCATTGTTGAGACTGTAACTCCTTTACTTGAACCCCACTCACAGGAGGGGTTGCCTCTCATACATGAAGCCAGGACTCGTGTGAAACTGTGAAACTCATTTCTGTACATTCCCAAGTGTGTGATTGGGAAATATACCTTTGCCCAGAACCTGAGTGATCTGACTGTTTCCTAGGCCCAGCCCACACATAAAATTGTGACATATACCTGGGCCACCCACCTAAGTAACGTGAAACTCCTTCCTGGGCCCTGCCTGCCAAGGGCATTTTTACATTTCACTGTGACCAGCATCCACCCAGGTGCTGTGACTCCCCTGCCTGGTACCTGCCTACAAAGAGCATTGTGACTTATTTCTGGGTTCATTATGTAGGTGATGTGACTTCATTCTACTGCCTTGGCTCTGTGCTTAGAGTGCATTGTGACATTTAGCTGGGTACTGCACCCACATAATGTGACTCTCCTGACTGAGTTCTTCCTACAGGAAGCATTGGAACATATCACTTAGCCCAGCACCTAGGTGGATGGGATTCCCTTTCTTGCCTGGTCCCTGCCCACTGGAGAGATTGTGACCCATTGCTGAGCCCAGCACCAAGGTGATGTCACTCTCCTGCCTTGGCCATGCCCATGAGGGCCACTGTGACACCTGTCTAGGCTAATTACTTAGGTGAAGTGAGTCTCCTTTCCTGCCTAAGCTCTGCCTACAAGGGGGATTTTGATATATCACTGGGCCCAGCAGCCAGGTGATGTGACTCTTCTGCCAGGGTCCTGCCTACAAGGGGGATTGTGACATGTCTCTGGACCAGCACCCAAGTGATGTGTCTTTTCTGGCCTTTCCCTCCCCACAGGTTGTATTGTGCCATATACCTGGGACCAAATTACAAGCACAATGATGAATCTTTTACCTGGAGTCAAGACATGGGCAGGATGATGGAACTTATCACTGGACCTTTCCACAGTGTTATTGTGACATATGCCTTTGCCCAACATGTGGTGATTTGACTCCCCAGACTGGGTCCAGTTCACAAATAAAATTGTGCCGTATACTTGGCCAAGAACCTAATAGGTGTAATTGATGTGCCTGGGCCCTGCTCTCAGAAAGATAGTGACATTACACTGCACCCAGCACCTAAGACATGTGATTCTCCTCTTCTACATAGGGTCTGCCTACAGCAAGACTTCTGACATATCAATGGGCTCAGCACTCAGGTGATGTGACTGTCATTTTTCTTCCTGGGCCCTGCCCACATGGATAATTGTGACATATCACTGGCCCCAACTATCAGGTGATGTGACTCTTTTGTCTGGGACCTGTCAACAAAGGGCATTGTGACGTACTCCTTTTTTCTCCCCGCCAGACACAGTCTTGCTCTGTCACCCAGGCTGGAGTGCAGTGGTGTGATTTCGGCTCACTGCAACCTCTGTCTTCCAGGTTCAAGTGATTCTCCTGCCCCAGCCTCCTAAGTTGCTGTGACTACAGGCATGCACCACCATGCCTGGCTAATTTTTTTGTGTTTTTAGTAGAGTCAGGATTTTACTATGTTGGTCAGGCTGGTCTCAAACTCCAGACCTCAAATGATCCACCCACCTCAAAGTGCTGGGATTACAGGCATGAGCCACGGCGCCTGGCATGACATATTTCTAAGCTCAGCACCCAAGTGCTGTGACTCTCCTGAATGGGTCCCACGAGGAGAATTGTGACATATCCCTGGACCCAGTCCCTTAGGCCACATGACCCTCCTTTTTTACCTAGGCCCAGCCCACAAAAGTAATTGTGACATATCAATGGGCCCAGCATCCAAGAGATGTTATTTTTTTGCCTAGGCCCTGCCAACAGAAATACTTTTTACATATCCCTGCTTCAGCACCAGGTGTTGTAACATGTTTTCTGGTTCACACCCACAGTTGTGATTTTGACATATACCTTTTCCTAGCACCTGAGTGATTTGCCACTTTAGCCTGGGCTAATCCCACAAATAGAATTGTGACATATACCTGGCACAGGCACCTAGGTGATGTAACTCTTGCCTTGATGCTGTCCTCAGAGGGGATTGTAATATATCACTGGGCCCAGCACCTGGTGATGTGGCTCATGACATTTTCCCTGGGCCGTGCCCAGTGGGGATTGTAAATATCCCTGGGCCCTGTATCCATGTGATGTGACCTGGGCCCTGCCCACAGAGGCACTGTGACATCTCTGGGCCCATCCCTTTGGTGGTGTAATTCTCCTTTTGTGCCCAAGTGTGGCCTTCAGGAGGGATTGTGACATATGCCTGGACCAAACACCTGGAAGATGTGACACTCCTGCATGAGCCCTGCCCTAAGGGGATATTTTTACATGTTGCTGAACTCAGCATCTAGGCGATGTGACTCTACCCTCCTGTATGGACCCTGCCCACAGGGGGCACTGAATCATTTCACTTGGCTTAGCACCAAGAAGTTGTTACTCTCCTACCGGGACCTCTCCCACAGGGGACACCTAGATAATGTGATTTTTCTTCGTGGTTCCTGCCCAGAGTTCAAATTGTGATGTATATCTGGGCCCAAAACACAGGTTAAGGTAATAACTCTCCTACCTGGGCCAAGACAATAGAGATTTTGGCTCTCGTAGCTAGGCTTAGAACAATGGGTACATATTCCTGACCCAGCTCCCAGGTGATATGACCCTCCTACCTGGTCAGTGCTCACAGGTGGGATTGTTACCTATGTTTGGACTCAGCTCACAGGCATGGTGATGACTCTCATCTCTGGACCTAGCCAACAAAAAAATATGTTGACTCTTGTACCTCAAAATAGAAAATCAGGTAAGATTATGGGTCCATAGCAGAATGAAGTTCTCAGAGCTGATTGCAACTTTCATGCATATCATATAAAGCTCTCCAGTGGTACAGAGAGTGTTGTAACAGAGCCCAGCACACAGCTGTGATTGTGACCCTCATATGTACACCCAGCTGACAGAAGGATTGTCAGTCTACCACGTGAACACAGCACACTGTGGAGGTTCTGAATCTCACAACCGGAGACAGTCAAAAATTGGAACCGTGATCCTTGTATATGAATGCAGTCCACAGGTTGGATGGTGACTCTGATACCAGGATTAAACACACCTAATAGGCTGTGGTTTTTCTACCAAGACATAGTGTGCAGGTGTGATTGGGGTTCTCATGCACAAATAAAGTTCAGTGTTAAGATTGTGACTCATGTATTTGAACCCAACTCACAGGAGATGTTGACTCTCATACCTGGAGCTGAGACACGTGCTGGATTGTGAATCTCATGTTTGGATTTTACCGAAGGTGTGATTGTGACATATACCTTTGTCTAACATCTGAGTAATGTGACTCTCATGTGTGGGCCCAGCACGCATCAGATGGGATTGTTACATACACCTGGGCCAAGCACTTAGGCGATGTGACTCTCCTGCCAGGGCGAGCCCTGTAGTAAGGAGGATTTTAACATATTGCTGTACTCAGCACCTAGGTGATGGGATTTTTCTTCCTGGTTCCTGCCCAGAGTTCAAATTGTGACATATATCTGGGCCCAAAACACAGGTAAGGTAATAACGCTCATATCTGGACTAAGACAATAGAGAGATTTTGCCTCTTGTAGATAAGCTTAGAACAATGGGTATGCCCAGAGTCTCCTACTTGTACAAAGTACACAGAAGACTATGACACTAAAAGATATCATATAAAGCCCTCAGGCTGTACACAGAGTGTCATAACTGGACCCAACACAGAGATAAGATTATTCCTCTCCTATGCACACCCAGCTGACAGGATTGTCACCCTCACACATGGACAGAGACCAATGGTGAGATCCTGAATCTCACTTGTAGGCACAGTTTACAGTTGGAATTGTACCTATTATATGTAGATCCAGCCACAAATAAGATGGTGACTCATTTCTGAACCCAGCTTACAGGCAAGGTGATAACTTTCATGCTTGAATCCAGCCAATAAGAGAAGTATCGACTCTTGTGCCTGGGCTTAATTAAGGCCATGGGTAGTATCATGGGATTATACCACCACTAAAATTTCAGAGCAGGCCGAAACTCTCACACATACCCTATTAAGCTTTCTGTGGTACAAAGAATGTAATAACAGGGCCTAGCACACAGGTGAGATTGTTACCCTTGTGTGTATACCCAGCCAACAGTAAGAACTTACACCCTCTCACATAAACACAGCCCACTGAATTTTACATCTGAAGGAAGATGAAAGGTGACATTGTGACTCTTCTATGTGGATCTGGTCCACAGTTAGGAGGGTGACTCTCAAACTAAGATTCAGCACAACTGTGAGCATATGGCTACCCTACTGAGATACTGTTCACAGATGGAGTTGAGGCTCTCATTCAGGGATCCTGTCCACCATTGAGATTCTGTCTCACATACTTGGACAAAACTCACAGAAGGTGTTGACTCTTATACCTGAACCCTGAAAATGTGTGGGATTATGAATCTTATTCACAGGCCTTCCTGCAGGTGTAACATATACTTTTGCCCAGCAGCTGATTGATTTTTCTGTCCTGTGGAAGCCTAGCCAACAATTGGAGTTGAGATTATGAAATATACCTGAACCAGGCCCCTAGGTGATGTGAGTCTCTGACCTGGGCTCAGCCCATAGGGGACATTGTGACATGTCTCTGGGCCCATCACTTAAGTGATTTGACTCTACTTTCTTGCTTATGTTCTGCCTCCATTAAGCATTTTGACATGTCACTGAGCTCACCAGTTTGTGATGTGGCTCTCTATAGGCTGTGCCCTGCTAACTAAAACAATTGTGACATATAGCTGAGCCAAGCAACTAGGTAATGTGACTCTTTTTTGCTACCTGTGCCCTTTCTACATAAGGGATTATAATGCCATTGGGCCAGGGCGGGGCACAGTGGCTTATGCCTGTAATCCCAGCACTTTGGGAGACCAAGGTGGGCAGATCACAAGGTCGGGAGATTGAGACCATCCTGGCTAACATGGTGAAACCCTGTCTCTACTAAAAATGCAAAAAATTAGCCAGGCATGGTGACAGGCGCCTGTGGTCCCAGCTACTCAGGAGGCTGAGGCAGGAGAATGGTGTGAATCCTGGAGGTGGAGCTTGCAGTGAGCCGAGATCGAGTCACTGCACTCCAGCCTGGGTGACAGAGCCAAACTCCGTCTCAAAAAAAAAAAAAAAAAATGCCACTGGGCCAAGCACCCAGGTAATGTGACTCTCCCGCCTGTAGCCTGCCTACACAGGGCATTGTGCCCTATCACTGAGCCTAGCACCCAGGTGATGTAACTCCTTTTTATGGACTGTCAACAGAAAGAATTGTGACATACCAATGGCCCATCACCCAAGTGATATGACTTTCTTGCCTTCTTTTCACACACAGGTAGAATTGTGACTGCTACCTAGGCCCAGCACACAGAAATTATAATGTCTCTCAGATGTAGAACCAGCCAAATGGTGAGATTTTGACTCTCATAGATAGGTTTAGGGCAAATGATAAGGTCCTGAATCGCCTACTTGTAGAAAGGTTACAGAAGGTTCCTACACACACACATATATTATGAAGTCCTTGGCTGGTACAGACAGCATCATAATACAAACTAGAACACAGGTGAAATTGTGACTTTCATAGGCACACCCAGCAGAAGATTAGGATTGTCACTCTCATATGTGGACAGAGCCTACTAGTAAGCTCCTGAATCTCACATGTTGATTAAGTCCACAGTTGGAATTGTGACTGTTACATGTAAATCTGGCCACAGGTGGGATGGTGACTCATTTCTGGTCCCAGCTCATAGGCATGGTAAGGACTCTAATACCAAGACCCAGTCAATAGAAGAGATGTTTACTTCAGTAACTAGGCTTAGGGCAGCAGGTAATGTCCTGGGTTTCTTACTTGTACAAAAGTCAAAGAGCCTTACAACACGCAAACATATTATACAATGCTCTCAGGAGGTATAGAGAATTTCATAACAGGGCCCAGCACACAGATGAAATTGTGACTCTTGTTTTCACACTCAGCTGATGGTAAGGATTATTACCCTTCCATATGGACACAGCCCATTGTTGAGGTTCTGAATCTCACAG
Organism: Homo sapiens; assembly: GCF_000001405.40. Lineage (NCBI taxonomy): Eukaryota > Metazoa > Chordata > Mammalia > Primates > Hominidae > Homo > Homo sapiens. The sequence goes on along the minus strand of NC_000007.14, from coordinate 64,289,490 downwards.
CTGGAGGCAATTGAAAGTTGGATGTGTGATTCTTATACATGGATCCAGATCACAGGTAAGATGATGACTTCTGAATCAAGATCAAACACCCTTGTGAGGCTGTGTCTCCCCTATCAGGATACTATTTGCAGATGAGGTTGGGGGTCTCATACACAGATCTAGTCCACGGTTGAGGTTGTGACTCAGGTACTTGGACAGAATTCACAAGAGCTGCTAATTCTTATATTTGGAGCCAGGCCATATGCAATATTGTTAATCTCATCCCTGGACCTTTCTGCAGGTGTGATTTTGATTCATACCTTTGCCCAGCACCTAACTGATTTTACATTTCTGCATGGGTTCAGACTAAATGTGGGATTGTGACATATACCTAGGCCAAGCACATAGGTGATGGGACTCTCCTGCCTGGGCCAGTCTCTCAGAGGTGACTTAGAAATATCTTATGCAGCCATCACCTAGCTAATGTGACTCTCCTCTCCTGCCTGGGCTCAGCCCACAGGGGCATTATGACGTATTACTGGGTTCATCACCTAGGTGACATGACTCTCCTCTTCTGCCTGGGCCCCACCCCCATTTGGAATTTGGACATATCCGTGGGCCTATCACCTAGGTGATATGAATCTCCTCTTTTGCCTTGGACCTTCTTACATGGGGAATTGAGACAAATTACTGGGCCCAGCACCTAGCAGATGTTACTGTCTGTTTTGCCTGGATCTTGCCTACAGAAGGGATTGTGACAAATCAGTGGGCCAAGCATCCAGGTGATATGGCTTTTCTGTCTTAGCAGTGCCTATATATAGCTGGGATTGTGACATACACCTGGGCCAAACATCTGGGTAATGCAACTGTTCTTTCTGAGCCCTTTTCTCACAGAACATCATGATATATCTCTGTGCTCATCACCTAAGTCATGAGAGTCTCCTCTTTTTCCTGGGCTCTGTCCACAGGGTAATTTGTGACATACTGCTGGACCCAGCACCCAGATCATTTGACTCTCCTGCCTTGGTCCTGCCCACAGAGGGCATTGTGACATGTGAGTGGGCTCAGCAGCCAGATGATGTCACCTTCCTGCCAGGACTCTTCCAACAGAAGGGGCATTGACCTACTCAGGCTCAGTATTCAGGTGATGTGGCTTTCCTTCCTAGTCCCTGCTTGCAGGTGGTATTGTGACATATATCTGGGTCCAGTTCATAGGCATGATGATGACTATCATACATGGGTGCAACCAATAGAAAAGATTTTGACTCTTCTAGCTGGATTTATGACAATGTATAATGTCTTCAGTCTCCAGCTTCTGGTAAGATCACAAAGTATGAGGAAGCTTATGCATATTCTATAATGCCCTTTGGTGGTACAGAACATGTCATTCCAGAGCCCAGCACATAGCCAACAGTTAAAATTGTCAATCTCACACATGGACAGGGCCCACAGTTAAGGTCCTGAATGTCACTAATAGACACAGTTTACAGTTGGAATTTTGACTGTCATATGTGGATCTGGCCACAGGTTAAGTGGTGACTTATTGCTGGACCTAGCCCACAGGCATAGCAATGAGTCTCATATCTAAACCAGTCAATAGAAGAGATGTTGAATCTCATCCCTAGACTTGGAGAAATGAGTAAGATCATGGGTTCATATAGGCACAAATGTTTCAGAGTGCATTGCAAGTCTTACACATATATACAGCCACACTTGACGCAAAGAGTAGTATAACAAGGTCCAGTACACAGCTGAGATTTTGACTCTCATATGCATACACTGCCAACAGTAAAGAATGTCACACTCCCACATAGACACAGCCCACTGTTGAGGTTCTGAATCTCACACCCAAAGGCAGTCAGAAGTTGGTATTTTTACTCTTATATGTGGATCCAGCCTTCAGGGGAGACGATGAGTCTCTGACCAAGATTCAGCACCTATGTTAGGCTCTAACTCTCCTAATAGGTGCTGTCTGAGGTTTGGCTGTCATGCGTGGATTCAAGTTGCTGTTGAAATTGTGATGTGCAGCTGGGCATGGTGGCTCATGCTTGTAATCCCAGCACTTTGGGAGGCCAAGGCAGGTGGATCACCTGAGGTCAGAAGTTCAAGACCAGCCTGGCCAACATGGCAAAACCTCGTCTCTACTAAAAATGCAAAAATTATCTGGGTGTGGTGGCACACACCTGTAATCCCAGCTGCTCAGGAGCCTGAGGCAGGAGAATCACTTGAACCCAGGAGGCAGTGGTTGCAGTGAGCCGAGATCATGCCACTGCACTCCACCCTGGGCAACATGAGTGCAACTCTGTCTCCAAAAAAAATAAAATATTAAAATAAATAAATAATAAAAAAGCAAAGAAATTGTGATTTGCATTCTTGGACACATGAGGTTTGTAAAAGTTCATGAGGTGTGTACTTTTATACCTGGACCCAGAACATGTTCAGGAATGTAAATTCCATTCCTAGACCTTCTCACAGGTGTGATTGTGACATAATAACTTTTCCCAGCCAGAACTTGACTGATTAGACTATACTGCCTGAATAAAGCCCACAGTTTGAATTGTGACATATGCCTAAGCCAATAGCCTCTGTACAGTGACCCTCCTGCCTAATCCCTTCTTGCAGGTGGCATTGCGATATACCTCTGGTCTCATTTCCAGAGGAGTGATTATCATCTCCTGCCTGGACCCTGTTCACAAGGGGATTGTGACATATTGCTGAGACCAGCACTTCTGTGATGTAAACCTTCAGCCAGGGTTCTGCCCACAGGGGTCATTTTGACACATCACTGGTCCCAGCACCATAGTGATGTGAATTTCCTACCAGCACTCAACTCACAGGGGGGGATACTAATATACCCCTGGCTCAGTATTCAGATGATGTGACTCTCCTGCCTGGTTCTGCCCACAGGTGGGATTCTGGCATATACCTAGGTACGGATCACAGGAATAATAATGACTGTCATATGAGAGCCCAGCCAATAGAAGAGATTCTGACTCTCATGGCTGAGCTTAGAACAATCAGTAAGGTTCTGGGTCTCCTAAATGTATCACAATTACAGAGGATTATGACACTCATAAATATTCTATAAAATACTTGAGTCATATCAGAGCTAATTACAGAGGTAAAATTGTGCTTCTCATATGAGGCACACTATCCAACAATTCGGATTGTCACACATGGACAAAGCCCACTGGTGAGGTCCTGAATCTCACATGTGCAAACAGTCCACAGTTGAATTTGGGACTGTCATATGTGGATCTGGCCATAGGTCAGAAGGTGACTCGTTTCTGGACCCAGCTCATAGGCATCTCAATGACTCTCATACCTGCTCCCAGTTAATAGAAGAGATGTTGACTTTTGTATCTAGGCTTAGAGCAATGGATAAGGTACTGGATTTCCCACTTTTACAGAGGTCTCAGAGAATTACAACACTCATGCATATTGTATGCCCTCAGGTGGTACAAAAAGTGTCAAAACAGGGCTCCTGTCAAAATTGAGACTGTGACTCATGTGTACACAGGCCACAGTTTGGATTGTAACTATTAAATGTGAATCTGCTCATGAGGTCCTGGATGTCACTCACAAAAACAGTTCACAGTTGGAATTGTGACTGTCATATATGGACCCATCCACAAGTGGGATGGTGACAAATTTCTAGACCCAGCTTACTGGCATACTGATGACTCTTATATCTGGACCCAACAAATAAGAGAAACGTTGACTCTCATACCTGAACTTGGGGCAATATGTAGGATCATGAGTTTATACCAGTATGAAGGTCTCAGAGCAGGTTTTCATTCTCATGCATTAAAAAAATAAAAAATAAAAAGCTCTTGAGTAGAACAGAGGGTATAATACAAAGGCCCATCACACAGGTGACATTGTGATTCTTCTGTGCACACACAACATACAGTGAGGAATGTCATCATTCCATATGGACACAGCCCATTGTTGAGGTTCTGAGTATCACTCCCACATCCATTGTAAGTTGAATCTGTTACATGGATGCAGTTCACAGGTAGAATGATGATTTTATACCAAAACTCAGCACACCTGTGAGGCTGTGACTGCCCTAATGAGATAGTGTTTGCAGGTGAGGCTGGAGCTGTTATGCATGAATTCTGTCCACAATTGAGATTGTAACTTGTGTACTTAAATACAATTCACAAAAGGTGTTTTCTCTTATACCTTGAGCCAGGAAATATGTGGGACTGGGAATCTCATCCCTGGACCTTACTGCAGGTGTGACTCTGACATATAATTTTTTCCCAGCACCTGATTGACTTTACCGTCTTGCCTGAGCTCAGGCAACAGTTGGGATTGTGACATACCTGGCCCAAACACCTAGGTGATGTGACTGTCCTGCCTGGGCCCTGCCCACAAGAGGCATTGTAAGGTATCTCTGAGACCATCCCCTAGGTGATGAGACTCTACTTTCCTGACTATCCCTTTCTCCAGTAAGATTTGTGACATATAATCTGGGCATGTTATCTAGGTGGTATGACTCTCCTCTCATGACTGGGCCCTGTTAACAGGGTGGAGTGTGACACAGTACTGGGCCCAGCACCTAGGTGTTGTGACTCCCCTTTCCTGCATGGGCCTTGCCTACACAAAGGATTGTGATATATTGCTAAGCTAAGCACCAAGGTGATATGGCTCTTGACTGGGTTCTTCCTAAGTGGGCATTGTGACATATTACTAAGCCTAGCAATAAAGGTGATACAACTTTCCTGCATGGGTCCTGCCCATGGAAGGATATTGACATTTCCCTGGTCCAGCATTCAGGTGATGTGACTTTCCTCCCTGATTCTGCCCACAGGTGGGATTATGACCTATATCTAGGCCCAGGCAACAGTCATGATGGTGTCTTTCTTACATGGACCCAGCCAATAGGAGAAATTTGGACTTTAATAGCTAGGCTTAGGGCAACAACTAAAAGCCTTGGTCTAGTAATTATAAAAAGGTCACAAAAGATTATGACACTCACATGTATTTTATAAAGCCCTTGGGGTGTATAGAGAGTGATAAACAGGGCTTAGCACACAGGGGCGATTGTGACTCTTGTAGACACATGTAGCCAACAATCGCAATTGTCACCTTCACACGTGGACAAAGCGCTCTGGTGAGATTCTGATTCTCACACATGGATGCAGTCCAGAGTTGGAATTGTGACTGTCATATGTGGATCTGGCCTCAGGCTGCATGGTGAGTCATTTCTAGATCCAGCTTACAAGCATGGTGTTGACTCTCATGCTTAGACCAAGCCAATCGGACAGATATTGACTCATAGCTAGACTTAGGACCATGGGTAAGGTCCTGCTTTTCCTACCTGTACAGAGGTCACAGAGGACTATGAAACCCTAACATATGGTATAACTGGTATAATTCCCTCAGGTGGTACAGGCAGAGTAGGTCTAAACAGGGCCCAGCACAGAGTTAAGATTGTTAATCTCATATACACATCTAGTCAAAAATTAAGATTGTCACCCTCACACACAGACAGTGATCACTGCTGAGGTCCTAAATCTCTTGTGGGTGCGGTTCAAAGCTGATATTGTGACGGTCATATATGGATCTGCACAAAGGTGGGATAGTGACTCATTTCTGGACCCCTCTCACAGGCACAGTGATAAATCTCATTCCTGGGCACAGCAAATAGAACAGATGTTGACTCTCCCCTCGGGGCTTAAAGTAATCAGTAAGATCATGTGTCCACACAAGCATGCAAATCTCAGAGAGTATTGTGACTCTTGTGCATACCTTATAATGCCCTCAGGTACTACAGAGAGCATTATAAAAGGGCACAAAACACAGATGAAATTGTTACTCTCATATGCACAACCAGCCAACACTATGGTCACTTTCCAAATGAACACAGTGCACTGTTAAGGTTCTGAATCTCACACTTAGAGGCAGTCAAAGTTGGCATTGTTACCATCATATATGGATTCCATACACCTCTTGGACCAAGATTCAGCACCCCTGTGATATTTTGACTTTTTTAGTGGAACACTGTCTGCAGGTGGAGTTGTGGCTCTCAAACACGGATCCAGTCCACTGTTGAGGTTGTTACTTGCCTTTTGGGTGCAACTCACAGGAGGTGTTGACTCTGATCCTGAAGTTGGGCATGTGAGAGATTGTAAATTGTATCTCTGGACACTTTCACAGGTGTGATTGTGACATATACCTTCACTCAGTATCTGACTGATTTTTCTCTTTGCCTAGGCTGCACCTGCGGTTTAGATTGTAAATTATACTTAGGTTGAGGGCCTAGATAATGTGACTTTCCTGCTTGGGCTCTGCCCTCCCGGGGTATTGTGAGATATCTCTGGGCCAATCACCTAGGCGATGTGACTCTCCCTTTCTGCCTGGGCCAGTCCACAGGGGTTACCATGAGATATCCTTTGGCCCATCACCTATGTTATGTGACTCTTCTTTGCCTTGAATCTGTTTACATGAGAAATGGTTACATATCACTGGGCCCATCACCTAGATGGTGTGACCGTCTTCTACCTGGAACATGTTTACAGGGTGGATTGTGCCATATTGCTTTTCCTAGCACCCAGGAGATGTAAGTTTTATTGTCAGGACCCTGCCCTTAGTAAAAATATTGACATATCGCTGGGCCACCACCTAGTTGATGCCACTCTCCAGCCTAGTCTTTGCCCACAGGTGGGATGGTCACACATTTGGCCCAGCTCACAGGTGTAATGAAGACTCACATATGTGAACCCAGCCAATAGAAGAAATTTTAACTCTTCTAGCTAGGCTTAGAAAAACAGGCAATGATCTGGGTCTTCTACATGTAGAAAGATCACACAATATATCACACTCATGCGTATTCTATAAAGCCTTTGGGTGATATAAAGAGTGTCATATCAGCATCCAGCACAGAAGTAAAATTGTGACTCTTATAGGCACACCCAGCAGACAATTAAAATTGTCTCCCTCACACATTGACAAAAGTTACTGGTGAGGTCCTGACTCTCATATGAGGACACAATACACAGTTAGAATATTGGTCACATCCCATGTGGATCTGGCCAAAAGTCAGATGGTGGATCATATCTGGACCCAGCTTACAGGTCCAGTGATGACTCTTATACCTGGACCCCACCAATAAGAGAGGTGTTGGCTCTCTCTCATAGCTGGGATTAGGCCAAAAAATAAAGTTCTGGGTTTTCTACTTTAAAAAATATCACAGGTGATTACCACACACATGCATATTCTGTAAAGCCCTCAGATGGTACAGAGAGTGTCATCATAGGACCCAGTACCACACTGAGGTTGTGACTATTGTATGCACACTCAGCTGACTGTTAAAATTGTCACCTTTACATAGGAGACAGCAAAATAGTGAGTTCCTGAATCTCACTGACAGACACAGTCCACAGTTGGATCATGTCTGTCACATGTGGATTGAGCCACAGGAGGGATGTTGACCAATTTCTGTAACCAGATAACAGGAACAAAAATGACTCTCCTACCTGGACCCAAAAATAAGAGAGATGTTTACTCTCATGCCTGGGCTTAGGGCAATGGGTGAGATCCTACATTTGGTATTGTAAGAAACACCTGGGCAAGCACAAAGGTCTCAAAGCAGATTGTGAGTCTCACATGTGCCATATAAAACCCTCAGGTGGTACAGAGAGTGTCATAACAGAAACCAGCAAACAGGTCAGATTCTGACTCTCATATGCACACCTGGCTGACAATAAGGATTCTCATCCTCCCACCTGAACACAGCCTCCTTACAACGTCCTGAATCTCACACTCAGAGGCAGTCAAAAGTTGGAATTGTGACTCTCATACGTGAATGCAGTCCACAGGTAGGATGGTGACTCTCACACCAAGGTTCAGTGTTGCGGGAAGTCAGGGACCCCAAATGGATGGACCAGCTGAAGCCATGGCAGAAGAACATAAATTGTGAAGATTTCATGGGCATTTATTAGTTCCCCAAATTAATACTTTTATAATTTCTTATGCCTGTCTTTACTGCAATCTCTGAACATAAATTGTGAAGATTTAATGGACACTTATCACTTCCCCAATCAATACTCTTGTGATTTCCTATGCCTGTCTTTACTTTAATCTCTTAATCCCATCATCTTCATAAGCTGAGGATGAATGTTGCCTCAGGACCCTGTGATAATTGCGTTAACTGCACAAATTGTCTAAACAATATGAAATCTGGGCACCTTGAAAAAAGAACAGGATAGCAGCAATGTTTAGGGAACAAGGGAGATAACCTTAAACTCTGGCTGCCTGTGGGCTGGGCGGAACAGAGCCATATTTCTCTTCTTTCAAAAGCAAATAGGAGAAATATTACTGAATTCTTTTTCTCAGCAAGGAACATCCCTGAGAAAGAGAATGCATCCCTAAGGGGAGGCCTGTGAAATGGCCGCTTTGGAGATGGCTGTCTTTTACAGTCATAGCGGAGGGAAGAAATAAGCCCTGGTCTCCCGTGGCACTCCCAGGCTTATTAGGACGAGGAAATTCCCGCCTAATAAATTTTGGTCAGACCGGTTATCTGCTCTCAAACCCTATCTCCTGATAAGATGTTATCAATGACAATGCGTGCCTGAAACTTCATCAGCAATTTTAATTTCGCCCGGTCCTGTGGTCCTGTGATCTCACCCTGCCTCCATATGCCTTGTGATATTTTATTACCTTGTGAAGCATGTGATCTCTGTGATCCACACCCTATTCGTACACTTCCTCCCCTTTTGAAAATCACTAATAAAAACTTGCTGGTTTTGTGGCTTGGGGGGCATCATGGAACCTGCCGACATGTGATGTCTCCCCCCAACACCCAGCTTTAAAATTTCTCTCTTTGTACTCTTTCCCTTTATTTCTCAGACCAGCCGACACTTAGGGGAAAGTAGAAAAGGACCCACGTGAAATATCGGGGGTGAATTTCACCCAATATCTGGTGCCCACGTGGTCTTTCTTTTTTCCTAAGTGCATGTGGGAACCCAATTCCCTTTGGTAGGTGTGGAGAAGTGTCATCGGTTTGGTCCACAGATACACGTGTTTGACTCCCTGACAACTGGTGAGTAGTCTGTGTGTGGTCCGGGTTAACTATGGGTCATGCTACTTTTTATTAACAATTGTACTTCATTCCATTTATATCACCCTTCTTCACTGTTTCAATGCCTTCTGCACTTCATATCAGTGAAAAACAGGCCAGCTGGTGCCAGGAAATGGGCGTTTTGCTAGTGCTACTTTAAGAGTAATGATGAAGAGCACTTGTCTGAATCGTTCCCATGTGGCAAACACTGTGATCTGGCCTAAAGTACACACATTTATTATTTTCCTCTAAATGTACTAATGAAATAAAATTCTTAGCTAAGAAAGGCTTGATCTCATTCAAATATGTTTTATGAAATTTGGTTGACATTTCAGTGTCTCTGACTTAAATGGAATATTTAAAATTTCCGTGAATCCAAATAGAGTGTTATACATGAACAATCTTTTGCTAAAAGCCTTTCTGGGGCAGAGTAAGATTCATAAAATTTCTTTATAACATAGAAGAAATGTGGTTAACTATGTTCCCGGTATCAACTCTGAACACTGAGCATTCTCAGTTCCCAGTATTCACCCTGAGTCATTCAGGAAAAACTGGTATCTCTGTAAGGAGACAGAAAAAGTGCTTGGGGGAGGGTCACAATATTGCACATAAATTCTTTTTTCATGCACTATTAGGATACTAATCTAATTGGTCTATCATTTGCATGGCTAGATTGTTACTGAATGTAGTCATACTATTTTGTTTTTTGCAGCTAATGACATCTGTTACCTATAAGTTTCATACAATAACTTGCTCAGCTGAGACATGAACCTTTGTTAATTTACCCTCAATTGAGGGACTAGATTTGCAGTTTCCAATCTTTCAATGTTAAAGCAAATCAGAGAAGAGTAGTGTGGGTATGTAATATGCATTTTCCTGCCTAACTATCAAAATTCTTCTCATATTGCCTTTGACACTGTAGGCAGCCACCTAAAAAATATTCCCTCCTAATTTTTTAGCCAGGATATTAGATTTTAAAAGGTCAAGTACTTAATAATTGGGCAAAGCCAAAATCTTGTCTTTGCTTCTTGACCATTTCAAAGAGCATGGCAATTATGCCAAGGCATTGAAAGATGTGGTTCTGATGACTGTTATTTTATTTCAAATGTTCTCTCTAATTGTTAGTCTTATTGTGTTAATCTAAAAGAGAAATGATCTACATCACAATTTGTGCATTCAAGAAATATGTTAAGATGTTCAAAGTTCGATATTCTATTACAGAAGAGTAGAATTCTCTGAAATTTCAATGTCAAATTATTATTGATAAGTTCATTATTTTTTCAACATTTTCCAGTGTTGAAATTAAATAATTGGGTATGCTTTTTCACGATAAGTTCAATTCTAGGAGAGTACTTACTGGTCTGCCTGGTATTTTTGTCATGAATTATGTAAAACTGAGTTAACAGAATGGAACAGAAATGCTAATTTAATCAGAATGAGAATGAATTCAGCCTTGTTGGTAGACTACTGGTATCCCAGAGGCTGATCATTTACTTCAGCTGCGTAGACATTGCTTCCTAATGCCAGTGAGCCCTTTCAACCAAGTTGCCTTTGTTTCCCATCGATGTGGTCATGTTCTGGCCTCTGTTTTTATTAAGCTGTCCCAGATGAAGGGTGATTATTTCTTGCATAAGTGAGATCTCTTCTCTTTTCTCTGCCATGAGATCCTCCAATTATCCCTACAGAAAGCAACATGTTGAAGGCAGAAATGGAGGCAGTATACAAATATATCCCTGGCCATGTGGCCACCATAAGCAGCTTACAACATGGCTTACCTAGAAGTTTGATTAATTTCAGGGAAGCAGGGGTGTTTTTCCATGAGGTGCTTTTTCTTTTAAAAACACCTCCGATTAAATTTAGTCTAATCAAGATAATTTCTCTTATGATAAACAGGAAGCCAATACATTAGTAACCTAATTACGTGAAAAATGTCCCACCACAGTCACACACATTTTCTCACACTCAGGAGAAAAGGATACACAGCAGGTGTGCACTGAAGTGGGAACCTGAGGGTCATCTGAGAATTTTGCCTACCCTCCTGAATAGATACCTAAAATAGCCTTTCAGTTGCTTTTGTTGTGTTTCTAAGTAAACAAAGATATCATCTGCGAATAATAATTTCACTGCTTTCCAATTTTATTCATTAAAATAATTATCTTTTTCTGGCTTATATGAAGTATTTTTCATTTATATTATATATTCACATACATACATATATAACAATACAAATGTATCCTTTTTAATTTTTGTCAAATTTTTAAGAATGGATGTTAAAGGTAACTTCTTTTCTGTTTGAAAGGGTTTTTATTGTTGTATTCAAGAGTATTATCCCTGGAGTCAAAGTTGCTTGTGTTTTAATACTGGCTCTGCTATTGTGAGCAAGTTATTTCTCTCTCTGGCTCTGTTTCTTTCTTTATAAATTGAGGCTCATAATACCTTTGTTATTAGGTTACTGTGTCTATTAGTCCATTCTCACACTGCTATAAGGACACACCCAAGACTAGGTAAATTATAAAGGAAAGAGGTTAATTTGACTCACAGTTCAGCATGGCTGGGGAGGCCTCAGGAGACTTACAATCATAATGAAAGGGGAAGCAAACACATCCTGTTTCGTATGGTGATAAGAAGAGAAAACGTGCTGAGCAAAAGGGAGAAAAGTCCCTTATAAAAACCAGCAGATCTTATGCAAACTCACTCACTATCATGAGAACAGAATGAGGGAAACTGACCACAGGATTCAATTACCTCCCACCAGGTGTCTCCCATGACACATAGGAATTATGGGAACTAAAATTCAAAATTACATTTGGGTGTGGACACAGCCAGACCACATCAATGTGACAACAAAATTTATTAACACATGTATAGTGTTATTGTTAGTGCTCAGTACAAATTAGCTATTATTAATGAGATATTTATATGCTGAATTATGTTGATACATGCTTTCACACAAATATTTTTCCATTACACATGAGTTTTCCAACCAATAGATGAATATATATTTGAATTACAATTTTATTTTAAAGGTGGTATATACGTTTAGAATAATAGTATACACAATGGAATACTATGTAGCCTTGAAAAGAGGGAAATATTGTCAATTGAAAAAATAAGGATAAATTTAGAGAATATTTGCTGAGTACAATAACCCAGACACACAAGAAAAATACTGCATGATTTCACTTGTATGTAGAATCTAATAAAGTTGTATTTGTTATTTACAAAGTAGAATGTGGAATAATTGGTTACCAGAGGCAGTTGTTGATAAAAGAATGCAAAGTTTTACAGACAGGACAAAGAGATTTTGAGATCTATTGCACAGTAGAGTGATTATAGTCAATGATAATGTATTGTATATCTCAAAATAACTAACAGTAAGTTTTAATGTCTCACCACAAAAAATGCTAGGTAAGTGAGGTGATAGATATGTTAATTGACTTAGTTCATATTTTATACATATATCAAAACATTACTCTGTACCCCATAAATGTATACAATTTTGATTAGTCAACCAAATATACTAGTAATACATGTTTTTTTTTAAATTAACTTTAAAAAACTGGGCCAGAGAAATAAATGTTTCTTCATATCTTATAATTTCAGGAAAATATACATATATTTTTAATTACACATGGCTTGCTTACTTAGTGATGTAGATAAGTAAACTTTTGATATTGTGAATAGTCTGAACCTACCACTCAATAATAAAATGTTAATTATTACTGTTCAGAATAATACAATTCTTTCTTTCTTTTTCTTTCTCTTTCTTTCTTTCTTTTTCTTTTTCTTTTTTTTTTTGAGACGGAGTTTTGCTCTTGTTGCCCAGGCTGGAGTGCAATGGTGCAGTCTCGGCTCACTGCCGTCTCTGCCTCCCAGGCTGAACCGATTCTCCTGCCTCAGCCTCCCAAGTAGCTGGGATTACAGGCATGTGCCACCATGTCCAGCTAGTTTTGCATTTTTAGTAGAGACGGGGTTTCTCCATGTTGGTCAGGCTGGTCTCAAACTCCCGACCTCAGGAGATCCACTTGCCTCAGCCTCCCAAAGTGCTCGGATTACAGGCGTGAGCCACTGTGCCTGGCCTTATTTGATAATAGAATACTTTCAAAGACAGACTCTAAAGCAACTGTTTAAAGTAAAATCTTCTCAACATAAATGATTTTCTTCACTTATAAAGTTATTTAAATATATATTTTAAACTACCTTTAAATTTATAAAGTGAACATAAAAAATTAGCTGGCAAAAAAGAATTTATTAAACAAATAGATCAGAAAACAATTTGCCTCTTTCTCTAATTTTAAAACTGACAACACTCAGCATTTAAGTGCTTATTCTCTAGTGTTACTAGAGTGGTAAAGAGCAGAACAAGATGAGGGATCTCTTTTTAGTATTTATATTCATGCTGTATGAGAATATATGAAAATTTGCCAAGGATAGTATTAAAAATATCCATCGACTATTATAATCCCAAACTGACCAATTAAAATGAACATAAATTACAACCCCCTGGTGTGGCCACCTTGTTGATCCCAGGCTTAACATTGGTCCTGATCTAAAAAACTTTACAAATCACCAGAGCTAATAAATTTTCTGTACACTCGCTCTATGCTGGGCACTCTTCTGACACCTTCATTTGTATTAATTGCTTTAATTTTATCAAAACCCTAGGATTTAGGCAGTATTATCCTTACTGTACAGCTGAAGAGTCAAGCACAGAGATGTCAAGAAACTGTCTCCAGGTCACACAGCCCATAAGTGGCAGAACCAGGATGTAATCAGGGACCACCAGATAGCGAGCTTTAATATTAGCCCTTATGGCCAGCCCCCTCTCACTCAATTTTTTTTTCCATTTTTTATTTAACATTTTTGCTTTGAATTTTCTAATTTATTAGAAATGAAGCAGAATTTAAAAACAACTTTTTTCACCCCTAGATAGTATAGAGAACTTCATTTAGGGTTCAAAGGGCTCAAAACAAAGCCTATCACAAATATTTTGGTTGGTAAATGGTTTCTAATGACCTTATTCCTCCCATTACTTAAAAGAGTCACTAATGGTACTTTTGAAAAATATCTTTTATATTAAAAGCTAGAATGAAGCTGAGTGCAGTGGCTCAAACCTACAATCCTAGCACTTTGGGAGGCCCAGGCAGGTGGATTACTTGAGGTTAGGAGTTCGAGAACAGCTTGGCCAACATATTGAAACTCCGTCTCTACTAAAAACACAAAAATTAGCTGGGTGTGATAGCCGGTGCCTGTAATCCCAGCTACTTGGGAGTCTGAGGCAGGAGAATCACTTGAACTTGGGAGGCAGAGGTTGCAGTGAGCCGATATCACACCACTGCACTCCAGCCTGGGCAACAGAGCAAAACTCCATCTGAAAAAAAAAAAAAAAAGCTAGAATAAGCCTATTATTTTATTTAAAATTTGTGATCTAAATGTACATCATTATTCATTGAGTGGTCTAAAGTTTCTGAAAGTTTTGAAAACACTAATATAAGAATACTTTTTCAGTCAAGTGCAGTGGCTCACGCCTATAATCCCAGCACTTTGGGGGGCCGAGATGGGCAGATCACGAGGTGAGGAGTTCGAGACCAGCCTGGCCAACATGGTGAAACCCTGTCTCTACTAAAAATACAAAAATTAGCTGGGCATGGTGGCACGTGCCTGTAATCCCAGCTATTCAACAGGCTGAGACAGGAGAATCACTTGAATCTGAGAGGCAGAGGTTGCAGTTAGCTGAGGTCACGCCACTGCACCCTATCCTGGGTGACAGAGCGAAACTCTGTCTCAAAAAAAAAAAAAAAAAGAATACTTTTTCATATAGAATGATTAAAGCATATTGTTTTCTCAGTGACTAAAATGAAACAAATTACAATTACTAACCAGTCACTTACAACATGGTTTTAAATATTATTTAATGACCACATGTGTAGTTTCCTTGAACTCATTTTAACAACTTATTTCTATTGCTTCTTCACTTCTATTAGAAAAAAATTAAAATTTATGTTGCTAAAAGCCTATGAATTTTGTTCTAATCTTAGTGATCATCTTAAAATACCTTATATGCTTATGATCATAGAAACCCTATTTACCATTTACATTTAGAAGAGAAATAACTACTTTGCATTAGACCAAACAGAGTAATTCTTTTTTTTTATTGTTTTCTGATTTTTGAGATGGAGTCTCACTCTGTCGCCCAGGCTGGAGTGCAGTGGTGCGATCTCAGCTCACTGCAACCTCCGCCTCCTGGGTTCAAGCAATTCTCCTGCCTCAGCCTCCTGAATAGTTGGCATTACAGGCATGCACCACCATGCCCGGCTAATTTTTTCTATTTTTAGTAGAGATGGGGTTTCTCCATATTGGCCAGGCTGGTCTTGAACTCCTGACCTTGTGATCTGCCCACCTCAGCCTCCCAAAGTGCCAGGATCACAGGCGTGGGCCACCGCACCTGGCCAATTCTTGCTATCTTATAAGCAATTACAATATTAATACCATCACCTAGATAGAACTTAAAGATAACTCAGTTTTTCTGTGCTGTTTCTGTTATTTAACTTGTCAGCAATAGCAATAGAAACTCGGATATTTACAGCATATTCTGGGTCCAGCAGAACATGGGAGGAGCCAATATACTTCAGGGCTTTTACTTTCGCTTGGAAACCTTTAGTTTCTGGTGCTGACGGCAATGTAGTGGAAGACACTAAAAATCAGGTGTTGCCACCTGTCACATGATTGGTCACTCTGTGAACACAATAAACATCTTTGCATGAAAAATAACTGAGTAATTGTTTTAATCTAAATCTGCCATAATCTCCAAAATTTTCCCAGAGAAAATGACCAAAATGTTGGCTACGGTTAGGTGAGTAAGTGAAAACTGTAGACTGAATCTCACCCACTAAAAAATAATCATAAAATAATAGAAAAATCTCTCAAGATTGTAACATTAATATGAAACATTATATGTTCATAATATGTAACATTAATATGAAAAGGAAATATTATTCCAATTTTTAAATTCATAGAGCTCATTTTATTTGCAACATTTAACATTCACACTCAAAAATACAAGATCCTGCATGAAAACTTAAGTTGTGCTATAAATATATCGTAAAATTACATTTAATAATTATCCGTTAATATTAACTCTCCTGTACTTGTGATCCACCTGCCTCAGATTTCTAAGATATATTTTCTAAATAATTTTGTATATGCTTCAGTTTGTCTTAGAATCTAATAAAAAATTTTTTTACAAAGACAAATAGTGCTATCTGACTTAATTGTCTCACCTGTGGACAGTGTATGCCTCTTATCTCAATTAACTTATGTGGAAGCTACACTGAGAAGCTATAAATAAGCTGAAACTCCCAAGTTTAACACAGTTTTTCACCATATTAAAAAATTCCAATTTTCTCATCAGAACCTACAAAGTACTGTGTGAAATGATGTGGCACAGAGAGAACAGTGAGAAAGCTGTAGCCATAGCACAGAAATAAATGGGAAGGGCTGTGATGGACACATCACTAGGATAAACATAAAAAGTCACAAAACAAAAGATAATCAGAAAATTTAAAAAGTAGAATTTTTATTTAAATTCAGAGAGGCCATTTTGCAACCTAAGAACTGATGTCCTCTGCACATGCAGAATCAATGTTATATTTTCATCATGAATATTTTCCATCTGTGATTGAGTGTTACAAAGAAAATCAAGCAGGAATAACTATGGCTAATTATGAAGCATCTAGTACACAGATAGTCCTATCTTATATTTGTGCATTAGTCTCTTTTTACACTGCTGTAGAGATACTACCCAAGACTGGAACATTTATAATGAAAGGAAGTTTAGTTGATTCACAGTTCCACATGGCTGGGGAGGCCTCAAGAACCTTACAATAATGGCAGAAGGTGAAAGAGAAGCAGGTATCTTCTTTACTAGGTGGCAGTAGAGAGGGAGAGCAGAAAAATTACCACTTATAAAACCATCCGATCTCATGACAACTCACTCACTATCATGAAAACACGATGGGTATCATTCTGCTCCTGGCCGCTCCCAAATCTCATGCCCTTTTTATATTTCAAAACCAAACATGCTTTCCCAACAGTCCCCAAAACTCTTAACTCATTTTAGCATTAACCCAAAAGTCTAACTCCAAAGTCTCGTCCCTGCTACCTATGAGCCTGTAAATCAAAAGCAAGTTAGTTACTTCCAAGATACAATGGGGGTACAGGCATTAGATAAATTCTTCCATTTCAAATGTGAGAAATTTGCCAAAACCAAAGAGCTACAGGCCTCATGCAAGTTTGAATTCCAACGGGGCAGTAATAAAATCTTAAAGCTCTGAGATGATCTCATTTGACTTCATGTCCCACTCCTGGGCCATGCTGATTCAAGGGGTGGGCCCTCGTGGCCTTGAGCAGCTCCTTCATGGACTGGAATTGAATGCCTGTGGCTTTTCCAGGTGCACAGTGCAAGTTCATGGTGGATCTGTCATTCTGGGGTCTGGAGTATAGAGGCCTTCTCACAGCTCCAGTAGGCAGCTTCAGGGCGGACTCTGCATGAGGGCTCCAACCCCACATTTCCCTTCTGCATTGCCCTATTACAGGTTCTCCATGAGGGCTCTGCCCCTGTAGAAGACTTTTGCCTGAACATCCCGGCATTTTTATCCATCCTCTGAAATCTAGGCAGAGGTTCCCAGAGCTCAACTCTTGTTTTATGTGCACTCACATGCCCAATACCACACGGAAGCCACCAAGGCTTGAGGATTGCACTTTCTGAAGAAATAACCCAAGCTTGTACCTTGGCCCCTTTTAGCCACAGCTGGATCTGGAGCAGCTGGGATGCAGGACACCAAGTCCTGAGGCTTCACAGAGCAGTGGGGCCCTGGGCCTCGACCATGAAACCATTGTTTCTCCCTAGGGCTCCTGGCCTGTGATGGAAGGACCTGCCTCAGATCTTTAACATGACCTGAAGACATTTTCCCCATTGTCTTGGCTATCAACATTCAGCTTCTCTTTACTTTTGCAAATTTCTGCAGTGCCTTGAATTTCTTTTCAAAAAATGTGGTTTTATTTTCTACGTCATGGTCAGGCTGCAAATTTTCCAAATTTTTATATTCTGCTTCCATTTTAAACATAAGTTTCTCATCTCCATCTGAGACCACCTCAACATGGACTTCATCATTCATATGGCTATTAGCATTTTGGTCAAAAGCATTCAACAAGTCTCTAGGAAGTTCCAAACTCTCCCACATTTCTTTTTCTGAGCTCCCTAAACTTTCAACTTCTGCCTATTACTCAGTTCCAAATTCACTTCCACATTTTCAATTATCTTTATAGCAGTGCCCCAAACTCCCAGTATTAATTTTCTATATTAGTCTGTTTTCACACTACTATAAAGATACTACCAAAGAATGGGTAATTTATACAGAAAGGAGGTTTAATTTACTCACAATTCTGCATGGCTGGGGAGGGTCTAAAGAAACCTACAATTATGGTGGAAGGCAAAGGAGAAGCAAATACCTTCCTCACTAGGCAGCAAGAGAGCAGGAAAGCAGAAAAAACCACCATTTATAAAACCATCAGATCTTTTGAGAACTCACTTACTATCATGAGAACAGCATGGGGGAAAATTACCCCCATATTCCAATCACCTCCCACCAAGTCCCTTCCTTGACATGTGGGGATTACAATTTGAGATAAGATTTGGGTGTATAAGATCTTAAAGTTACAAATTCAATACAGGGCACAGAATATGTATGTATTTTTTTCAGAATCTCTGAGGTTTCTTGGTTTCTAGTTAATTATCCACCTTATTAAAATGATCTTTTTTGTTTCAATATTGTTCTTTTCTTCTGAAAATGCATACAAACTCACAAACACACTCACTTGCTACATAACTTTCTTACACTTAAGGTATATCTTTTATTTATTTATTTTTAGATGGTGTCTCACTCTGTCACCCAGGCTGGAGTGCAGTGGTGCCATCTCAGCTCACTGCAACCTCCACCTCCCGGGTTCAAGCGATTCTCCTGCCTCAGCCTCCTGAGTAGCTGGGACTACAGGCACGCACCACCATGGCCAGTTAATTTTTGTATTTTTAGTAGAGATGGGGTTTCACCATGTTGGCCAGGCTTGTCTTGAATTCCTGACCTCAAATGACCCACTCACCTCAGCCTCCCAAAGTGCTGGGATTACAAGCATGAGCCACTGCACCCAGCTGGTGTATCTTTAGTATATTTGTATATATAACTCTATGTAAATAAAAACTAAAAGTCTGTTTTTGTTTGTCAGCAGAGAGGTCACATGTAAAAAATATATAAAACAAATTTAAAAAAATAATCAACTCAGAAATGTATGGATATTAATTATACTCATGTAATTTTTATGATCACAAAATGACCCTATGGTTAATAATTCAATTGCACATACTGAGATAACTAAAAGTTGATTGTTTGTAATACAAAGGATAAATACATGCTCGAGGTGATGAATACCTCATTTACTCTGCTGTTATAATTAAATATTGTATGTCTGTGTTAAAATATCTCATACATGCCATAAGTGTGTATGCACACTATCTACCCACAAAAGTTAAAAAAATTTTAAATAAGATAAAAAAGAATACAAATTTGACCTATGGGAACAAAATTCTTCAACTTATTTGCAGTCTAAAACCGCTGGCAGGCAAGGCATGGTGGCTCACACATGTATCCCAGCATTTTGGGAGGCCAAGGCAAGTGGATCACCTGAGGTCAGGAGTTCGAGACTAGCCTGGCCAACATGGTGAAACCCCATCTGTACTAAAAATACAAAAATTAGCCAGGTGTGGTGGCATGTGCCTGTAGTTCCAGCTACTTGGGAGACTGAGGCAGGAGAATCGCTTGGACCCAGGATGTGGAGGTTGCAGTGAGCCGAGATTGCGCCACTGCACTCCAGCCTGGGTGACAGAGCAAGACTCTGTCTCAAAACAAACAAACAAACACACACTGGCAAAAAAGAGATTACTAGACATGTCATTCCCCTACATTAACAAATACTATATTGTTACCATCTTTAACCTAGAACCTTAAGTAAGATGGGACACGTTAAAATTGATAGCAAATCAACCCTTCTTTCAAAGCACAAGTCTTAACACATTAAAAACAATTTTGTTTAATGAAAAAATTAAGTTCATACATAATCTTTAAAAAATTTTAAATTTATTGCATTTTATTACACAAAGGTACAATTGATAAAATAATTTATTACTAACATTGAAAGGTTTTCCTCTCACTAGAATTCAGAATATTACTGTGAACACCCACCTTATACGTCACTAAAACAATTTTATAAGTCAACCACAAAGAGCCTCTTCATTTAGATTTTTCATTATGCATGTTACAACCTAATGTCCTTACTCTTTCATAGGAAAGTTCATGAATAATGGACACCTATAAAAAATAATCTCTCATATCTCTGATGCAACAATTCATCAAATACTTTCACAAACAATGGGAAGAAAGAATCAACATGAGGTAACTCGAGACTTGGGTTACATTATTATTTGCTTTTCAGAAAATGTATATTTTTTTTACAGAAAAAGAAGCATACCTCGGATGTAATTATAAATCTCCAAAAAAAAAAACTACTTCGTTAAAATGTATATAATGTTAGCTTTGGATCATTTTTATAACTAGCACCCTGATTTAGTGTAATGTCTGAAGTTTCAGTGCCTTCATTCTTTCTACTGTGAATTCTCAAATGTTTATATAGACTTAATTTTTGATTAAATATATTTTCCCCATTTGCTACATCTGCAAAAATATTTTTTAGTAGAAACTGGTGTTTTCTAAGCTGTAGTTTTTGAACAAATGTTCTTTCACATTCATTACATTTTCAGGCTTTCTCTCAAATATAAATTCTCTGACGTTCACCAAAGTTTGAGCATCTGCTTCAGGGTTTTCCTTTAATATAAAATGTGTACAATAAAATCTATATTACAAGTAAAGGTACTACAATCCTCTTTATGTTTGAAATGTTTGTCTTCAGAATAAACAGTCCTTACTTTAAAGGCCTATATTTTCTGAAGGTCTTTTTACAGTAATCACATGTATAATACTTTTTTTTTGAGATGGAGTCTTGCTGTGTTGCCCAGGCTGGAGTACAGTGGCCCAGTCTCGGCTCACCGCAACCTCCGCCCCCTGGGTTCAAGTAATTCTCCTGCCCCAGCTTCCTAAGTAGCTGGGATTACAGGTGCATGCCACCATGCCTGGCTAATTTTTCTATTTTTAGTAAAGATGGGGTTTCACCATGTTGGCCAGGATGGTCTTGAACTCTGGACCTCATGATCCACCTGCCTTGGCCTCCCAAAGTGCTGGGATTACAGTCATGAGCCACCACACCTGGCTTATAATGCTTTTATTAAGTATAAACTTTCTGATATTAAGATGTGAACAGATATTAATGGCTTTTCACATTCTTTGTATTTGTACAATTTTTCTCTGGTTATAAATGCTTTCTTGTGCCATAAGGTGTGAGAATTTGTTAAAAGTTTTGCCACATTTTTCATTTTTGTAGGAGTTTTCTTCAGTATAAATTATCTTACCTACCCTAATGTGTGACTACCATTTAAAGGCCTTGCCACATTTAACACATTTCTGGAGTTTCTCAACAGGATGATTTCTCTTTGTTAGAAAGTTTGAGGTGTGGTTAAATGCTGTGTTACATTTTTTATGTATGTAGAGTTTCTCTCCAGCATAAAATTTTTAATTAATAAGGATGGAGAACCAGTTAAAGGCTTTGCCACATTTTTTTTTTTTTTACAATTGCAGGGGTTGTCTCCAATATCAATTATCTTACATTTATTCAAACAAAAATTTGAGGACTTTTTAAAGACATTTCCATATTCCTTATTGTAGGGTTTCTTTTCAGTATTAATTTTCTTAATGTAGAATAAGGGTTCAAGACTAGTTAAAAGCTAAAGCTTTTAACTACATTTTTGTTTTTGTAGGGTTTCTCTCTAAAATGAATTATCTGATATTGTGTAAGGCCTGAGATGTGCTTAAAGGCTTTGTCACATTTTTTACCTTCATAGAGTCTCTCTAATATAAACTCTTTTAGGCTTTGGGAGGCTGAGAGGCAGTTAGATCACTTGAAGTCAGGAGTTCAAGACCAGCCTGGCCAACATGGTGAAACCCCATCTCTACTAAAAATACAAAATCAGCCAGTGTGGTTGCATGCACCTGTAATCCTAGCTACTCAGGAGGCTGAGGCAGGAGAATTGCTTGAACCCAAGAGGCAGAGGTTGCAGTGAGCTGAGATCATGCCACTGCACTCCAGCCTGGGTGACAAAGTGAGACTTCATCTCAAAAATTTTTTGTTCTCAAATAAATTCTCTTAGGTTCCTTAAGGTTTGAGGGCTGCTTAAAGGCTTTGTTACTTTTTTTTACATTTATAAGACTTTTGTTCAATATGAATTATCTTATGTACAATAAAGGTTTGGAACTGGTTAAAGGCTTGGCCACATTCTTTACACTTGTAGTGATTTTTTCAAGTATAAATTATTTTATGTATTATAAGGTCTGAAGGCTGGACTTTATCACATTATTCACATTTGTAGGGTTTCTCTCCAGTATGCATACTCTTATGATTAGCAAGACTTGAGGACCACTTAAAAGCTTTGTCACATTCTTCACATTTGTAGGGTTCCTCTCCAGTATGAATCCTCTTATGAGTATTAAGAGTTGAGGAGAAGGCAAAGGCTTTCCCACATTCTTTACATTTGTAGGGTTTCTCTCCAGTATGAATTATCTTATGTTTCTTAAGGGTTGAGGAGCAGTTAAAGGCTTTGCCACATTCTTCACATGTGTAGGGTTTCTCTCCAGTATGAATTCTCTTGTGGTAAGTGAGGGATGAGGATAAGCTAAAGGCTTTGCCACATTCTTCACATGTGTATGGTTTCTCTCCAGTATGAATTCTCTTGTGGTTAGCAAGTGTTGAGGAGCGGCTAAAGGCTTGGCCACATTCTTCACATGTGTAGGGTTTTTCTCCAGTATGAATTCTCCTATGTTTAGTAAGGGTTGAGGACCAGGTAAAAGCTTTGCCACATTCCTCACATCTGTAGGGTTTCTCTCCAGTATGAATTCTTTTATGTTTAGAAAGGGTTGAAGAGCAGTTGAAGGGTTTGCCGCATTCTTCACATTGGTAGGAATTCTCCCTAGTATGAATTATCTGATGTTGATGTAGTTGTGAAACCATGCAAAATGATTTGCCATATTTTTTACATTTGAAATGTTTCTTTCCAGTATGTCTTGTCTTATGTCTATTGGAATTTGAAAATTTGCCGAAGACTTTGACACATTTATGAGTCTGAAATATTTTGTTTTGGGTAGTTGACAAACATTGGTTAACTTCATTACAACCTCCTTTTTGCACCTCACACTCACCCATGCTTTTACATGTTTTTACTTGTAAATTGTCATGTCCACTTTTTCCATATCTTCTTGGTATTACTTTTTGGAGTGAATCTTTTATGCCTAGCTCTGGCGGAAGGTCTTGGGTGAAATGAGAACACATAACTGAAAGACATAAAAATCACAAGTTACTTCACTTACTACACCCAGATAGATATACTTTACAAATCGAATATATAAAATTATACAAGGTACTTTAGCAAAATGGCATATCAAATTACCACAGGCCATAATTCCTTCATAGGTGTATAAATGTAACAAAAACATAGTGATCAAAATACCTTTGCTGGAAATTTATAAATAAAGTGTGTGCACCAGGTGGGCACAATACCAAGAGCCATATAGACAGAAAAGAAAAGTCTGATACATTTACCCAACACAGCCCTTCTTCATCCCCAATAGAAGAACATGGTGTCTTTAGGAGTAAACTGGCTTTTATTACAAAAGACCAGAAAAATACTGGCACCTATATCTTTATTTTTGGCTTATGGAGGCCTTTCTGTCTTCCATGATAGAAAGTGCTGAATCAAATGGTAGTATGCTTTGAAATGACACCTTTAAGTCTTTTGAGATCAAAGGTGAATGTTACAACAGCAGAAAGACTGTAGTACATGGATAGAAAATAGGTGTGGAAAGTAGCTACCTACTGGTAAGAAGAAACATGGAGAAGTCTTTTAATGGAAAAATAAATACAAAATTGCAGACAAGACACATCCTGAGAACATGTTTGAGAGACTCTGTGAATCTCTAGCCAAGAAAGAAAATTGGTTTCAGGCTATGCCAAGAAAGAGCTGCATTATAAAGATCGTGAAAGGTAGTTTTATGTTAATGTTTAAATCTCAACCAAAGATTACAATGTATACAAAACATGAAGACAACATGGTCTAATCAAAAAAATCAAAAATTTTGAAAAAGCAACTACAAAAATAAAGAGGCATATATTAATTTTAAAAACATAAGATAATCCATATTATGCTCAGTGAGAAAAATGGAAAACCAGACACCTAAATAAAATTAGAAAAATAAGAATATCAACAATAGGCTTGGAATAATAAAAACAAAACAATCATGGAATTAAAAAAGAATAAGTGAAAAAATTTAGAAGTAAGAAAAAAATAATGTAAGAAATGAAGAAGCTAAACAAACTAGGATATACACAAAAAGATCCATAACACATATTTAAACAAAGTTTCAAAAGTCACTAGCCAGAAGACAATCTTGGGAGCTATAAGATAAAAGTGAGGTATTATTTATAAGCATAGTCCTCTGACACATTTGACAACAGAAAGCTTGCAGGTCAGAAAAGAACTGTGTACAATGGTCAAAGTGCTGAAAAAAAATCTTCATGGTGAGAATAATAAATGCAGCAAAAATATACTACAAAATAAAGAAAAAATAAAGATCTTCCAGAATAAACACATGCTGGAAAAGCATATAAGCACTGCATGTGCCCTAAATAAAATGCTGAAAAGAGGTCCTGCCGCTTAAAATAACATGATGAAAAAAATACATAATCATATGAAAATATATAACTTTCTGAAAAACATATGCATATACAAAAAATAAAAATCTGTGGTATTATTGTGATCATGCAGAAAACATTTTTAGTTATTCTTTAAAATTTCAAAGATATAAGCATAAAAATAATCATAAAACATAAAAAGATATAATTATCAACATCAATAAGATGTATAGGGTAGATATAATGAGGACAAATTTTTCTATGCAACTGAAGTCATTTTTTTTTACCAGTTTAAAAAATATTGTGGTAACATTTAGAGGTGTTATGAAATCTCCAGTGTAGCACAAAGAAAAAATCTTTATAGACACACAAAAGAAAATGAGTCAATTACTAGCATGAGACAAAGATTGATATTATATAATGGTAAAATAAGTCCATTTACTAGGAATCTATAACTATTATGTCTATCTATATGTATAAGTATATATAACATCAGGGTTTCAAAATATATAAAGCAAATATTGATAGAAGTGAAGCAAGAAATAAAATGGCAGCATAAAATTATAAACATTAAGACCTCACTTTCAATAATAAATAAAAAATTGAAATAAAAAATTAATTAAAAAACAGAAAACCTGAAAAACATTATATAGTGTATGAATTCATTTTGCATTGCTATAGAAAATAACCTGAGACTGGGTAATTTATAAAGAAAAAGACTTCTTTGGTTCACAGTTGAGTAGACTGTACAAGATGTATATGCCAGCACCTGTTTCTGGTGAGGATATGAGGAAGCTTACAATTATAGTGGAAGGCAAAAAAGAACCAAACATGTCACATGGTGAAAGATGATGCGAGTGTGAGGTGGAATAGCCATGTTCCTTTAAGCAACCAGCTCTCATGTGAATTAATAGAGGGAGAACTCTATGATTACCAAGGGGATTGTACCAAGTCATTCATGAGGGATTTGTCTCCACGATGCAAACACCTCTCATTAGGCCCCACATCCAACACTGGAGATTACATTTCAACATGAGATTTGGAGGGCACAGAGCTCTCCAGTCAAAAGCAAGAGGATACACAATATTTTTATTTGCACCTGGTATGTTCTGTTAGAATACATAGGTCTTAGCAAATTTCAAAAGATCAGCCAGGTGCAGTGGCTCACAGGTGTACTCTCAGCACTTTGGGAGGCCAAGGTGGAAGGATCACTTCGGGCAAGAAGTTTGATACCAGCCTTGGGAACACAGTGAGACCCAGTCTCTACAAATAATTAAAAATTAGCTGGGCATGGTGGGGTATGTCTGTAATGTCAGCCACTCAGGAGGCCAAGGTGGAAGGATTACTTGAGTCCAGGAGGTTTAGGCTGCAGTAAGCCAAGACTGTGCTACTGCACTAGAGTCTGGGCAACAGAGTGAGAAACCCCGTGTAAAAAAAAAATTTAAGAAGAGCAAAATCATACAGCCTATTTTTTCTAACCAAAACTGATAAAACTAAAAAGAAAAAAGGTAAAACTGGCAAATCAAAAATACATGGAAATAAACACACTTTTCAATGTATTCTTGCACAGGTCAAATAATTTAATTTAATTTAATATTTTTGCTCAGGGGTCAAAATAGTTAAATGACAACTTAATTTGTTAAGATGTCAATATAACCCACAGTGGTGAACAAATTTAATATAATCTGTATCAAAATTCCAAAAGTATATTTATTCCTGAAATATTGTTTAAAAATTTTAAACTTTATTTTGAACTATATCTAGAGAAACACACGTGAAAAACAGAGGCAATATACTTCTTAATTTTAAAACATAATAAAAAGCAACAATAACAATGACTATGTGGTATCCACACAAAGACAAATAAGGACATGATAGAGCAAAATAGGGGGCCCAGCAATGAACTCTTCTGTGTATGAGCAAATAATCTGCCACAAGGTTGCCATGAGCAGACAATGGAGAAAATATAATCCCTTCAACAGACAATGTTGAAAACTGGATATCTACATTGAAAAAATAAACTTGGATGCTTTAATTGCATCATATACAAAAAATATTTTAAACAAAATACTTTGGAAAAAAACTAACGAAATTCTTAGAAAAAAAATATAGTGGAAAGACATGACATTGGTCTTGGCACCATTTTCTTAGACATGCCATCAAATGCATGAGCAACAAAGAGAAGAACAGGAAAATTTAACTGGGCTAAACTTCAAAATTTCTGTAATCAAGTAACACATTTAATAGTGTGACAGTGCCACCCAAGAAATGGGTGACAATATTTGAAAATCACATGTGATAAAACTTAATATTGAGAATTTATAAACAACTCCTAGAAGTAGACAACAATAACTGAATTACTTGATTTAGAAATGGTCAAGCGAGCCAGGCGCGGTGGCTCATTCTTGTAATCCCAGAACTTTGGCAGGCCGAGGTGGGCAGATCACCTGAGGTCAGGAGTTTGAGACCAACCTGACCAACATGGTGAAACCCCATCTCTACTAAAAATACAAAATTAGCCAGGCATGGTGGCACATTCCTATAATCCCAGTTACTCAGGAGGCTGAGGCAGGAGAATCATTTGAACCCGGGAGGCAGAGGTTGCCCTGAGCCAAAATTGCCATTGCACTGCAGCCTAGGCAACAAGAGTGAAACTCAGTCTCAAAAAAAAAAAAAAAGAAAGAAAGAATTGGACAAATGATTAAACTAAATTTTAATAAAAAAAGATATACAAATGGGAAGAACTATTTGAAAGGTTGCACAAAATTAATAATTTATAGAAAAATGCAAAACAAAATCACAATACAAAACAAAATTACTTTACATCAATTAGAATAGCCAATATAAATTTTTTCAAAAACACCAACTATGTTGATGTAAAGAAATTGAAGTCTATGTAAGTTGTTGATGAGAAAAAAGATGCAGCTATCATAAAAAATATGAATGTTCTTTGAATAATTAAAAATGAAATTATACAATACAGCAATTCTATTTATAAATCTATATCTAAAATATGCAACACAGTAAAATGAAGACATAAGAGGTATCCTGCTTGTATATCCCCCCACAGCAAGTCTCATAACCCAACCTCTAAATAAATAAATACATGGATAAAAATTAAAAAATAAAAAAGTTGTAAAAAAACCTTAAACTATATTTCAAGTCTATAGTAATGACAACAGAATGGCATGTGCAGAAAAACGGACAACCACCAATGAAACAGAAACTACTATTCTCACACGTTTTAGACATGATGCAAAAAAAAATTTTTAATGGTTTAACATAGAGTTTCTCAAAAATATGCAGATATTAGCATGCCCCCAAAACAATGGTAAAGCAGTCAGTCTCTGATAAGCCATAAAGAAAACTTTGGCTCACACTGTGAACTTGAAGAAAGATTACTGAAGCGAAAGTAGAATCCTTAGAGAATTTAAAAGCATGGGGCAGAAGGTATCCCTATCTGAGAGCAAAAGAAAAAAAAATGACTCGGGCTTCTTAGAAACTCTTTCCATGGAAGCACATCTCCCCAAATCACATTTTAAGGACTGGCTTCCTCCTTGACTTTTGCACCTCTCATCTGTGTCATCCGCTTCATCCACTCTCACTTACCTGGGTGTTTGGTTACCATCTCATTTCTCTTTATATTCCAAGGCTCTTTATTTTGCTCCAGACAGGTGATCAAGTCTGGCTTAGAGACAGCAATACCTGTTTTATTAAGAAAAAAAAGTAACATAAATCTTGCTGAATTCTTTAATTACCAAACGAGTATTATGCTTAGTAAAGAGGATATAATAGAAAATTCTAGAAAATTAATATTGATTCATAACAGAACTTTTTAACTATTTAGAAAATATTTTAAATTTGTAGGTCCTTAATTTCACTACTCAGTACTACTGAATCAAAAATTGGTGGCAGCAACTGAATTCTAAGGTGTGGGCAACGATATTTTATGCCATGACATTTTTGGAATTGCCACTAACCTAGAGTGAAAGATACATAAGCTCAGGAAAGGGAAAAGTTCAGGTCAAGATAAAACATCTTGAAGAATTTGTTCTACACCAATGAATCCCCAAGATTTTCTTCAAATCAGAGAGCTAAAATTCACTCATGCAAAGCAGAAATTACCAAAAAACATTTTAGAAAAGAGAGAAAAGAAATATATTAGGAATTGTGTATTGAAGTTATCCTCACCCAGGGAGACCAGGTTTCTGTAGTTCTCTAACATCACATCTCTATATAAATTCTGCTGAGCGTGATCCAGGCATTGCCACTCCTCCAGAGAGAATTCTATGACTACATCTCTGAATGTCAACAGTCCCTGAAAAACAATAACAACAACAAAAAAACACTCATGAACACACAAACACTTACTATGTGGCCGTAGGCAGAGATTTTTATTTGACTCAAGTTAGAGAGTAAAAAGAAGTGTTTCTCACTTATAAGAGTGACTAAAATTATTCAATGATAATTTTTAACACTGAAGTATTCTCTAACTCTCCACAATACCACTGTAGATATGATACTTTTCTGGATGATAAATTATTAAATTAAGGGCATCAATATGCACATGTCTATTTTTTTCTTTTCTTTTTTCTTTTTTTTTTCCTTTTGGAGACCAAGTCTCACTCTGTTGCCCAGGGTGGAGTGCAGTGGCATGATCTTGGCTCACTGAAACCTACGCCTCCTGGGTTCAAGCGATTCTCCTGCCTCAGCTTCCCAAGTAGCTGGGACTACAGGCGTGAGCCACCATGCGTGGCAAATTTTTGTATTTTTAGTAGAGATGGGGTTTCTCCACGTTGGCCAGGCTTGTCTTGAACTCCTAACCTCAGGTGATCCACCCACCTCGGCCTCCCAAAGTGCTGGGATTACTAGCGTGAGCCCCCGCACCTGGCCTAAATTTAATTATAAAGAAACACCAGTTTTATGCAAAGTTGAAGATACAGATAACTTCCCTGTTCTGTAATTTTTAATAGTAACATTAAGTAGCCTTTCTTTAGCACCCTAGAGAGCAAGTATCTCTTAATAGGTTTTTTCAGAACTTTCTGGGTAATAAGTGCCATCCTGTTTATGTTAGCATTTTCTAAATCCTGTTCTGCATGGAACTAATAGAGCACACAGATGAAACTTCAACAAGACATGTTTCACTTTTCTTTAATATCCAAAGACAACTGTGTTTCCCCAGTAAAAATCTTGAGTATCCACACCTTCTCATGTTCAACAGCTACAATGGGAACATTTTAAATACCGCAGGTCATAAATTTGTGGTGAGAATTCTGCATGGCATACAAAAATCCAAGATGAAGAAAATATCTAGAAGGCTATGGTGTGGCCAGGCACGGTAGCTCACGCCTGTAATCCCAGCACTTTGTGGGGCCAAGGCGGGTGGATCACTTGATGTCAGGAGTTCGAGACCAGCCTGGCCAACATGGTAAAACCCTGTCTCTACTAAAAATACAAAAATTAGCTGGGCGTGGTGGCAGGCACCTGTAATCCCAGATACTAGAGAGGCTGAGGCAGGAGAATCGCTTGAACCCACAAGGCGGAGGTTGCAGTGGGCTGAGATTGTGCCATTTCACTCCAGCCTGGGGGACAAGAGTGAAAACTCGGTCTCAAAACAAACAAAACAAAACAAAACAAAACAAAAACAACAAAAAAAGAAGACTATGCTATATAGAAAAATTTTTTTTCAGAACCCCTGGACTATCATAAAAATAGCAAAAAATAATTGAAACAAACTCATTAGGTATAAACAGCACAAGCAGAGAAGTAAACATATGCATGTTCCGAACACATGGCATTCCAAAGGCAGAGTGGACACTGCATTTTTTTTTTTTTTTTTTGAGACCATCTTGCTCTGTCGAGCAGGCTGGAGTGCAGTGGTGCAATCTTGGCTCACTGTAACCTCCACCTCCTAGGTTCAAGCAATTATCCTGCCTCAGCCTCCTCAGTAGCTCAGATTACAGGTGTGTGCCACCACGCCCGGCTGATTTTTGTATTTTTAATAGAGACGGACTTTCACCATGTTGGTCAGGCTGGTCTCGAACTCCTGACCTTTTGATCCACCTGCTTCAGCCTCCCTAAGTGTTGGGATTATATGCGTAAGCCACCACGCCCGGCCCGCACACTACTCTTGATCTGAGACATGCTCACCAAGAAAAAGTGATTTTTTTCTTTTCCTCCTCTTTCTCTGAAATGTATTTTCAGATAAGATGCTCTGGACATATCAAACCTGCATCTTGAGAATATGCCTTTAAAGCACAACCTATTCACCTGCTACCGCCACACACACCCACGGCAGAAAGACCGAGACTTGCAGAAAACATTCACCCATTTTTGTTGTGTATAATTGAAAAGATTTAAGAGCAGAGAACAACGAGCTTCTCCATAACCACTAAAATATAAGTTTCTTTTTCCCTGCCCTCCCCTATCAGACTCCAGCAATGTTCTTTACAGTAATGGGAGCACGAACCGCACTGACCTCTTCCTACCAAACTGAAATAGGGCAGGCAGTGCAGCCTTCCTTTGATGCAAAGGTTGAACTAAACTCTCCTGAACGTAACTTGAACCCCTCAAGTTTATAAATCACTTGGTAATCTTGGCCCTGCTTTGTGCAAAGCGATTCTGCAGGACCCAAAAGGGTCCAGGAATGGGCTTTTTCAACAAGTCCCCTGTAAATGCTGATTGTGCTTTCCCAGACACATTATTAGCATTAGCGAGAGAAAGCAGGCACAGCAAAGAGTCCCTTACACCCACTACATTTGTCACAATATAAATACTTCTGGTACAAATAAAGACAACCAATCTCCACCCTGAAATATTATATTTTTTGTTAGCTTTTTTAAGTTTACAGAGAAAACAGAAGGCAGCAATGTCTGAGTAGGTCTGCACTTGGGAAATGTGTACACATGTACTAATAAAATGTTTATTAAGCAGGTACTATGTGCTCAGGAGCATGTCACAGAATACCGTGCTGGGAATAACACATAATGTGATTTAATTTTCATACTCTGGGAGTTGCTACTAAGTGTTGAATAATTTTTAGCATTTGGATTAAGAGCACAGCATTTTTATTTATTCCTATGTTTCTCTATCATTAATTTTTAAAAGAAAATATATAGAACAATAAATCAATACAAAAAACATCTGAAATGATACAATCACATAAAAATTGAATAATCAACTTCCAAATGGCTATTTTGTAAATAATGAAATTAAGGCAGAAATAAAAAAAGTTTTGAAACTAATTAGAGCTGAAATACAACATACCAGAAGCTCTGGGTCACAGCTAAGGGAGTGATAAGAACAAAGTGTATAACACTACACATCCACACCAAAGAGTTAGAAAGATCTCAATTTACAAACCTGATGTTATAATTACAAGAATTCCAAAAGTAAGAGCAAACTAACTTCAAATAACCAACTTCTTCAAATAACTTCAAATAACTTCAAACTAACTTCAAATAACTTCAAACTAACTTCAAATAACCAAAATCATAGCTGAAATTAAGAAGGTGAGACATAAATAACCATAAAAAGTTTAACAGGCCAGGCACAGTGGCTCACGACTATAATCCCAGCACTTTGGGAGGCCAAGACGGGCGGATCATGATGTCAGGAGTTCAAGACCAGCCTGGCTAACATGGTGAAATCCCGTCTCTAGTAGAAATACAAATATTAGCTGGGCATGGTGGCGGGTGCCTGCAATCCCACCTACTCAGGAGGCTGAGACAGGAGAATTGCTTGAAACCAGAAGGCGGAGTTTGCAGTGAGCTGAGATCATGCCACTGCACTCCAGCCTGGGCGAAAGAGTGAAACTCCGTCTCAAAAAAAAAAAAAAAAAAGTTCAACGAAACCAGAAGTTGATTCTATGAAAAAATTAATATGATAGATAAAATACTAGATTAATGAAGAAAAAAGAAATAATTCAAATAAACACACTCAGACTAAAAAGTCCAAAACAACAGATGCTTGTGAGGTTGTGGAGAAATGGAATGCTTATATGCTGCTGGAGAGCGTATAAATTTGTTTAACCATTGAGAAAAACAGTTTGGCAATTTTTCAATAACCTGAAAATAGAATTACCATTTGACCCAGCAATCCCACAATTGGGAATATAACCAATGAATGTAAGTTATTCTACCATAAAGACACATGCACACACATGTTTATTACAGCACTATTTACGATATGAAAAACAAGACATAAACCTGTATGTCTTCAATGGTAGATTGGATAAAGAAAATGTGGATGTACACACCATGAAATATGATGCAGCTATAAGAAAGGAAAACATCATGTCCTTTGCAGCAACATGAATGGAGCAGGAGACCGTCATTTTTAGAAAACTAGTGCAGGAACAGAAAATCAAATACTGTATGTTGTCACTTATAAATGGGAGCAAAATAATGAGAACACGTGGACACAAATAAGAGAACAGACACTGAAGCCCAGTTCAGCGTGGAGGGTCAGAGGATGAAGAAAATCAGAAAAAAAATCTATTGGGTACTATGCTTAGTACCTGAGTGATAAAATAATCTGCACACAAAAACTTCATGATATGATTTTACCTATATAACAAACTTGCATATGTACTGTTGAATCTAAAATAAAAGGTAAAAGAAAAAAAATTCTGCCAGGCGCGGTGGCTCACACCTGTAATCCCAACCCTTTGGGAGGTTGAGGCAGGCAGATCACCTGAGGCTAGGAGTTCAAGACAAGCCTGGCCAACATGGTGAAACCCTGTCTCTACTAAAAATACAAAATTTAGCTGGGTGTGGTGGCATGCACCTATAATTCCAGCTACTCAGGAGGCTGAGGCGGGAGAGTCTCTTGAACCCGGGAGGCGGAGGTTGCAGTGAGCCGAGATCATGCCACTGTACTCCAGCCTGGGTGACAGAGCAAGACTCTGTCTCAAAAAAAAAATAAAAAAAATCATGGGTGGGAAAGAGTGCAAGGTAAGTGATAGGACTGGTTTGTACTACAGACAGAGGTCCATGTGGGGCTATACTCTGATTTAGTCCTGTGTCCATGCAGGCAGATTAGACTATGATCAAGTGGTACAGATCCCTACATTGGTGGAGGAAACAGGTTGCTACTGCAGATTCAGTGTCTGGGGTTGGGGATATGCCAGGAAACGTGTAGGCACATTAATGGGATTTTGGCAAGAAGCACTAAAAGCAAAAGCGCTGTGGTGGAATACTTGAGGGTGATACCTAGTCCTGGGAGGGGTGTGGACGCATCAATGTCTAGTGGGTCTGTGAATGTGTGAGAATCATGTGGTGGTAGCGGTGAAAGAAGGAGGTCTGTTATCAGAATTCCTTTTCTCTAAGTTTTTAGTCCCCTGTCACCCTGAGAGGAGACCTAGAATCACAGGACAATGTGCAGTGTGACAGCCTGTGTGCAGGAGAACAGAGCCTCACCTTACCAGACACCCAGAGTCCCCCTCCAGGCCAGGCCTCTGTAATATCTCTTTTCTGACACCAAATCTGTGGAGTTTGCTAACTAGGAAGCAATTTTTTTTCTTTTTTTTTTTTTTTTTTGAGATGGAGTCTCACTCTGTTGCCCAGGCTGGAGTGCAGTGGCATGATCTCAGCTCACTGCAACCTCCACCTCCTGAGTTCAAGTGATTCTCCTGCCTCAGCCTCCTGAGTAGCTGGGATTACAGGCACCTGTCACCACGCTCAGCTAATTTCTGTATTTTTGGTAGAGATGGGATTTCACCATGTTGGCCAGGTTGGCAACAAGCAACTTTTTACCACCAACTTATTGTCTAACATTTCCATCCTGATACCACCTGGAGTCAGCACAGACCATAATTCAGAGCTCAGTCTCATCATATTGCCCTTACTGCATATGCCTGTCACAAATCCCGGGGACTCATCTATGCTTCTCAGCTACTGTCTGTAAACTGGGGACTCCCATAATCTCCCTCAAGTTCAATAATTTGATAGAGATACTCACAGAATTCTGCAAAATCCTGTACTTAATGTTAGCCAGTTTACTATAAAACATGCAACCAAGAAACAGTGAAATGGAAAAGATGTATAAGACAAAAAAAAAATGTTGGGGAAGATGGGGCATTTGGATAATCTTGGTAAATAGCTGTGATTAGTAAAATTCTCCAGCCTGGCATGATGGCTCATGCCTGTAATTCTAGCACTTTGGGAGGCTGAGGCAGGTGGATCACCTGAGGTCAGGAGTTTGAGACCAACCTGGCCAACATGGAGAAAACCCATCTCTACTAAAAATACAAAAAATTAGACATGGTGGGCCTGTAATCCTAGCTACTTGGGAGGCTAAGGCAGGAGTATTGTTTGAACCTGAAAGATGGAGGTTGCAGTGAGCTGAGATCGCGCCACTGCATTCCAGCCTGGGTGACAGAGCAAGACTTTGTCTCAAAAAAAAAAAAGTAATAATAAAATAAAATAAAACAAAATAAAATTCTCCATCCTTTGTGGTCTTCAGCAACAGCTTAACAGAAAGAAACGTTCTCCCCATTATGACTTAGATGGTGTTGTATTTTCTCACTTATCACATAGCCAGACATAAACTCTGCAAATTTCTACTTTTCTTATAAAAGAATCTGCTAAATACTTTTCTTCAGTGGTCAAAACAAAATACTTCTTAATCAACTTTGCTTACATTTTTCTTTTTTCCCAGGGCTTCTGACCTTTGAGCTACTTTCAGTCTAAGCCAACATACAACCCCATTTTCTGTCTTTCCTTAAAAACATGCTGTCTTCAGGGTAAAACATTCTCTGATCTAGAATCTAATTTTGCCCCCTTATATCATACCATTCTTACTTACTCCACCTTCTTTCTAAATTTGTTTGCTATTCTCTATGAAAGAAAGTCCTTGTCTGCCTAAACATTGATATCCTTAAAAATCTTATACCTGGTACTTTTTTCTGTTGTTGGGATTCAGAACTTATTACCTAAATCTGATTTTGTTTTATTTTACAAAGTCTAGAAACTGACCCAAAACAGCAACACCTTTATTTTAAGTAAGGTCTTTCCAATTCCCATCTATTCTAACTCTGACTGAATCTGCCTGTGGGTCCCCAGCTTTCCTGGGCTCTGTTGCTCATCTCAGTATAAAGGCTTCTTCCTTTGCTGGTGTGAGCAGGCTGGGACATCTGCTGGAGAGGCTCCCTAGAAAGAACTGACTAGGCCTTCATTAACCTCCTTTTGCAGACTCAATATTGCCCTTAGCTTGGAGTTACAGGGCTCAGGCTTTAATTTCCAAGTCAGAGATGTTCACTTAGTTTTTGAAACTAAGTGTTAGATAAATTCAGAAAAATTACTGAAACACAGTGTTTATACAAAGGGAAAAAATGTTAAGGTGCTTATATTTTATAGCTCAATGAGAAAAGCAAAAGTATCTATCTCTTTCAGACAATACACATATCATTTTCTTATTTCCATAACAGGACATTCTGTAATTAGTACTATGACCAAATTCCTAGAAGGTGCGCAGTCCCATCTCATAAAGTTATCATAAAATTCAGAAATCAAGATAACAGGGCCAGGAGCAGTGGCTCTTGCCTGTAATCCCAGCATTTGGAGAGGCCCAGGTGGCTGGATCACCTGAGGTCAGGAGTTCGAGACCAGCCTGGCCAACATGGCAAAACCCCGTCCCTACTGAAAATACAGAAATTAGCCGGGCATGGCGGCAGGTGCCTGTAATCCCAGCTACCTGGGAGGCTGAGGCAAGAGAATCACTTGAACCCAGTTTTCGGAGGTTGCAGTGAGCCAAGATCATGCCACTGCACTCCAGCCTGGGCAACAGAGTGAGACTCCGTCTCAAAAATAAAAATAAAAATAAGATAACAGGATGTAGAACAGAAGTATTTACTGTCACATTAATTTTGCAAAAAGAGACACTGATGTTTTGATGAATCTATGTAATTCCCCAGTTATCTACCACATTTTCTTGTGCAAATGTATTCATTTCCGACAGCCATAATGGAAGAGACATTTTTCATATTATTTCCCTTGGTAATATTCACAAAGCTAAGCCTTAGAATACTGTGTGAAATCACACAGCCAAAAAATAACACACCTGAGAAAACTTCTATGCTCACTCTGAAAAACAAAAGGGTAAATGCAAATTTTTAACAAACAGAATACATGACTAAATTTTTTTTCTGAAACTCATCTCTTTCACGACCTTTGTAAATATTTTGTTACATATTGAGCTCTACTGATAAAATGCAATTTACAGTTAACTAACATAAGTTGAAAGAAGTGAAAATATCTTTTCAAGGTGACCAACCCAGGGAGTGGCAGTGCTGATTGGAACACAGACACGTCTGACTCATGTGTCAAGTCAAACTATCTAATCATTTGAGAGTCTCCCACGTGCATCCTGCTCACTGAAATGCTCAATGACAACCATTCCAGGAGACACTGCACCGTGCCTTGGTGAGTTCCCCAGGTGCAATTACTTTGAGATTCTTGCACCATCTTATTGGGGTCAGTTTTTCTTGCCTTTAGAAATAGTTTTTTTCCTTCACAAATCTGACAGAATCCAGAGGGCAGAAATTACTTCTGTGTTTTTCCCTCAATACCAGCATATGATTGGCTAACTAGCAATGTGTCTCCATGAAATGGAAGCTGAGTTGGGTAAAGACAATTCTAATGTCGCAAGGGATTAGCTTTTTATAGGAAAAGTATACTAGGAGATTGCTCACAGCCCCAAGGCATTCGTTTGCTCTCTTCTCTTGCAAGGCTACACTTCATATCATGTGCTGTTCTCTAAAAGAAAATAACTCAGGAGATGATATTCACTAGACACTCCAGCAGACATGGCCAAGGTGGGTTGATATTCACTAGACACTGTGGCAGACATGGTCACGGTGGGTATCTTGGTTTATCCCAAAGCAGTACTAAGACCCAGAACCAGGAAAAACCTAAAGTGTGGCTGAAGAAACATTACCCTGTAGGGTTTCCCCCAAAAAAACTCAACCCACGCATTATGATAAGATGTCTGAGCTTGAACAAGACAAAAGAAGAGGCACATAGATTTTTTTACAACACAGTGTCAGAGGATTACTCTCTGCCTTTTCTCTTCTTTTCTTTTTTTTTGAGATATGGTCTCACTCTGTTGTCAAGGCTGGAGTGCACTGGCATGATCTTGGCTCACTGGAACCTCCATTTCCTGGATTCAAGTGATTTTCTTGTCTCAGCCTCCTGAGTAGCTGGGATTAGAGGCGCCCACCACCACACCTGGCTAATTTTTTTGTATTTTTAGTAGAGATGGGGTTTCATCATGTTGGCCAGGCTGGTTTCTAACTCCTGACCTCAAGTGATCTGCACCTTGGTCTTCCAAAGTGTTAGGATTATAGTTGTGAGCCACTGCGCCTGACCTCTGCTTTCTTCTTATGTGAAATATTTATAAACGGGAAACTTTTTTTTAACAAAGCATTGAATGGCACTCTTTAAGTGTCATCCAATGACTTTTAAAAAAATAATTAGTGTAAGTACTGTGTCTGAAACATATAAGAAAGGACAAATAGGTAATAATGTGAGTTAGAAAGAAAAGTTGGCATTTGGGAATGTCAGATGGAACTGGAAATTTAATATTTTACTGCAAGGCAGTTAGTCTGTGGGAACAGGGAAACTGACTTAAGACCTTGTTTAAGACACGGTTGAGGCCTGGCGTGGTGGCTCACGCCTGTAATCCCAGCACTTGGGAGGCCAAGCAGGCGGATCATCTGAGGTCAGGCATTCGAGACCAGCCTGGCCAACATGGCGAAACCCCATCTCTACTAAAAATACAAAAATTAGCTGGGTGTGGTGGTGCAGGCCTGTAATCCCAGTTATTCGGGAGGCTGAGGCAGGAGAATCACTTGAACCAGGGAGGCAGAGGTTGTAATGAGGCAAGATTGAGCCACTGCACTCCAGCCTGGGTGACGGAATGGGGCTCCGTCTCAAAAAAAAGAAAAAAAAAGACACAGTTGAAAAATGCAGGCTGCCTGCAATAGCTTATTCCTGTAATCAGAGCACTTTAAGTGGCAAAGGCGGCCAGATCACTTGAGGCCAGGAGTTTGAGACCAGCCTGTCCAACATGGCAAAACTCTATCTTTACTAAAAATACAAAAATTAGCCGGGCGTGGTGGTGGGTGCCTTTAATCCCAGCTACTCAAGAGGCTGAGGCAGGAAAATCACTTCAACCCAGGAGGTGGAGGTTGCAGTGAGCTGAGATCACATCACTGCACTGCAGCCTGAGCAACAGAGCAAGAATCTGTCTCAAAAAAAAAAAAAAAAAAAAAACCAAGGGAAAGCCAGTTTCCTGTAGAGTATAAAAATATTTAAACAGCAGGCAATTAGACTAAGGTGGATTGATTTTTCTCAGCTCTCACTTAAAAAAAAAATCTAACTCAAATGTATCTCTTATGGCCAGGGGCGGTGGCTCATGCCTGTAATCCCAGCACTTTGGTAGGCCGAGAAGGGCAGATCATTTCAGGTCAGGAGTTCGAGACCAGCCTGGCCAACATGGTGAAACCCCATCTCTACTAAAAATACAAAAATTAGCCAGGCACGGTGGCGGGCACCCATAATCCCAGCTACTTGGGAGCCTGAGGCGTGAGAACTGCTTGAACCTGGGAGGCAGAAGTTGCAGTGAGCCAAGATAGTGCCATTGCACTCCAGTAAGGACAACAGAGCAAGACTCCCTCTCAAAAAAAATATTGCATTTCTTGGAAATTACTATATTGAAGAAAAAAATTCAGGCCTAGTCAACCACAGACTGCTAATTAATCTGTGATGACATAGCCAAGAAATTTTCACCTGGATCTTACAAATAAGGAAACGACATAACTTTACCAAAGCAGTTACTGAATTTGGTTTGCTTCATCATGCAACTTATAACAGACTTCTTCAAGTCTCTCCCATGGACCACAACCCACAAACCATAGCTGGGCACTCTATGATTCTTGAATCACATTTTGATCAAATTGTCTAATATTTTTACAGTGACTCCCATACATTTCTAAAAGGAAAAATGAGGAACTAGGGACCCCAGGGACCACAGCTCTTTCCACTTATGAATCCCACACCCTGAGTCGGGATTCTCCCCTGATGACTTTCCCATCCCTGTACAATCTGGGTGAGATGAGGCGCTGGGAGTGCAGAGCTGCCCAGAGAGGGCTCCAGTCCAGGGCAAAGCCACTGCAAAGGAAAAAGAATTCCTAGGGTCCTAGCCGCTGGCCCAGGCACCATATTATGGCTCGAGGGGACTAACAGCCCACCTGGGCCAAGGAGGATTTGGGTCCTCAGACTCCGGAGCTGACTGCGAGGAAGTTTGGGTCCTGCTACAGCCACTTTCAGCCGGTTCCAACCAGCCCTCACCCCTCTCTCACGGTGACAGACCCAGCACTCACCATTTCTCGGCTTCCAGGGGATCCCGGTCTTTTAGCCATAAATCTGCGGATACCTGCAGAACACAAGGCCACAGTGGCTTGGCCTCTAGGAACAGAGGACGCAGAGCAGTGAAGAGAAGAACTGGAGCTCTGGACGCAGAGAAACACAAAGGACCCGGAAAATTACGGAGGCATCCTGTTCTCTCCAGCTGCATGCCTGATTGTACAGTTTCTAATATATGGCCCCTGATTGGATAAGGTTTCAGGACCCACCCTTCACGCCCTGAGTGACGAAAAATGTGATCAGACACTGGGCTAAACAAAGCAAAAATAACAGGCTAGGCTGCAGCCTTTACAGCTAAGCCTTCTTCCCTGATCTGAGCCAGGCCAACCTTAGAGGACATTTGCATTTAACCTTGTGTATAACGTCATATGCATTTATAAATGGTATATAATATAGTTATTCATAAACTGAAAAAACATAATGACAATTATTTTAAAATTTCAGATTTTATGACCTTCCTTGCTGCGGGTCCTTTGCAGTGATATGGTTTGGCTCTGTGGCTCCACCCAAATCTCATCTCAAATTGTAATTCATGGCCAGGCGTGGGGGCTCAGGCCTGTAATCCCAGCACTTTGGGAGGGTGAGGCGGGTGGATAATGAGGTCAGGAGTTGGAGACCAGCCTGGCCAATACGGTGAAACCCTGTCTGTACTAAAAATACAAAACTTAGCCAGGGTGTTGGCGGGCGTCTGTAGTCCCAGCTACTCAGGAGGCTGAGGCAGAAAAATCGCTTGAACCC
Source organism: Homo sapiens (assembly GCF_000001405.40). Taxonomy (NCBI): domain Eukaryota; kingdom Metazoa; phylum Chordata; class Mammalia; order Primates; family Hominidae; genus Homo; species Homo sapiens. The sequence goes on along the minus strand of NC_000007.14, from coordinate 64,248,375 downwards.
GGGAGGGGGAGTTTGCAGTGAGCCGAGATCGTGCCACTGCACTGCAGCCTGGGCGAAAGAGCCAGACTCGGTCTCAAAAAAAAAAAAAATTGTATTTGCCACATGTCCGGGCAGAGACCAGGTGGGAGGTGATTGGATTATTAGGGGGGATTATCCTCATGCTGTTCTTGTGATAGTAAGGGAGCTCTCAAGATATTTTAAAATGTGGCATGTTCCCCATCCCCGGTTCTCTTTTTCCACCAAGTAAGATATTGCCTTGCTTTCCCTTCACCTTCTGTCATGGTCATGATTGTAGGTTTCCTGAGGATTCCTCAGCCATGTAGAATTATGATTCAATTAAACCACTTAAAAAAAAAGTACGCAGTCTGAGGTATTTGTTTATAGCAGTGTGAAAATGGACTAATACATGCAGGCAGCCTGAGATTTCAAAAAGGAGGCAATCCTCTGCAGTAAAATATGAGCCACATGTAAATTTTGAATGTGCTAGTAGCCAAATATTAAAAAGTAAAAAAAAAAACATGGTAGGGCCAGGCGCAGAGGCTCACGGTTGTAATCCCTGCACTTTCAGTGGCCGAGGTGGTCGACCACCTGAAGTCAGGAGTTTGAGATCAGCCTAGCTAACATGGCAAAACCTCATCTCTACTAAAAATACAAAAATTAGCCAAGCATGGTGACAGACACTTGTAATCAGCTATTTGGGAGGCTGAGGCAGGAGAATCGCCTGAACCCAGGAGGCAGAGGTTGCAGTGAGCCGAGATCGTGCCACCGCAATATAGCCTGGTGACAGAGCGACTGTCTCAAAATAAGAAAGAAACAGGTGGAATAACAAGTGAAATTGATTGTAACAATTTAATCAGTCCAATATATCCAAAATATTATTTTAATATGTGATTAGTATGTAAGGGTTAATAAAGCATATACATTTTTAAAGCTAAATATTTTAATGTAACCTTGTATTTTACCTTTCTAGCATATTGCAGTTCAGACCAGCCACATTCCAGCACTCTGTGGCCATGTCAGAGGCGTTTGAACCAGAGCAACTGCATCTGGAATAGGTGCTGGGTGAAATGGGGCTGAGACCTACAGGACTGCATTTCCATGAGGTCGGGCATTCTAAGTCAGAGGATAAATAGGAGATTGGCACAAGATGCAGTTCACAAAGACCTTGCTGATAAAACAGTTTGCAGTAGAGAAGCCAGAAAAATCCACCAAAACCAAGGTGGGAATGAAAGTGACCTCTGATTGTCCTCAGGAATCATTACACGCTAATTATAATGCATTAGCATGCGAAAGACATTCCCACCAGTGCCATGACAGTTAACGAATGCCATGGCAACATCAGAAAGTGACCTTACATGGTCTAAAAAGAAGATAAACACAGTTCTGGGAATTGCCCATCCCTTTCTTGCAAAACTCATGAACAATCCACCCCTTGTTTAGCATATAATCAAGAAATAACTGTAAGTATTTTTAGTTGAGCAGCCCACACTGCTGCTGTGTCTAAGGAGTAGCTATTCTTTTATTCCTTTACTTTCCTAATAAATTTGCTTTTGCTTTGCACTGCAGACTCGCCCAAAATCCCTCCCTTCCTTCCTTCCTTCCCTCCTTCCTTCCTTTCTTTCTCTTTCTTTTTCTTTCTTTTCTTTCTTTCTTTTGACAGAGTCCTGCTCAGTCACCCAGGCTGGAGTGCAGTGGCACCATCTCGGCTCACTGCAACCTCTGCCTCCCGGGTTCAAGAGATTCTCCTGCCTCAGCTTCTGGAGGAGCCGGGATTACAGGTGCACACCACCATGCCCAGCTAATTTTTGTATTTTTAGTAGAGATGGGGTTTCACCATGTTGGCCAGATTGATCTCAAACTCCTGACCTCAAGTGATCTGCCCGCCTTTGCCTCCAAAGTGCTGGGGTTACAGCCATGAGCCACCACCCCCAGCTCTGCATTCTTTCTTGTACGAGATCCAAGAACCCACTCTTCGGTTCTGGATTGGGACCATTTCTGGAATCTTCTTTTCAGTGAATCACAAAAGGATGATGCTAAGGAAACGCCCAACCCAAAGGAAATAGACTGAATCGCCAATTGGCTAACTTTTTGTAAGTGATGGCACACCTGGGTAAAGAATGGGATTGGGTTAATACCCCAATTTAGGGGAGTTAGAGTGTCTCCTAAGACAGATAAGATAAAAGGTCCCTTTTAATAAAAGGCAAGAACACTTGACGAAACTCGTGTTTGAGGTGCAACTTAGAAAAGTTAGTCTTTCCTAAGATTTAGGGGGTGAGAGGCCCCTCTCCGTAAAGTCCCTCTCAGCTAAGATTAGATTTGGCATTATGGAACTTTAACCACTATTGTCTTTGTGTTTGTTTGTTTGTTTTGAGACGGAGTCTCGCTCTTGTTGCCCAGGCTGGAGTGTAATCGTGAGATCTTGGCTCACTGCAACCTCTGCCTCCCAGGTTCAAGCGATTCTCCTGCCTCAGCCTCCTGAGTACCTGGGATTACAGGCACCCACCACCACACCCAGATAATTTTTGTACTCTTAGTAGAGACAAGGTTTCACCATGTTGGCCAGGCTGGCCTCAAACTCCTGACCTCAGCTGATCCACCACCTCGGCCTCCCGAGGTACTGGAATTACAGGCATGAGCCACCATGCCTGGCCCTGTCTTTGGATTAATCTGCCTTGCATTTTTTGCTGATGACTGTGGCTGACAGAATTAGATGAGTACAGGATCATGGAACAAGGGGAGCTTTTTCCTCCCTAAAGTGGGAAACTTGAGAGCAGATGGGACTGCCAAAAAAGATTCTTTCACAACCAACAAGAGATCACCTAAACTTTTGATTCAATGCGTGGGTCTTTCTCTAGTTTTCCTGATCTCCTCAACTTTCCTGCCTTACCATAAGCAATGCTTTCTCTCTCTCTCCCTCTCTCTCTCTCTCTCCCTCTCTCTCTCTCTCTCTCTCTTTCTCTCTCTCCCTTTCCTATCTTTTCTGTTACTCTGGGCCACCATCTTCCCCAAAGATCACATGTTGAAACTTCTGGTCAGAAGTCCCTGAAACAGGCCGGGCATGGTGACTCATGCTTGTAATCCTAGAACCTTGGGAGGCCGAGGCAGGTGGATCACCTGAGTGGGGGGGTTCAAGACCAGCCTGGCCAACATGGCAAAACCTTGTCTCTACTAAAAATACAAAAATTAGCCAGGGTGGTGGTGGGTGCCTGTAGTCCCAGCTACTCAGGAGGCTGGGGCAGGGAGAACTGCTTGAACTTGGGAAGCAGAGGTTGCAGTAAGCCGAGATGGCACCACTGCACTCCAGCCTGGGAGACAGAGCAAGACTCCATCTCAAAAAGCTAAAAAACAAAGAAAGAAGAAGTCCCTGAAACAAACAACAACAAAATGGATGAAGTTTCCCTCTTGTTTTATGTTCTTGAGAGCTTGACCTTGTAGCCATGTGGCAGTATTTTCTCTTGGTTTCTACCATCCAGCATATAGAAATTTTGAAATTTGTGTTATAGTTATCCATAAAAGTGATCTTGAGCAGTAAACAACCTTTGCAAGCTCAAAATTGGCTGCTGGAGGCTTCTTCTGGGAGACCCCAATGGAGACTGCTCAGTGCTGTAGCTCAGTAGCTGGGCTTTGCTGTCTCACAGTGGCAGCCCGAGTTCAGGGTTCAATTTCTGGCTTAGGAAATGAGTCATTTGTGATTTGATATCTGTGTGAATATTTGTGGATTCGCTTTCCCTCCATGAACCATCCTGAATTGTCCTTTCTCTGAGCTACTTTGAAGATTCTAGATTTTGTAAAAACTGCTTGCCATCTTTTTGAAAATACTTTGTACACTTGTGGTTAGGTTCATAACCGTAGTTAAAGCTTATGGGTTTCAGGAGGCTGAGGTTGCGGTGAGCCGCATTTGGCCACTGCACTCCAGCCTGGGCGACAGAGAGAGAATCCGTCACAAAACAAACAAAAATATAACTTATTGATTTCACCTGGGAGGTTATGTTAGTAAAGTTCAAAAGTCAGAAATATTGGCAGTTTGGCATGGCTAAAGTCAAGTAATTAGAGAATTAAATAATTTTTTTAAAAAGAGCATCACAGTTAAAAGTCAGCTTAATTATTATTACCATTATTATTTTGTGAGATGGAGTCTCGCTCTGTCACTCAGGCTGGAGTGCAGTGGCACAATCTTGGCTCACTGCAACCTCCACCTACCGGGATCAAGCAATTTTCCTGCCTCAGCCTCCCAAGTAGCTGACATTGCACATGCCCATCACCACACCTGGCTAATTTTTGCATTTTTATTAGAGACCAAGTTTCACCATATTGGTCAGGCTGTCTTGGAACTCCTGACCTCATGATCTGCCCGCCTCAGACTGCCAAAGTGCTGGGATTACAGACTTGAGCCACCGTGTCTGGCCCAAAAGTCAACTTAATTAATTGCAGATATTCAAGCTCTAACAGCCTGGAACTCCTTGGAAAAAACAGAGGAGGTGCCACAATATGCATTTTGGGTGCAACTCACAGGAGATATTGACTCTGATCCTGAAGTTGGGCATGTAAGAGATTGTAAATTTTATCTCTGGACCTTTTCACAGACGTGATTGTGACGTATACCTTCACTCAGTATCTGACTGATTTTTCTCTTTTGCCTAGGCCTCACCTACAGTTTAGATTGTGAAATATACTTAGATTGAGCGCCTAGATAATGTGACTCCTGCCTGGGCTTTGCCCTCCTGGGGTATTGGGACATATTTCTGAGCCAATCACCTAGGCGATATGACTCTCCCTTTCTGCCTGGGCCAGTCCACAGGGGTTACTGTGAGATATCTTTAGGCCCATCACCTTTGTTATGTGATTCTTTTTTGCCTTGAATCTATTTACAGGAGAAATGGTTACATATCACTGGGCCCATCACCTAGATGATGTGACTGTCGTCTACCTGGAACATGTTTACAGGGTGGATTGTGACATATTGCTTTTCCTAGCACCCAGATGTGAATTTTATTGTCAGGACCCTACCTATAGTAAAAATATTGACATATCGCTGGCCCAGCACCTAGTTGATGGGACTCTCCCTCCTAGTCTCTGCCCACAGGTGGGATGGTTACACATTAGGCCCAGCTGACAGGTATAATGAAGACTCGCGTATGCAAACCCAGCCAATGGAAGAGATTTTAACTCTTCTAGGTAGGCTTAGACAAACAGGTAATGATCTGGGCCTTCTACATGTGCAAAGATCACACAATATATCACACTCATGCATATTCTATAAAGTCTTTGGGTGATATAAAGAGTGTCATATCAGGGTCCAGCACAGAAGTAAAATTGTGACTCTTACAGGCACACCCAGCAGACAATTAAAACTGTCTCCCTCACACATTGACAAAACTTACTGGTGAGGTCCTGACTCTCATATGACAACACAATACACAGTTAGAATATTGGCCATCCCATGTGGATCTGGACAAAGGTCAGGTGGTGAGTCATAGCTGGGTCCAGCTTACAGGCCCAGCAATGGCTCTTATACCCGGACCTTGCTAATAGAAGAGGTGTTGACTCTCATAGCTGGGTTTAGGCCAAAAAATAAAATTCTGGCTTTTCTACTTAAAAAAAAAAAAATCACAGGTGATTACCACACACATGCATATTGTCTAAAGCCCTCAGATGGGACAGAGAGTGTTATAGTAGGGCCCAGCACAACACTGAGGTTGTGACTATTGGATGCACACTCAGCTGACTGTTAAAATTGTCACCTTTATATAGGGAGAGAGCAAAATAGTTCCTGAATCTCACTGACAGATACAGTCCACAGTTGGATCATGCCTGTCACATGTGGATTGAGCCACAGGAGGGATATTGACCAATTTTTGTAACCAGATTATAGGAACAAAAATGACTCCCTTACCTGGACCTAAAGATTGGAGAGATGTTGACTCTCACACCTGGGCTTAGGGCAATGGGTGTGATCCTACATTTGGGATTGTAACAAAAGCCTGGGCAAGCACAAAGGTCTCGAAGCAGATGGTGAGTCTCACATGTGCCATATAAAACCTGCAAGTGGTACAGTGTCATAACAGGGACCAGCAAACAGGTGAGATTCTCTCATATGCACACATGGCTAATAGTAAGAATTGTCACCCTCTCACATGAACACAGCCTTCGTAAAATGTCCTGAATCTCACACTCAGAGGCAGTCAAAAATCGGAATTGTGACTTTCAGATGTGAATGCAGTCCACAGGTAGGTTGGTGACTCTCACACCAAGATTCAGCACCCCTGTGAGGCTGTGACTCCCCTACTGGGACACTGTTTATAAGTGGGGTTCGGGCTGTTATGCACAGAGCCAGTGCACTGTTGAGGTTGTGATTCAAGTACTTAAACACATATCCCAAGATATGTTGACTGTCATAAGTGAAGCCAGCACATTTGTGGGGTTTTAAATCTTATCCTTAAACCTTTCTGCAGGTGTGATTGTGACAATTACATTTCCCAGCATCTGATTAATTTTACTGTATTGTCTTGGCCCAGTGTACAGTTAAGATTGTAACATATACCTGGGCCATGCACAAAATTTATGTTTCTCTCCTGCATGAGCCCTGTCCTCAGGAGAAATTACAAAATATCTCTGGGCCAATCATCAAAGTGAAGTGAGTCTCTTTTTCGGCCTGGGTCCTATCCTTAGTTGGGATTGTGACCTATCACTGGACCTTTAACCCAAATGATATAACTCTTTATCCTGGGTTCTTATTACAGAAGGCATTGTGAAATATCTCTAGACCCATCACCTAGGTGATGTGATTCTTCTTTCCTGCCTGAACCCTGCCCGCAAGAGGCATTGTGACATATCACTGGCCCCAGCTTCTAGGTGATGTAACTGTACTGCCTTGGCCCTGCCCATAGGGGACATTGTGACATATCGCTGGGCCCACCACCTAGGTGATATGACCCTCCTGAATTGCCCCTGCACTAAGGGGAGATTTTGACTCTGCCCAAAGTGGCAATTGTGACATATCTCTGGCCAGCACCCAGGTGATGCAACCCTTGTGCGTGGTCTGTCTCCACAATTGGGATTGGGAAATACACATGGGCACAGCTTACAGGTGGAATGATGACTCATACCTGAAGATATTTTGACTCTTGTAGTTAGTCTTAGGGCAAAAACTAAGGTTCTGGGTCTTTAACTTGCAGGATGGTCACAGACTATTATGACTTGCATGCACGTTGTATGAAGCCCTCAAGTGCTACAGAGTGCCATAATAGAGCCCAGCACACAGGGAAAATTGTGGCTGTTGTATGCAAACTCAGACAAAAGTAAGGACTGTCACCCTTCCACATTAACAGAACCCACTGTTAAGGTTCTGAATCACACACCAAGAGCCAGTAGAGTTGGAATTGTGAATCTCATACATTAATCCAATCGACAGATGAGATGATAACACCAAGTCCTGGATTTAGAACACCTGGGGGCTGTGCTTCCTCTATCAAAACACAGTCTGTTGGTGAGATTTGGGCTCTCGTGCATTGATTTAGTCCACTGTTGTGATTGACTTGCATAGTTGAACTCAATCCACAAGAGGTGTTGACTCTTATACCTTTAGCAGGAAAATGTCCCGGATTGTGAATTTCTGCTATTGACTGGGTCCAGGTATTAGTTCCATTACTGTTCCTGTGAGCTGGGTTCAAAAATGAGTCACTGTCTCACCTGTGGCTGCATCTACATATGACAATCACAATTCCAAGTCTGGATTGCATTTATGTGTGAGATTTAGGACCTCGCCAGTGACCACTGACTATGTGTGAGGGTGACAATTCTATCAGCTGGATGTGCATATGACAGTCACAATGTCACCTTTGTTCTGGGTCCTGTTATGACACTGTATCACATGCGGGCTTCATACAATATGCCTCAGTATCATAATACACTATGTCCTTTATTTAAGTAGGAGACCCAGGACCTTGCCTGTTGCCCTAAGCCTAGATATCAGAGTTAAAATCTGTTCTCTTAGCTGGATCCAAGTATGAGAGTCATCATCTCACCTTTGAGCTGTGACCATGTATGTGTCACAATACACCTGTGGGCAGGAACCAGACATAAGAGTCATATCACCTGGGTGCTGGGTAAGTGATATACCATAATTCTTACTTTGAGAAGAGTCCAGACAACAGAGGAGAGACACATCACTTTTATGATTGGCCAAGTGATGGGTGAAAATCCTCTCTGAGAGCAGGGCCCATTCAGGAGAGTCATATCACCTAGCTGCTTGGCCAAGCAATATATATCACAATGCCCCCTTTGCACAGGGCCAACACAGTACAGTTCCATGACCAGGGAGCTGGTTCCAGCTATATGTCACAATTCCTTTTGTGGAAAGTGTCCAGTTAGAAGAACAGAGTCACATCACCTAGGCGATGGGCCTAGAGAGATGCCACAGTGCCACTTGTGGGCTGGGCCCTGGGGGAAGAATAACTTCACCCAGTACTGGGCCCAGCAATATGTTGTGATGAGAACTGTAAAACAGTTCCAGGCAAGAGAGGAGAATCACATCATCATGTTGACAAGCCAAGAAATATTTCACAATCCCCCCTGTGCACACGTCCTAGGCAGAAGACCTGAATTACCTTTTTACTTAGGCCAGTAATGTCACAATGCTTCTTCAGGGCAGGGCACAAATAAGATAGGACAGTCATGTCATTAAGTGCTAGGCTTGGTGATATGTCATAACCTTACCTGTGGGCAGGGTCCAGGCAGGAAAGAAGATTTACATCACCTAGGTGCTCAATAAAGAGATATATTACAATTCCTTTGAAGGAAGTGGCCAGACAAAATAGTCACATCATCTAGGTGCTTGGCCCAGGTACAAGTCACAAGATATCTGTGTGTTGAGACCAGAAGGACTAGCAAATTACTAAGGTTCTAGGTAGAAGTGCATGTCACAGTTACATCTGCAGGAAGGCCCAGGAATGGGACTCCCAATTACCCACATTTCCCCACTCCAGGTGTAAGAGTCAACAACTCCTGAGACTTAGGTCCAAGTACATGAGTCACAATCTCAATAGTGGATTGCATCCTCTCATGAGAGCCCCAATCCCTTCTCCAAGCTGTGTCCCAGTAGGGGTGTCACAACCTCAATGGTGTGCTGAATCCTGGTTGGAGAGTCCCCACTTCACCTGTGGACTGGATCCGTATATGAGAGTCACAATTACAACTCTTAACTGCCCCTGGGTTTGAGATTCAGAACCTCAATCATGAGCTGTGTACACATGGGCATGTGACAATTACTACTTTTGGCTGTGTGTTCCTACAAGACTCTCAATCTCACCTGTGTTCTGGGCCCTGTTATGAGACTCTCTGTACCACCCACGGGGTTTATTGGATATGCATGGGTGACATAATCCTCTGTGATCTTCATACAAGTAGAAGACCCAGGACCTTACCCCTTGCCCTAGGCCTATCTATGAGAGTCTAAATCTCTCTCTTTGACTGGGCCTACGTGTAATGCCTGTAAGCTGGGTCAAAGTATATGTCACCATGTCAACTGTGGGGATCTATGGGCAGGTGCAGTGAGAGTCAAGATGGGAGGAGGGTTTTGATGTCCTCTGTAGGATGTAATTGTTATTGTTTTGGGGCTGTTTTCAGATATTGTCAAATAAAATAAATTTATATGTAGGTATGAAATAACTTCATTCTAAAGTAGTGTTGTGGCTGGGCACAGTGGCTCATGCCTGTAATCCCAGCACTTTGGGAGGCCAAGGCAGATGGATCACTTGAGGTCAGGTGTTCAGGACCAGTCTGGTCAACATGGTGAAACCCTGTCTCTACTAACAATACAAAGATTAGCTAGGCGTGGTGGTGGGTACCTGTAATCCCAGCTACTCGGGAGGCGAAGGCAGGAGAATCGCTTGAACCCTGGAGGCACAGGGTGCAGTGAGCTGAGATCGCACCACTGCACTCCAGCCTGGAGTGAGTGAGACTCTGTTTCAAATAAAATTAATAGTGTTGCAATGGGGGAAGCACCAAACATAATAGCTACATACGTCTCAAAGTTAGGCTGAAAAGGGCTGTCATTCATATGGAGGAGCAAGAAAGATTAGAAAGAAGGTGGGAGAGGAGGGCAGAATGGAGGGTGGAAAAATCAATGCAATAGAGAATGTTGCACCCTGAAGTCAGCCTGTTCTTGGGAGGGACATGAAGAGGAGTTGTATGTTTGCTCAGACTGGAGGTGGAGCAGAGTCCAAGGGTCTGGGGGAAAGATAAAAACTTAAGCAAAGTTTGCTTAACAGGTATTTTCTTGTGAACCCTGAAGATAAAACTATTTAATTGTGTGTGAAGAACAATGGTAATGATCCTGACCATCAGTCACAATGGTAAGGATCTTTCTTTGCAGTAAGTTGTTCTTACAGAACACAAAGCATTAGAGAGTTTTCTTAATTGTAACTATTTACCAGGACTCACCATCCACCCCATCTTTCTCTCCCACTTTTCTGTGCCCTATACATTTTTTTCCAATTGGCATTTTCTGAATTATATTATTTATAATAACCTGGTAAAGTTCTATCAAATTTATGAGTAGGTTTATCAAATTATTAAACTTCAGGGAGAAGTTATAAAAAGCCCATAATTTATAGATAGCTGCTTATAGGCATAGATGGGCCCATGGTGCCCGTCACTGGTGTGTGCACTGGGGACTGTATTGAGGAACTGAGTCCTGATGTGGTTGGGTCCATGATGACTCTTGATTCTGTCAGAATTGAGTTGTTGAACACCCAGTTGGTGTTGAATAGTTGGCTGGTGTCAGCAAATGCCGTGTGTTTGGTCTAAAAAGAAAGACATCACTGCAGCCTTGGCTGGAGGGAGACTGTGAGTCTTTTGGGGAATGGAGACTCTATTCTTCAGCACACAAGCTGTTGCGCTGTGAATTGTCCTGTGATTCCATGTCTCATCCGGGTTCAGGGGGAACTGAGAACTCAAAGGAAAGCAGTTCTGAGGGCGGACTCCTCTCCCCACCTGGCTGCTAGAAAGTGATTCCTGCACACTCACACCCATGCACCCTGGGCAGTGATGTAGCTACAGTCCTCCCATGACAAGGCTTCACCTTCAGAAATTGTGCTGAAATTACTTCTGTTGCTAGAGTTTTCCACCTATAGGCTACGTAAGTGCCCAGAGGACTCATGGTTTCTTTTTATGCCCAGATCTTGAATCTGCACCAGTGACCCGTTTTCTCCACTAGCCTAGGATTCTGGGTCATCCATCCCTCCCATCTGCCTGCATGCACACATTTATAAGTCAGAGCTATCTTGCCTGGACCAGTCTCTGTAGCCCTAACCAGTCTTTTCACCAACTGTGTACTGTTCCCTACCCATAGGTTTCTTTCTTTCTTTCTTTCTTTTTCTTTCTTTCTTTCTTTCTTTCTTTTTCTTTCTTTCTTTCTTTCTTTCTTTCTTTCTTTCTTTCTTTCTTTCTTTCTTCTTTCTTTCTTTCTTTTTTTCTTTTTCTTTTTTTCTTTCTTTCTCTTTCTTCTTTCTTTTTTTCTTTCTTTTGTTTCTTTCTCTCCTTTTTTCCTTCTTTCTCTTTCTTTCTTTCTTTTTCTTTCCTTCTCCTTTCCTTTCCTTTCGAGTTTCACTCTTGTCGCCCAGGCTGGAGTGCAATGACAGGATCTTGGCTCACGGCAACCTCTGCCTCCTGAGTTTCAGTGATGCTTCTGCTTCAGCCTCCCAAGCAGCTGGAAGTACAAGTGCGTGCACTACACCTGGCTAATTTTTGTATTTTTAAGAGATGAGGTTTCGCCATTTTGGCCAGGCTGGTCTCAAACTCCTGACCTTAGGTGATCCACCCACCTCAGCCTCCACAAAGTGCTGGGATTACAGGAGTGAGGCACTGAGCCCTGCCCCCATAGACTTTTTATATCAGGTTCTCTTATTCTGCCCTTTTTTTTTTCCCCCCACAAACGCTCTTTTACAAACTCAAAACCACACCTCTGGTGCCTAAATACAAACCCTACTGGAAATCAAATGACGATGAATTCAGGATAAATTTTTTGGGCCTGCTTATTGTAAGCGTAAATACAAAATAAAAATAAGACAATCATTCAACTTAAAAATAAAAAAAAGAATTTACTCCTTTTTTTTGACAGAGTCTCATCCTGTTGCCCAGGCTGGAGTGCGATGGCTCAATCTCAGCTCACTGCAACTTCTGCCTACTGAGTTCAAGCAATTCTCCTGCCTCAGCCTCCTGAGTAGCTGGGATTACAGGTGTGAGCCACCACACCAGGCTAATTTTTGTATTTTTAGTAGAGACAGGGTTTCACCATGTTGGTCAGGCTGGTCTTGAACTCCTGACCTCATGATCCACCCACCTTGGCCTCCCACAGTGTTGGGATTACAGGCGTGAGGCACCACGCCCGGCCTCTTCTTTTTTAAAAAAAGAAATTTTTTTTATTTAGATACATTTTATATGTAAATTCTTTCTCTGCTTCTTATCTTTTTTGTGTCTTTTAAGTATCTATGAAATCTATCTCTGCTCTAATTTTTATTCCTTTTTCTTCTTTCCTTCCTTCCTTTCTCTCTCTCTCTGTCTCTTTCTTTCTTTCTTTCTTTCTTTCTTGACGGGGTTTCGCTCTTGTCGCCCAGGCTGGAGTGCAGTGGCATGATCTCGGCTCATGGCAACCTCTGCCTCTTGGGTTCCAGCGATGCTTCTGCCTCAGTCTCCTGAGTAGCTGGAATTACAGGCTTGTGCCACCGTGCCTGGCTAATTTTTGTAGTTTTAGTAAAGACAGGGTTTCACCATTTTGGGCAACCTGGTCTTGATCTCCTGACCTTAGGTGATCCACCCACATCGGCCTTTCAAAGTGCTGGGATTACAGGCATGAGCCACCTAGCCTGGCCTATTTTTTTTTGTTATGCTAATGCTGGGATTATTTAGTTGTTCTTTTTCAAGTATTTTGTGGATTAAAGTTATGTTTTTTATTTGACATCTTTTCCTTTTTCTTAATATAGCAATATAGCACTATAAATTTATGTTTTAGAACTGTTTTGTGGGTTTGTCTTTTTTTTTTTGTATCTCAGAAGTTATTGTATGTTGTTTCTATTTTCTTTTTTTGTCAATATACTTTCTGATTTCCCTTTGGTTTTTCTCTTTGGCCCATGGGTTGTTCAGGAACATGTTGTTTACTATCCACATATTTGTGAGTTTTTAAATTTTTCTTTGGCTATTGATTTCTCATTTTATTAAATTATAATTTAAAAAGTTGATATGGCCGGGCTCAGTGGCTTACACCTGTAATCCCAGCACTTCGGGAGGCTGAAGCAGGTGTATCACCTGAGGTCAGGAGTTTAAGACCAGCCTGGCCAACATGGCGAAACCCTGTCTCTAGAAAAAATACAAAAATTAGCCAGGCATGGTGGCACATGCCTGTAGTCCCAGCTACTCGAGAGGCTGAGGCGCAAGAATCGCTTGAACCCTGGAGGTAGAGGTTTCAGTGAGCTGAGATTGTGCCATAGCACCCCAGCCTGGGTGACAGAGCGAGACTCTGTCTTGAAAAAAAAGTATATTATATGAGTCCCCTAGACCTAGAAAGTGCTGCTGAGGTCACCACTGGGCAGGACATGAGAGGTATATTAGTCTTCTATTGCTCCATAACAAGTCCCCACAAATGTAGTGGCTTAGAACACACCCATTTGCTAGCTCGTAGTCCTGTAGAACTTATGGTTCAGGGTCCAGAAGACTCCGTTGGGCTCTATGCTTTGGTTTTCACAACGCTGAAGTCAGTATATCAACCAGGCTGGGCTCTCATCTAGAGGTGCTGGGAAGAACCCATTTCTAAACCCATTCTGGTTGTTGCCAATTTCCAATTCCTCATGGTTGTAGGACTGGGATCCTTGTTCCCTTGCTCGCTGCTAGCTAGGACCCGCTCTCTGTAAGTAGATGTCCCCCCACATTTTACTCAATTTGCTCCCTCCATCTTCAAAGTCAGCAAAAGTGCATCGCATCTCCAGCCTACTTTGAATCTCTGACTTCCTCCTCTGCTGCTGGCCAGAGAAAGCTCTCTAGAGGTGGGGTCTGAATTCTGATTACCCACCAGGAGGTTTGCCTTTGCACTGTTTGAGTGCACACATTTGTTAAAAGTCTCACACCCACTCCAGTATTTCTTTGATCTTCTAAGGCATTCTGATGGTCATAGTGATTTTGAAGGTCAGGTTCCTCCTTCCTCTGAATTGGGTCAGTCAGTGAACCTTCTTGCTGTCCCCATGAAGGGTCCCTGTTAGGTCTCACGGCAGCCCGGATCTGGAACAGCCCTGTTCTATTCTTGAAACAAACACCCAGTCGCTGTGGTGTTGGTGGGAGCAGCAGTTGATTCTAATGAGGGTTTGAGCCACCCCTCTATCCTCTTCCCAGTAGCACCGAGCATCTCACTTCTCAGAGCTCCTTCATCCTTCTTGACTCTCTTTCTTCTCTCTTTTCCAGTGTCCCGTCTCTCAGTGGCTTACTTCGTTCTTGTTTCTCACAAGCCAGCCCTGTGTCTCCTTTTTCTTATGTACACGGATTCCATTTTCCCCATCTCCAGAGTAGACCTTTTGCACTTCTGATGATTTGGCTAAGGCTTTGCTGTCACTGCCTGTAAGGATCTACCAGATTAAATCCTTAAATCAAGACCACCCTACTCCCAAGCATTTGTCTTGCAATTGGGAATGAAGGTGAAGGTGGTTTCCTTATTCCACCTTCCCCTGTTATGGATGGAATGAATGGAAGTACCTAGTATCACAGGAACACCGAGGTTGGGGGAGGAGCACTGCCCCAAGCAGGTTACACGGAAGCAAAGACCTGAAAGGGTGACTAGGAGGATGGAAACCAGATCCTAACTGAGAGGAAAAAGGTTTTTTGTTTTTTGTTTTGTTTTTCTTGAGACAGAGTCTCACTCTGTCATCCAGGCTGGAGTGCAGTGGCGCCATCTCGACTCACTGCAGCCTCAACCTCCCAGACTCAAGCAATCCTCCCACCTCAGCCTCCCAATAGCTAGGACTACAAGAGCACGCCTCCATGCCCAGCTTAATTTTTAAATTTTTCTTAACGACGAGGTCTCCCCGTGTTGCCCAAGCTGGTCTATGACTCTATTTCTTTCTTTCTTTTTTTTTTTTTTTGTTTATTTGTTTTGAGACAGAGTCTGACTTTGTCACTCAAGCTGGAGTGGGGCAGTGGGGCGATCTTGGCTCACCACAACCTCCTCCCGGATTCAAGTGATTCTCCTGCCTCAGCCTCCCAAGTACCTGGGATTACAGGTGCATACCACCACTCCCAGCTAATTTTTGTATTTTTAGTAGACACGGGGTTTTTACCATATTGGCCAGCTGGTCTTGAACTCCTGACCTCAGGCGATCTGCCTGCCTCAGCATCCCAAAGTGCCAGGATTACAGGGGTGAACCAGCACACCCAGCCTATGACTCTATTTCTTGGGCCCTGCCCTTAAGGGGTATTGTGACATACCTCTGGATTAAACATTTAGGAATGTGACTTACTTCTGTTCCCTAGGACCTGTCTACAGGCAGCAGTGAAACATATTTCTGAGCCCATCACATGGGTAATGTGACTCTCCCCTTTTAGCCCTGCCCCAAGTGAAGATTGTGACATATCACCAGGCCCATTATCTAGGCGATATGACTCTTCTCTCCTGCCTGGGCCCTGATTACAAAGGGGATTGTGAAAATCACTGGGCCCAGCACCCAAATAATATGACTTTCCCTTTCTGCCTGGGCCTTGTCTACAGAAAAGACTAAACCATATCACGGGGCCAAGCACCCACATGCCTGCCTGCATTCTGCTTACAGTGGGTATTGTGACATATCCCTGGCACAGAACCAAGGTAACGTGACTCACCTACCTGGTTCCTGCCCACTGATGGGATTGACATATATCTAGGCCCAGCTCACAGGCATGATGATAACTGTCATAGATGGACCCAGCCAATAAGAGAGATTTTAATTGTAGTTAGGCTTATTACAACAGGTATGCTCCTGAGTATTCTACATGTAGAGAGGTCACAGACTATTAGGATGCTCATGCATATTTTACAAAGACCTTGGGTGGTACAAAGATGTTGTAACAGGCCAGTGCACATGTGAAATTGTGACTCCCATAGGTACACCTAGCCAACAATTAAGATTTTCACCCTCAACACATGCATACAGCCCACTCTTGAGGTTCTCAGTCTCAAACCTGGGAGATTCACTCTGTCGCCCAGGATGAAGTGCAGTCTCACCATCTCTGCTCACTGCAACCTCCACCTCCCAGGTTCAAGCAATTCTCCTGCCTCAGCTCTTGGACAAAACTTCAGCATTCCTGCTAGGGTGTCTCTGCCCTACTAAGACACTGTGTGCAGGTGGAGTTGAAGCTCTTATGTATGGATCCTGTCCACTGTTGAGATTGTGAATTGCATGCATAGACTCAACTCACAGGAGACGTTGACTCCCATACCTCCAGCTGGGACATTTGCAAGATTAGAAATTTTATTTCTGGATCTTTCTGCAAGTGCGATTGTGACATCTACCTTTGCCTAGCACCTGACTGCTTTTACTTTTTTGCCTGGGCCCAGCCAATAGTTGAAATTGTGACATATACTTGGGCTACATAGGTGATGTGATGCTCCTGCCTGGGCCCCGCCTTCAGGAGAAATTTTTACATATCTCTGGGCCAATCACCTAGTGATGTGACTCTCCCTTTCTTTCTAGGCTCAACTTATAGAAGGCATTGTGACAGATCTCTGGGTTCATCACCTAGGAGATGTGACTCTACACTCCCAGCTGGGCCAAGCCCCACTGAAGATTGTGACATATTAATGAGCCCATAAACTATGTGACATGACTCTGCTCCCTGGCCTAAGCCAAGATTAAAGGGGACATTGAGACATAATGCTTTGCCTAGCACCTACATGATGTTGACTCTCTTTTCCTGCCTGGGCTCGGCCTACAGAAGAAATTGTTCATATCACTGAGCCAAGATCCCAGTTGATGTAACTCTCCTCCTGGGCCCTGCTCACAAGGGAAATATTGGCATATTCCTTGCCTAGCACTAAGGTGATGTGAACTTCTGCCTGGTCCCTGCCCATATGTGAGATTGTGACATACACTTAAGCCCAACTCACAGGCATAATGATGACTCTCTTACCTGGACCAAGACAATAGAAAAGATTTTGACTCTTCCAAATAGTCTTATGGTAATAGGCAATCTACTGGGTCTTTTACTTGTAGTAAGGTCAGAGATTACAACACTCATATGCATATTTTATAAAGTTCCTGAGTGGCACAGAGAGTGTCATAACAGGGCTCAGCACACAGATGGGACTGTGACTCTCATAGGCACGGCCAACAGTCAGGATTGTCACTTTGCCACATGGACACAGCCCAGTCACTGCTGAGCTTCTGAATCTTCTGCTCAGAGACAGTCAAAAGTTGGAACTGTGACTCTTATATGTGAATCTGTTCCACAGAAAAAGATGATGACTTTCATATATTCAGCACACGTGTGAGGCTGTTACTATTCTACCAGGAAAAGGTCTGCAGGGGTCTTGGGGCTCTCATGCAGGAATCCAGATCACCACTGAGATTCTGACTTGCAAACTTGTACCCAACTCTCAAGTGTTTACTCCCATACCTGGTGTTGGGACCAATGTGAGATTGTGAATCTAATCTCTGGACATTCCTGCAGGTGTGATTGTGACATATACCTTGGCCCAGCTCATGATATTTGATTATTTTGCCTGGATAAAACACACGAGACAGTGACATATATTTGGGCTACACCTTGGTGATATTACTCTCCTGTTCTTGGCCCTTTTCTTTTTCTTTTTTTTTTTTTTTTTGAGACGGAGTCTCGCTCTGTCGCCCAGGCCAGACTGCGGACTGCAGTGGCGCAATCTCGGCTCACTGCAAGCTCCGCTTCCCGGGTTCACGCCATTCTCCTGCCTCAGCCTCCCCAGTAGCTGGGACTACAGGCGCCCGCCACCGCGCCCGGCTAATTTTTTGTATTTTTAGTAGAGACGGGGTTTCACCTTGTTAGCCAGGATGGTCTCGATCTCCTGACCTCATGATCCACCCGCCTCGGCCTCCCAAAGTGCTGGGATTACAGGCGTGAGCCACCGCGCCCGGCCTCTTGGCCCTTTTCTTAGGGGAAATTTGGACATATCTCTGGGTATATCACCTGGGTTATGTTACCATCTTTTTCTGCCTGAGTGTGGCCCACAGGGGAAATCATAGTATATTTTTAGACCCATCACCTAGGTGATGTTACTCTTCCCTTCTGCCTGGGTCCTGCTTCCAGTAAGAATTGTAACATATCGCTGGATCCTGCACCCAAATGATGTTACCCTCCTGCCTGGGCCATGCCGACAGTGGGAATTGTGACATTTCTGGGCCCAACATTTAAGCGATGTGACTATCCTCTTATGTTCGCAGCATGTGTTGTAACATATCACTAAGCCCAGAACTCAGGTGATGTGGCTTTCCTGCCATGGCACTGCACACAAGGAGAATGCTGACATATCCCTGGCCCTGAATTCAGATGATATGACTGTTTTACCTGATCCACACTCTGAAGTGAAATTGTTACATATACCCAGGCCCAGTTAGCAGACATGATGATGACTCTCATACATAGACCCAGCAAATACAACAGATTTTTTACTCCCCTGGCTAGATTTAGGGACACAGGTAAGGGTCTGCATTTCCTTATAAAAGGTCACAGGAAATATGACATAAATATTTTATAAAGTCCATGAGTTTTATGAGCTGTGTCATAATGCAGTCCAACAAGCAGGAGAGATTGTGACTCTCATAGGCACATCCAGCCAACAATGGGATTATCACTCTTAAACCTAGACACAGCCCACTGGTGAGGTTATAAATCTCACATATGGATGCAGACCACAGTTGGAATCGTGACTGTCGTATGTGGATGTGGCCACAGGTCAAAGGGGAAGTCATTTCTTGACTAACTCACAGGCACAGTGTTGTCTCTTATACTTGGACCAAGCTAATAGAAGAGACGTTGTCTCACTGTTACGCTTGGGAAAATGGGGATGGTTCTGGGTTTTCTAACTGTACAAAGGTCACAAAAAAATCACAACACTCATGCGTACAGTATAATGCCCTATTATACTGTACGCAACTTTGTATTGGGCTGTGTTGACACTCTCTGTAATACTGTAATACCTGACCACAGGTAAGATTCTGACTCATTTCTGGGCCCAGCTCACAAACATGGTGATGACTCTCATACCTGGACCCAGGCAAGAGAAAATGTGTTAACTTCTGCCTGGGCTTAGGGTAACGGGTAAGATCTTGGATCCATAAAAACATAAAGTTCTCAGAGCAGAATTCCACTCTCAAGCATGTTGTGTGAAGATCTCAAATGGTACAAAGAGTGTCATAACAGAGCCAAAAACATAGAGGAAATTGTGAATCTCCTATGCATACCTAGCCAACAATAAGGATGGTCACTCTCCCATATGGACACAGCTCACTGTTGAGGTTCTGAATCTCATGCCCAGAGGCAATGAAAAGTTGAAAGTTTGACTCACATACATGCATCTGATCAACAGGTAGGATAGTGACTCTGAGACCAAGATTCAGCACCCTGGTGAGGCTGTGCCTATCTTATGAGGACTCTGTTTGCAGGTGGAGATGGAGCTCTCGTGCACGGATCCTGTCCAGTGTTAAGACTGTGTCTCGTGTATTTGGATGCAACTCACCAGAAGTGTAGACTCTCAGACCTAAAGCTGGGAAATACGTAGAATTGTGAAATTTATTCCTGGTCCTTCCCGCAGGTGTGATTGTGGCGTATACTTTCACACAGCACCTAATTTATTTTACTAATTTGCTTGGGCCCAGCCAACAGTTGGGAATGTGACATATACCTGGATCAAGTACCTAGGTGATATAACTCTCCAGCCCAGGCCTTACCACAGGGTACATTGTGACATATCTTTGGACTTATCACCTATGTGATGTGACTCTACTGACTTGCCTTGTCTTGGCCTCCATTGGGGATTGTGGCATATTTCTGTGCCCAGTACCTAAGTTATGTGACTCTTCTTTCCTGCTTGTGCATTTAGAAGGGATTGTGACATATTGCTGGGCCAAGAACCTAGGTGATGTGACTCTCCTGCCTTGGCCCTGCCTTCAGGAAAAATTGTGACATGACTCTGGGTTTATTACCTAGGTGATATGACTTCCATTTCCTGTGTGGGCAAGGCCAAAGGGGTCACTGTGACATACCTCTGGACACCTCACAGAAGTGGTATAACTTTTCTCTCATTCCAGGACCCTGGTCTCAGTAGAAATTGTGAAATCTCTCTGGGCCCATAACCTAGGTAATGTGACTCTCCTGTCCTGCCTGGACCCTGCTTACAGGCAAGTTCATGACATTTGGCTGGGTCCATCACCTAGGTAATGTGACTCTGCTTTTCTTCCTGTGCCCTGCCACCAGTGAAGATTTTGACAAATTTCTGGGCCAATCAGCTGTGTGATATGACTCTGTGCTCTTTCCTGGGCCCTGTTAACAGGGAGCATTGTGACATTGCCAGGCTCAGCAGCTAGGTAATGTGATTTTTCTTGCTCTCTGGGCCCTACTTACAGAAGGGATTGTGACATACTGCTGAGCCAAGAACTCAGATGATGTGACTCTCCTGCCTGTGCCCTGCCTACAGTGGGCATTGTGACATATCACTGGATCTAGCACCCAGGTGATGTGATTCTCCTGTTTTGTTCTTGCCGGCAGGTGAAATTGTGGCATATACCTGGGCCCAGCTCACAACCACAATGATGACTCTCTTACCTGGACACAGACAGTGGGAGATATTTTGACTTTTGTAGCCAGGCTTAGGCCATAGGTAATGTCCTGGGTCTCCTACTTGTATAAAGTTCACAGAACATTACAACACTCAGGACTATCATAGGAAGCCCTAGAGTGATAGAGGTGATAACAAGGCCTAGCTAACAGCTGAGATTGTGACTCTTGTATGCAGACCCAGCCGACAGACTCTTCCTCATTCTTACAGATAAACAGAGCCTACGAATGAGGCACTTAATCTCACACATAAAAACAGTTGCAAGTTGGATTTATTACTCTCATATGTGGATCTGGTTTCCAGGTGGTTTGGTGACTCTCGAACCATGATTCGGCAGACCTGTGAGGCTGTGAGTTCCCTATTGGAACACAATCTGCAGGTGAGATTGGGGCTGTTGTGCATGCATTTTGTGCATTGTTGAGACTGTATCTCCTTTACTTGAACCCCACTCACAAGAGGGGTTGCCTCTCATACATGAAGCCAGGACTCGTGTGAAACTGTGAAACTCATTTCTGTACATTCCCAAGTGTGTGATTGGGAAATATACCTTTGCCCAGAACCTGAGTGATCTGACTGTTTCCTAGGCCCAGCCCACAGATAAAATTGTGACATATACATGGACCACCCACCTAAGTAATGTGAAACTCCTTCCTGGGCCCTGCCTGCCAAGGGCATTTTTACATTTCATAGCAACCAGCATCAACCCAGGTCCTGTGACTCCCCTGCCTGCTCCCTGCCTACAAAAAGCATTGTGACTTATTTCTGGGTTCATTACACAGGTGATGTGACTTCTACTGCCTTGGCTCTGCACTTAGAGTGCACTGTGACATTTAGCTGGGTACTGCACCCACGTAATGTGACTCTCCTGACTGAGTTCTTCCTACAGGAAGCATTGGAACATATCACTTAGCCCAGCACCTAGGTGATGTGATTCTCCTCTTGCCTAGTTCCTGCCCACTGGAGAGATTGTGACCCATTGCTGAGCCTGGCAGCAAGGTGATGTCACTCTCCTGCCTTGGCTGTGCCCATGGGGGCCACTGTGAAACCTGTCTAGGCTAATTACTTAGGTGAAGTGATTCCCCTTTCCTGCCTAAGCTCTGCCTACAGGGGGGATTTTGATATATCACTGGGCCCAGCAGCCAAGTGATGTGACTCTTCTGCCAGGGTTCTGCCTACAAGGGGGATTGTGACATATTTCTGGACCAGCACCCAAGTGATGTGTCTTTTCTGGCCTCTTCCTCCCCACAGGTTGTATTGTGCCATATACCTGGGACCAAATTACAAGCACAATGATGAATTTTTTACCTGGAGTCAAGACATGTGCAGGATGGTGGAACTTATCACTGGACCTTTCCACAGTGTTATTATGACATATAACTTTGTCCAACATGTGAGTAATTTGACTCTCCAGATGGCCCAGTTCACAAATAAAATTGTGACAGATACCTGGGCCAAGAACCAAAGAGGTGTGACTCATGTGCCTGGGCCCTGTTCTCAGAAAGATAGTGATATTACACTGCACCCAGCACCTAAGTGATGTGATTCTCCTCTTCTACATGGGGCCTGCCTACAGCAACACTTGTGACATATCAATGAGCTCAGCACTTAGATGATTTGACTATCCTTTTTTTCTGGGCCCTGCCCACATGGATAATTGTGACATATCATTGGCCCCAACAATTAGGTGATGTGACTGTCTTGTCTGGGATCTGTCAACAAAGGGCATTCTGACATACTTCTTTTCTTTTTCTTTTTTTCCCCAGATGGAGTCTTACTCTGTCGCCCAGGCTAGAGTGTAATGGTGTGATCTTGGCTCACTGCAACCTTCACCTGGAAGGTCAAAGTCATTCTCTTGCCTCAGCCTCCTGAGTAGCTGGGACTACAGGCATGCTCCACCATGCCCAGCTAATTTTTTTGTATTTTCAGTAGAGACAGGGTTTCACCATGTTGGCCAGGCTAGTATTGAACTCCTGACCTGTTGCGGGAAGTCAGGGACCCTGAACGGAGGGACCAGCTGGAGCCGCAGTAGAGGAACAAAAATTTTGAAGATTTCATTTTAATATGGACATTTATCAGTTCCTAAATAATACTTTTATAATTTCTTATGCCTGTCTTTAATCTCTTAATCCTATTATCTTTGTAAGATGAGGATGTATGTCACCTCAGGACTACTGTGATAGTTGTGTTAACTGTACAAATTGATTGTAAAACATGTGTGTTTGAACAATATGAAATCAGTGCACCTTGAAAAAGAACAGAATAACAGTGATTTTTAGGGAACAAGGGAAGACAACCATAAGGTCTAACTGCCTGCAGGGTTGGGCAAAAAGAGCCATATTTTTCTTCTTGCAGAGAGCCTATAAATGGACATGCAAGTAGGAGAGATATCACTAAATTCTTTTCCTAGCAAGGTTTTAATATTAATATATTAAAACCCTGGGAAAGGAATGCATTCCTGGGGGGTGGTCTATAAACATCCACTCTGGGAATGTCTGTCTTCTGTGGTTGAGATAAGAGCTGAGATATGCCCTGGTCTCCTGTAGTACCCTCAGGCTTACTAGGGTGGGGAAAAACTCCACCCTGGTAAATATGTGGTCAAAGCAGTTCTCTGCTCTCAAACTGTTTTCTGCACATCATGGTGTTTTTCCATGATGTGCTCTTTCTCTTAAAAAGACCTCTGATTAAGTTTAGTCTAATCAAGATAATCTCTTTTATGATAAACAGGAAGCCAATACATTAGTAACATAATTACATGAATAATGTCCCACCACAGTCACACATTTTGTCACACTCAAGAGAAAAGGATTACATAGCAGGTGTGCAGTGAAGTGGGAATCTGAGGGTCACTTGAGAATTTTGCCTACCCACTTGAATAGATTTCAAAAATTGCCTTTCAGTTGCTTTTGTTGTCTTTCTAAGTAAACAAAGATATCATCTGCAAATAATAATTAATTGAACTACTTTTCAATTTTATTCATGAATTACTTATCTTTTTCTGGCTTGTATGAAGTATTTCTTATTTATAGTATACATTCACATATATACATATATAACAATACAAATGTATCCATTTTCATTTTTGTTAAATTTTTAAGAATGGATGTTAAAGGTAACTTCTTTTCTGTTTGACAGGGTTTTTATTGTTGTATTCAAGAGTATTATCTCTGGAGTCAAAGTTGCTTGTTTTTTAATACTGGCTCTGCTATTATTTCTCTCCCTGGCAAGTTATTTCTCTCCCTGGCTCTGTTTCTTTCTTTGTAAATTAAAGATAATAATGATACCTTTGTTATTAAGTTACTGTGTCTAATAGTCCATTCTCACATTGCTATAAGGACACACCCAAGACTAGGTAAATTATAAAGAAAAGAGGCTAATTTGACTCACAGTTCAGCATGGCTGGGGAGGCCTCAGGAACCTTACAATAATGGCAGAAGGTGAAGGAAAAGCAGGTATCTTTTTCACTTAGTGAAGAACAGGAAAAATTACCACTTATAAAACCATCCAATCTCATGAGAACTCACTCACTATCATGAGAACACCATGAGTATCATTCTGCCCATGGCCCCTTCCAAATCTCACACCCTTTATATATTTCAAAACCAAACATGCTTTCCCAAGAGTCTCCCAAAATCTTAACTTATTTTAGCATCAACCCAAAAGTCTAACTCCAAAGTCCAATCTGAGACAAGGCAAGTCCCTGCTACCTATGAGCCTGTAAATCAAAAGCAAAGTAGAAACTTCTAAGATACAGTGTGGGTACAGGCCTTAGATAAGTTATCCCATTTCAAGTGGGAGAAAATGGCCAAAACCAAAGAGCTACAGGCCTCATGCAATTTTGAATTCCAACAGGGCAGTCATTAAATCTTAAAGCTCTGAGATGATCTCGTTTGACTCCATGTCTCACATGTGGGGCATGCTGATGCAAGGGGTGGGCCTCATGACCTTGGGCAGCTCCTTCATGGACTGGAATTGAATGCCTGTGGCTTTTCCAGGTGCACAGTGCAAGCTCATGGCGGATCTGTCATTCTGGGGTCTGGAGTATAGAGGCCTTCTCACAAGTCCAGTAGACAGCTTCAGGGGGGACTCTGCATGAGGGCTCCAACCCCACATTTCCCTTCTGCATTGCCCTATTACTGGTTCTCCATGAGGGCTCTGCCCCTGTAGAAGACTTCTGCCTGAACATCCAGGCATTTTTATCCATCCTCTGAAATCTAGGCAGAGGTTCCCAGAGCTCAACTCTTGTCTTATGTTCACTGACATGCCCAATACCACATGGAAGCTACCAAGGTTTGAGGATTGCACTTTCTAAAGAAATAACCCAAGCTGTACCTTGGCCCTTTTTAGCCACAGCTGGATCTGGAGCAGCTGGGATGCAGGGCACCAAGTCCCAAGACTTCATAGAGTAATGGGGCCCTGGACCTCGAACATGAAACCAGTGTTTCCTCCTAGGGCGCCTGGCCTATGATGGAAGGACCTGCCTCAGACCTTTAACATGACCTGAAGACATTTTCCCCATTGTCTTGGCTATCAATATTCAGCTTCTCTTTACTTTTGCAAATTTCTGCAGTGCCTCGAATTTCTTTCCAAAAAATGGGGTTTTATATTCTAAATCATGATCAGGCTGCCAACTTTCCAAACTTTTATGTTCTGCTTCCACTTTAAACATAAGTTTTTCATCTCCATCTGAGACCACCTCAGCCTGGACTTTATCATCTATATCACTCTTAGCATTTCAGTCAAAAGCATTCAACAAGTCTCTAAGAAGTTCCAAACTTTCCCACATTTTTCTATCTTTTTCTGATCTCTCTAAACTGTTTCAACCTCTGCCTATTACCCATTTCCAAAGTCACTTCCACATTTTCAATTATCTTTATAGTGCCCCAAACTCCCAGTATTAATTTTCTGTATTAGTCTGTTTTCACACTACTATAAAGATACTACCAGAGAATGGGTAATTTATACAGAAAGGAGGTTTAATTTACTCACAATTCTGCATGGCTGGGGAGGTCTCAGGAAACCTGCAATTACAGTGGAAGGTAAAGGAGAAGCAAGTACCTTCTTCACTAGGCAGCAGGAGAGAGAGCAGAAAAAAACCACCAGTTATACAACCATTAGATCTTTTGAGAACTCACTTACAATCATGAGAACAGCATGGGGGAAAATTACCCTCATGTTCCAATCAACTCCCACCAAGTCCCTCCCTTAACATGTGGGGATTACAATTTGTGATAAGATTTGGGTGGGATATGATTTTACAGTAATGAATTCAATACAAGACACAGAATATAGGTTTATTTTTTTGAGGATCTCTGAGGTTTCCAGGTTTTTTGTTAATTATCCACCTTATTAAAATATTCTTTTTTGTTTCAATATTGTTCTTCTGTTCTGAAAATGCATACAGACTCACACACAAACACACTCACTTGCTACATAACTTTCTTATACATAGGGTATATCTTTTTTTTTTTAAACGGTGTCCTGCTCTGTCATCCAGGCTGGAGTGCAGTGGTGGCATCTTGGCTCACCGCAACCTCTGCCTCCCAGGATCAAGTGATTCTCCTGCCTCAGCCTCCCTAGTAGCTGGAAATACAGGCACGCATCACCACGCCCAGCTAATTTTTTGTATTTTTAGTAAAGATGGGGTTTCACCATGTTGATCAGGCTGGTCTTGAACTCCTGACCTCAAATTATTTGCCCCACTAGGCCTCCCAAAGTGCTGAGATTACAGGCATGAGCCACTGTGTCTGGCTGATATATCTTTAGAGAAATATGTTTGTATATGTAACTCTATGTAAATCAAAACTAAAAGTCTGTTTTTGTTTGTCAGCAGAGAGGCACATGTACAAAAATACATATAAAACAAGTTTTTAAAAATATTTAATCAAGACTCAGAAATGTATGGATATTAATTATAATCATGTAATTTTTATGATCATAAAATGACCCTGTGGTTAATAATTCAATTGCACATATTGAAATAACTAAAACTGTATAATGGGATTGTTTGTAATACAAAGGATAAATACACGCTCGTGATGAGGAATACCTCATTTACTCTGCTGTGATAATTAAATAATATATGCCTGTGTTAAAATGTCTCATATATGCTGTAAGTGTGTATGTTGGGAACAAGCTCCCCAAAATCTGGCCATAAACTGGCCATAAACAAAATCTCTGCAGCACTGTGACATGTTCATGATGGCCATAAAGCCCACGCTGGAAGGTTGTGGGTTTACAAGAATGAGAGCAAGCAACACCTGGCCTGCCCAGGGCGGAAAACCACTTAAAGGCGTTCTCAAACCACAAAAATAGCATGAGCAATCTGTGCCTTAAGGACATGCTCCTGCTGCAGATAACTAGCCCAACCTATTCCTTTAATTTGGCCCATCCCTTCATTTCCCATAAGGGATACTTTTAGTTAATTTAATATCTATAGAAACAATGCTAATGACTGGCTTGTTCTTAATAAATATGTGGGTAAATCTCTGTTCGAGGCTCTCAGCTCTGAAGGCTATGAGACCCCTGATTTCCCACTTCACACTTCTATATTTCTGTGTATGTGTCTTTAATTCCTCTAGTGCCACTGGGTTAGGGTCTCCCTGACTGAGCTGGTCTTGGCATGTGTATGCACGCTAACTACCCACAAAATTTTTTTAAAAATCTAAATAGGGTAAAAAAGAATACAAATTTGATTTATGAGAACAAAATTCTTCAACTTATTTTCAGTTTAGACCACTGGCAGGCCAGGTGTGGTGACCTCCGCCTGTAGCCCCAGCACTTTGGGATGCTGACGTGGATGGATTACCTGAGGTCTGGAGTTCAAGACCAGCCTGGCCAACATGGTGAAACCCCATCTCTACTAAAAATACAAAAATTATCCAGGCATAGTGGCATGTGCCTGTAGTCCCTGCTACTTGGCAGGCTGAGGCAGAAGAATCACTTGGACCCAGGAGGTAGAGGTTGCAGTGAGCTGAGATCATGCCACTGCACTTCAGCCTGGATGAAAAAGTGAGACTCCATCTCAAGAAAAAAAAAACTGTTTTTAAATAAATTCTCTTAGGTTCATTATGCTTTGAGGGTTGGTTAAAGGCTTTGTTACATTTTTTTACATTTATAAGATTTTTGTCCAATATGAATTCTCTTATGTACAATTAAGGTATGGAACTAGATAAAGGCTTGGCCACATTCTCTACACTTGTAATGCTTTCTTTCCAGTATAAATTATTTTATGTATTATAAGGTCTGAGGGCTGGACTTTGCCACATTATTTACATTTGTAGGGTTTCTCTCCAGTGTGAATTATCTTATGTTTAGCAAGACTTGAATGCCACTTAAAAGCTTTGTCACATTCTTCACATTTGTATGGTTTCTCTCCAGTATGAATTCTCTTATGTGCCTTTACAGTTGAGGAGCAGTTAAAGGTTCTGCCACATTCTTCACATGTGTAGGGTTTCTCTCCAGTATGAATTATCTTATGTGTCTTAAGAGTCGAGGAGCAGTTAAAGGCTTTGCCACATTCTTCACATGTGTAGGGTTTCTCTCCAGTATGAATTCTCTTGTGGTAAATGAGGGCTGAGGATACGCTAAAGGCTTTGCCACATTCTTCACATTTGTAGGGTCTCTCTCCAGTATGAATTCTCTTGTGGTTAGTAAGTGTTGAGGAGCGCCTAAAGGCTTGGCCACATTCTTCACATGCGTAGGGTTTCTCTCCAGTGTGAATTCTCTTATGTCTAGTAAGGTTTGAGGGCCACCTAAAGGCTTTGCCACATTCCTCACATCTGTAGGGTTTCTCTCCAGTAAGAATTCTTTTATGTGTAGTACCGCTTGAGGAGTGGTTAAAGGATTTGCCACATTCTTCACATTTGTAGGACTTCTCCTTAGTATGAATTATCTGATGTTGATTTAGGTGTGAAAACATGCAAAATGATTTGCCATATTTTTTACATTTCAAATGTTTCTTTCCAGTATATCTTGCATTGTGTCTATTGGAATTTGAAAATTTACTGAAGACTTTGACACATTTATGAGTCTGAAATATTTTGTTTTGGGTATTTGACAAACATTGGTTAAGGTCATTATAACCTCCTTTGTGCACCTCACACTCATCTACTCTTTTACAACATTTTTTTAATTGTAAATTCTCATGTCCACATTTTCCATATGTTCTTGGTATTACTTTTTGGAGTGAATCTTTTATGCTCTGCTCTGGCTGAAGGTCTTGGTTGAAATGAGAACATGTAACTGAAAGACATAAAAATCACAAGTTACTCCACTTACTAGACTCAGATAAATATACTGTACAAATCAAATATATAAAATTGTTCAAGGTACATTAGCAAAATGGCATATCAAAATACCACAGGCCATAATTCCTTCATAGATATATAAATGTAACAAAATCATAGTTATCAAAATACCTTTGTTGGAAGTTTATAAATAAAGTAAGTGTGTGCACCATGTGACCACAATGTCAAGAACCATATATAGAGAAAAGTCTGCTACATTTACCCAACACAGCCCTTCCTCATCCCCAGTAGAAGAACATGGTGCCTTTAATGACAGCTTTAAGTTTTCTGAGATCAAAAGTGAGTGTTACAACAACAGAAAGACTGCACTATCATGGACAGAAAATAGATGTAGAAAGTGGTTACTGACCAGTAAGGAGAAATATGAAGAAGTCTTAACTGAAAAATAAATACAAAATTGCAGACAAGACACATCTTGAGAACATGTTTGCAAGACTCCCAGAATCTCTACCCAAGACAATTGCTTTCAGGCTATGCCAAGAAAGAGCTGCATTACAAAGATTGTGAAAGGTAGTTTTATGTTAATGTCTAAATCTCAACCAAAGATTATAATGTATACAAAATATTTGGGCAACATGGTCCAATCAAAAAAATCAAAATTTTCGAAAAGCAACTATAAAAATAAAGATGTATATATTAATTTTTAAAATTTAAGATAATCCATATTTTGCTCAATGAGAAAAAAATGGAAAACCAGACATCAGATAAATGAGAATGTCAACAAAATGGTTGGAATAATAAAAATAAACAATTGTGGACATAGAAAAGAAAACTGAAATAATTTAAAGGTAAGAAAAAAGTAATGTAACAAATGAAGAAGTTAAACAAACAAACTAGGATATACACAAAAAGATCCATAACACATATTTAAGCAAAGTTTCAAAAATCACAAACCAGAAGATAATGTTTGGAGCTGCAAGATAAAAATGAGGTATTATTTATAAGCCTAGTCCTCCGAGACAACCAGTGAATTTGTCAACAGAAACATTTCAGGTCAGAAAAGAACTGTGTAAAATGGTCAAAGTGCTGAAAAAAAATCTTCACAGTGAAAATATAACCAGCAAAAATGTACTACAAAATAAAGAAAAAATAAAGATCTTCCAGAATAAACAAATGCTGGAAAAGCATATAAGCACTGCATGTGCCCTAAATAAAATGCTGAAAAGAGGTCTTTCCACTTCAAATAATATAATGAAAAAAGATCATATGAAAATACATAACTTTCTGAAAAACATATGCATATACAAAAAAATAAAATTCTGTGGCATTATTGTGATTGTACAGAAAACATTTTTAGTTATTCTTTAAAATTTGAAAGATATAAGCATAAAAATAATCATAAAACATAAAAAGATACAATTAGCAAGATCAGTAAGAAGCACAGGGTAGATATAATGAGGACAAATTTTTCTATGCAACTGAAGTCATTTTTTTTTACCAATGTAAAATATACTATTGTAACATTAAGAGGTTTTATAAAATCTCCAATGTAGCACAAAGAAAAAATCTTTATAGACACACAAAAGAAAATGAGTCCATTACTAGCATGAGACAAAGACTGATATTATATAATAGTAAAATGAGTCCATTTACTAGGAATCTGTAACTATTATGTCTATCTATATGCATATGCATATATAACATCAGGACTTCAAAATATATAAAGCAAATATTGACAAAAATGAAGCAAGAAATAAAATAGCAACATAAAATTATAAACATTAAGACCTCACTTTCAATAATAAATAAAAAATTTAAATAAAAAATCAATTAAAAAAAACAGAAAACCTGAAGAACATTGTATTGTATATGAATTCATTTTGCAATGCTATAGAAAACAACCTGAGAAAACAATGCTATAGAAAACTTTTATAATGAAAAAGACTTCTTTGGTTCACAGTTCAGTAGACTGTACAAGAAGTATATGCCAGCATCTGTTTCTGGTGAGGATATGAGGAAGCTTGCAATTACAGTGGAAGGCAAAAAAGAACCAAACATGTCACATGGTGAAAGATGATGCGAGTGTGAGGTGGAGGAGCCAGGTTCCTTTAAGCAACCAGCTCTCATGTGAATTAATAGTGTGAGAACTCTATGATTGTGCCAAGTCATTCATGAGGGATTTGTCTCCGTGATGCAAACAGCTCTCATTAGGCCCCACATCCAACAGTGGAGATTACATTTCAACATGAGATTTTGAGGGCACCTACACCATATCACAAACCAAATAGGCTAAACAGACATGTACAGAACTCTCCAGTCAAAAGCAAGTGGATACACAATATTCTTATTTGCATCTGGTACATTCTGTTAGAACACATAAGTCTTAGTAAATTTAAAAAGATCAGCCAGGTGCAGTGGCTCACAGGTGTAACCCCAGTACTTTGGGAGGCAAAGGTGGTAGGATCATTCAGGGCAAGAACTTTGATACCAGCCTTGGGAACACAGTGAGACCCTGTCTCTACAAATAATTGAGAATTAGCTGGGTATGGTCGGGGTAGGTCTGTAGTGCAAGCCACTCAGGAGGCCAAGGTGGAAGGATTACTTGAGTCCAGGAAGTTGAGGTTGTGATGAGCCAAGATTGTGCTACTGCACTACAGTCTGGGCAACAGAGTGAGAAACCCTGTGTCAAAAAAAAAAAAAATTTAAGAAGAGCAAAATCATGCAGTGTATGTTTTCTAATCAAAGCTCAATAAAACTAAAAAGAAAAAAGTAAAACTGGCAAATCAAAAATATATGGAAATAAACACACTCTTCAATGTATTCTTGCACAGGGTCAAATAATTTAATTTAACCTAATTTAATATTTTTGCTCAAGGCTCAACATATTTAAGTGACAACTTAATTTGTTAAGATGTCAATATATCCCACAGTGGTGAACAAATTTAATATAATCTATATCAAAATTCCAAAAGTATATTTATTATTGAAATATTGTTTAAATTTTTTTTTTTTTGAGATGGAGTCTCACTCTGTTGCTCAGGCTGGAGTGAAGTGGTGCGATCTTGGCTCACTGCAAGCGCCACCTCCTGGGTTCATGCCATTCTCCTGCCTCAGCCTCCCAAGTAGCTGGGACTATAGGTGCCCGCCACTACACCTGGTTAATTTTTTGTATTTTTTAGTAGAGACGGGTTTTCACCTTGTTAGCCAGGATGGTCTTGATCTCCTGACCTCGTGATCCACCCGCCTCAGCCTCCCAAAGTGCTGGGATTACAGGTGTGAGCCACCACGCTTGACCTAAAATTTTTAAATTTTATTATGAACTATATCTAGAGAAACACACATGAAAAACAGAGGCATTATACTTCATGATTTCAAAACATAATAAAAAGCAACAATAACAATAACTATGTGGTATTCACACAAAGACAAATAAAGACATGATAGAACAAAATAGGGAGCCCAGCAATGAACTCTTCTGTGTATGACCAAATAATCTGCCACAAGGTTGCCAGGAGCAGACAATGGAGAAAATATAAACCCTTCAATAGATAATGTTGAAAACTGGATATCTACATTGAAAAAATGAAGTTGGATGCTTTAATTGCACCATATACAAAAAATATTTTAAACAAAATACTTGGACTGAAAAAAAAAAATGAAACTCTTAGAAAAAAATATAGTGGAAAGACATGACATTGGTCTTGGCACCATTTTCTTAGACATGTCATCAAATGCATGAGCAACAAAGAGAAGAACAGGAAAATTTAACTGGGCTAAACTTCAAAATTTCTGCAATCAAATAAAACATTTAATAGAGTGACAGTGTCACCCAAGAAATGGGTGACAATATTTGAAAATCACATGTGATAAGGCTTAATATTGAAAATATATAAACGACTCCTAGAAGTAGACAACAGTAATTGAATTACTTGATTTAGAAATGCACAAATGAACCGGGTGCAGTGGCTCACTCATGTAATCCCAGAACTTTGGGAGGCTGAGGTGGGCAGATCACCTGAGGTCAGTAATTCGAGACCAGTCTGACCAACATGGCGAAACCCATCTCTACTAAAAATACAAAATTAGCTGGGCATGGTGGCACATCCCTGATCCCAGGTACTCAGGAGACTGAGGCAGGAGAATCATTTGAATCTGGGAGGCAGAGGTTGCTGTGAGCCAAAATTGCCCCATTGCACTCCAGCTTAGGCAACAAGAGAAAAACTCTGTTTCAAAAAAAAAAAAAGAAAAAAGAAATGGACAAATGATTAAACTAAATTTTAATAAAAAGATATACAAATGGGAAGAAGTATTTGAAAGGTTGCACAAAATTAATAATTTATAGAAAAATGCAAAATAAAATAACAATACAAAACAAAATTACCTTACATCAATTAGGATGACCACTATAATTTTTTTTTAAAACACCAACTATGTTGATGATGTAAAGAAATTGAAACCTATGAAAGTTATTGATGAGAAAAAAGATGCAGCCATCATAAAAAATATCATGAATGTTCTTCAAATAATTAAAAATGAAATTATTATATAATACAGCAATACCATTTATGAATCTATATCTAAAATATGCAACAGAGTAAAATGAAGACATGAGGTACCCTGCTTGCATATCCCCCTACAGCAAGTATCGTAACCCACCCTTTAAATAAATAAATACGTATATAAAATTAAAAAATAAAAAAATTGTAAAAAACTTTAAACTATATTTCAAGGCTACAGTAATAAAAACAGAATGGCATGTACAGAAAAATGGACAACCACCAATGAAACAGAAATTACTATTCTCACACATTTTAGACATGATGCAAAAAGTTTTTTAAATGGTTTAACATAGAGTTTCTCAAAAATATGCAGATATTAGTGTGTCCCCAAAAGCAATGGCAAAGTAGTCAGTTTGTGCAGTCCCTGATAAGCCATAAAGAAAACTTTGGCTCACACTGTGAACCTGAAGAAAGATTATTGAAATGAAAGTAGAATCCTTAGAGAATTTAACAGCATGGGGCAGAAGGTGTCCCAATGTGAGAGCAAAAAAATAAAAAAAATAAAAAATAAAAAATACTCAAGCTTCTCAGAAACTCTTTCCATAAAAGCACAGCTCTGCAGACCACATTTTAAAGACTGGCTACCTCCTTGACTTGTGGACATCTCATCCGTGTCATCTGCTTCATTTGCTCTCACCTACCTGGGTGTTTGGCTGCCATCTCATTTCTCTTTATATTCTGGGGCTCTTTATTTTGCTCCAGACAGGCGATCAAGTCTGGCTTAGAGACAGTCATACCTGTTTTATTAAGAAAAAAAAGTAACTTAAATCTTATTTATTTATTTATTTTTTGAGATGGAGTCTCACTCTGTCGCTCAGGCTGGAGTGCAGTGGCATGATCTCAGCTCACTGCAACCTCCACTTCCCAGGTGCAAGCAATGCTTCTGCCTCAGCCTCCTGAGTAGCTGGGACTACAGGCACATACCACCACGCCCAGCTAATTTTTGTATTTTTAGTAGAGACGGAGTTTCACCATATTAGCCAGGCTGGTCTCGAACTCCTGACCTTGTGATCTGCCTGCCTCGGCCTCCCAACGTGCTGGGATTACAGGTGTGAGCCACTGTGCCTGGTCATGTAAATCTTGCTGAATTCTTTAATTACCAAACTAGTATTATGCTCAGTAAAAAGGATATAATAGAAAATTCTAGAAAATTAATATTATTTGTAACAGAACTTTCTCAATATTTAGAAAATATTTTAAATTTGTAAGTCCTTATTTTCACTACTCAGTACTACTGAATCAAACATTGTTGGTGACAACTGAATTCTAAGGTGTTGGCAACGCTATTTTATGCCATGACATTTTTGGAATTGCCACTAACCTAGAGCAAAAGATACATAAGCTCAGGAAAGGGAAAAGTTCAGGTCAAGATAAAACATCTTGAAGAATTTAATCTACACCAATGAATCCCCAAGATTTTCTTTAAATCGGAGAGCTAAAATTCATTCATGCAAAGCAGAAATTACCAAAATCATCTTAGAAAAGAGAGAACGGCAATATATTAGGAATTATGTATTGAGGTTAACCTCACCCAGGGAGAACAGGTTTCTGTAGTTCTCTAACATCACATCTCTATATAAATTCTGCTGAGCATGATCCAGGCATTGCCACTCCGCCAGAGAGAATTCTATAGCTATGTCTCTGAATGTCAACAGTCCCTGAAAAAAAAAAAGAAAAACCTCATGAACACACACTTACCATATGGCCGTAAGCAGAGATTTTTATTTGACTCAAGTTAAAAAAGAGAGTAAAAAGAAGTGTTTCTCACTTACAAGAGTGACTGAAATTACTCAGTAAGATAATTTTTAACATGGAAGTATTCTCTAATTCTGAGAAAAGAGGAGAGCATAAGATTCACAATACCACAGTAGCTTTGATAATTTTCTGGATGATAAATTATAAAATTAAGGGCATCAACATGGACTTGTCCTTCTTTTTTCTTTTCTTTTTTTTTTTTTCTTTACCAAGTCTCACTCTGTTGCCCAGACTGGAGTGCAGTAGCGTGATCTTGGCTCAGTGCAACCTCCGCCTCGGGTTCAATCGATTCTCCTGCCTCAGTCTCCCGAGTAGCTGGGAATACAGGCATGGGCCACCACGCCTGGCTAATTTTTGTATTTTTAGTAGAGAAGGGGTTTCTCCATGTTGGCCAGGCAGGTCTTGAACTCCTGACCTCACGTGATCCACTCACCTTTGCCTCCCAAAGTGCTGGGATTGCAGGCATGAGCCACCTCACCCGGTCGGACATGTCTATTTTTCAGTGCTATATTTACATCATACAGAATAAGCTGTGTATATTTCTCAGATAAAACAGTCATGATGAGTTGGAAGGTACCTCTTAAGTCTAAATATGTGCAATAAACTAAATATTTTGTTGTGAGATTTTGTTTCAGGAGATTTGGGATAAAGTCTGAATTTCTGAATTTTTAGCAAGTTCACCAATGTTTCTAGCCTAGTAAGAATATTTTGTCAAACATCCAGTAAGTGGCAGTCTGGGTTTTCCCCAGTTTCTCTCACCTGTAAATAAAGATAAGAGCCTTCAACTTTAAAAGACAAATATATGCAAAAGTCATCTAAAAAGAAAGGACAGCTTCCAGATTAAATGTGATCGTTTATGCACTTCGGCTAGTAAATCTCCTAAGTGTACTTAATAATTAAGAGAATAATAATTAACTCTATCGTGGAAAAAATGTCATAGAGATCTTGAACCAAGTGAATAAAATTGTTATCACCTTTATTAGGACACATTTTTATTATGTGCTGATGCACACACAACACAACATCACTGCTGTGGTATTTCTCTCCTCTCAGAAAAGTAAATTATAACTACATTTAAATAAATAAATATATATATATATATATTTTTTTTCTTTTTTCTTTTTTTTTTGAGATGGAGTCTTGCTCTGTCGCCCAGGCTAGAGTGTAATGGTGCAATCTCAGGTCACTGCAACCTCCGCCTCCTGAGGTCAAGCAATTCTCCTGCCTCAACCTCCCAAGTAGCTGGGATTACAGGCGCATGGCACTACACTTGGCTATTTTTTGTATTTTTTTAGTAGAGACAGGGTTTCACCAGGTTGGCCAGGCGGGCCTCGAACTCCTGACCTCATGTGATCTGCCTGCCCCAGCCTCCCAAAGTGCTGAGATTACAAGCCTGAGCCACCGTGACTGACCTAAATTTAATTATAAAGAAACATCAGTTTTATGCAAAGTTGAAGGTACAGATAACTTCCCTGTTGTGTAATTTTTAATAGTAATTTTAAGTAGTCTTTGTTTAGCACCCTGGAGAGCAAGTATCTCCTAATAGTTTTTTCAGAACTTTCTGGGTAATACATGCCATTCTGTTTAAATGAACATTTTCTAAACCCTGTTCTGCATGGAACTAATAGAGCACACAGATGAAACCTCAACAAGGTATGTTTCACTTTTCACTAATATCCAAAGACAACTGTGTTTCCTCAATAGAAATCTTGAGTATTTACACCTTCTCATGTTCAACAGCTACAATGGGAACATTTTAAATATTGCAGGTTATAAATTTGTAGTGAGAATTCTGCATTGCATATAAGAATCCAAGATGAAGAGAATGTATAGAACGCTACAGCATATAGAAAAAAAATATTTTTTTCAGAACCCCTTGACTATCATACAAATCACAAAAAGTAGTTGAAACAAACTCATTAGGGATCAACAGTACAAGTACAGAAGTAAAAATTTGCAATTTCCAAACAGATGGCATTCCAAAAGGCAGAGTGGACACTGCTCTTGATCTGAAACATGCTCACCTGAGAAAAAGTGATTTTTTTCTTTTCCTCCTCTTTCTCTGAAATGTATTTTCAGGTAAGATGCTCTGGACATATCAAACCTGCATCTTGAGAATATGCCTTTAAAGCACAACCTATTCACCTGCTACCACCACACACACCCAAGGGCAGAAAGACCGAGACTTGCAGAAAACATTCACCCATTTTTGTTGTGTATAATTGAAAAGATTTAAGAGCAATGAGAGAACAATGAGCTTCTCCATAACTAATAAAATATAAGTTTCTTTTTCCCTGCCCTCCCCTATCAGACTCCAGCAATCTTCTTTACAGTAATGGGAGCACGAACCGCACTGACCTCTTCCTACCAAACTGAAACAGGGCAGGCAGTGCAGCCTTCCTTTGATGCAAAGGTTGAACTAAACTCTCCTGAATGTATCTTGAACCCCTCAAGTTTATAAATCACTTGGTAATCTTGGCCCTGCTTTATGCAAAGTGATTCTGCAGGATCCAAAAGGGTCCAGGAATGGGCTTTTTCAACAAGTCCCCTGTAAATGCTGATTGTGCTTTCCCAGACACATTATTAGCATTAGCGAGAGAAAGCAGGCACAGCAAAGAGTCCCTTACACCCACCAAATTTGTCACAAAACAAATACATCTGGTACAAATAAAGACAACCAATCACCATGCTGAAATGCTATATTTTTTTGTTGGCTTTTTTAAGTTTACAGAGAAAACAGAAGGCAGCAATATCTGAGTAAATCTGCACCTGGAAAACCTGCACACATGTACTAATAAAATGTTTATTAAGCAGGTACTATGTGCTCAGGAGCATATCACAGAACACTGTGCTGGGAATAACACATTTTGTGATTTAATTTTCATAGCACCCTGGGAGCTGGTACTAAGTGTTGAATAATTTTTAGCATTTGGATTAAGAGCACAGCATTTTTATTTATTCTTATGTTTCTCTATCATTAATTTTAAAAAGAAAATATATAGAATAATAATTCAATACAAAAAACATACAAAATGATGAAATTACATAAAAATTGAATAATCAGCTTCCAAATGGCTGTTTTGTAAATAATGAAATTAAGGCAGAAATAAAATTTTTGAAACTAATTAGAGATTAAGTACAACATACCAGAATCTCAGGGTTACAGCTAAGGCAGTGTTAAGAACAAAATGTATATCACTAAACATCACATCAAAAAGTTAGAAAGATCTCAATTTAAAAATCTAATGTTACAATTAAAAGAATTTCAAAAGAGCAAACCAACTTCAACACTCGCAAAAGTCAAGAAATAACCAAAATCAGAACTGAAATGAAGAAAGTTGAGACCTAAATAACTAAAAAAAGTTCAACAGGCCATGCACTGCGGCTCACTCCTGGAATCCCAGCACTTTCAGAGGCCAAGGCGGGCAAATCACGAGGTCAGGAGTTTGAGACCAGCCTGGCCAAGATGGTGAAACCCCGTCTCTACTACAAATACAAAAATTAGCTAGGCATGGTGGTACATGCCTGTAATCCCAGGAGAATCGCTTGAAAAATGGAAGGCGAAGGTTGCAGTGAGCCGAGATCACGCCACTGCACTCCAGCCTGGGCGAAAGCGAAGCTCCGTCTCAAAAAAAAAAAAAAAGTTCAACAAAACCAGAAGTTGATTCTGTGTAAAAATAATAAGATAGATAAAACACTAGAGTAATGAAGAAAAAAGAAATAATTCAAATAAAAACAATTAGACTAAAAAGTCAAAAAAAAAAAACGGAACAGATGCTTGTGAGGTTGTGGAGAAATTGAATGCTTATACGCTGCTGGTGAGAGTATAAATTTGTTTAACCATTGAGAAAAACAGTTTGGCATTTTTTCAAAAACCTGAAAACAGAATTACCATTCCCAGTACCACAATTGGGAATACACCCAATAAATGTAAGTTATTCTACCATGAAGACACATGCACGCATATGTTTATTACAGAAAATGATTCACAATAGCAAAAACCAGAAATAAACCTGTATGTCTTCAGTGGTAGACTGGATAAAGAAAATGTGTTACATAAACACCATGAAATATGATGCGGCTATAAGAAAGAACAACATCATGTCCTTTGCAGCAACATCGATGGAGCTGGAGATTTATTTTTAGAAAACTAGTGCAGGAGCAGAAAATCAAAAACTGTATGTTGTCACTTGTAAGTGGGAGTGAAATAATGAGAATACATGGATGCAAATAAGAGAACAACAGACACTGAGGCTCAGTTCAGGGTGGAGGGTCAGAAGACGAAGAAAATCAGAAAACAAATCTGTTGAGTACTATGCTTAGTACGTGAGTGATAATATAATCTGTACACAAAAACTTCATGATATGATTTTACCTATATAACAAACTTGCACATGTACTCCTGAACCTAAAATAAAAGGTAAAAGAAAAAAAACTTGACTGAGTGTGGTGGCTCATGCCTATAACCCAAGCCTGTTGGGAGGCTGAGGCAGGCAGATCACCTGAGGTCAAAAGTTCGAGACCAACCTGGCCAACGTGGTGAAATCCCGTCTCTACTAAAAATACAAAAATTAGTTGGGCGTGGTGGCCTACACCTGTAATTCCAGCTACTCGGGAGGCTGAGGCAGGACAATCATTTGAACCAGGAGGCAGAGGTTGTAAAGAGGTGAGATTGCACCACTGCACTCCAGCCTGGAGGACAGAGTGAGACTCCCTCTCCAAAAAAAAAAAAAAAAAAAAAAAAAAAAAACATTTATTGGAGATTACTATCTTGAAGAAAATATTCGGGCCTAGGCAACCACAATCTGCCAATGAATCTCTGATGACATAACCAATAAATTTTCACCTGGATCTTCCAAGTAAAAACACTAAATAACTGTACCAAACCAATTATTGCATTTGGTTTGCTTCATCATGCAACTTATAACAGACTTTTCTTCAAGTCTCTCCCATGGATCACAACCCACAAGCCATAGCTGGGCGCTCTATGGTTCTTCTTTTTTTTTTTGAGGTGGAGTCTTGCTTTGTCGCCCAGGCTGGAGTACAATGGCGCGATCTCGGCTCACTGCAACCTCCGCCTCCCGGGTTCAGGTGATTCTCCTGTCTCAGACTACCGAGTAGCTGGGACTACAGGCACGTGCCACCACACCCAGCTAATTTTTGTATTTTTAGTAGAGATGGGGTTTTACCATGTTGGTCATGCTGGTCTCGAACACCTGACCTCGTGATCCGCCCGCCTCGGCCTCCCAAAGTGCTGGGATTACAGGCGTGAGCCACCGCGCCTGGCCCGCTCTATGATTCTTGAATCACGTTTTGATTAAATTCTCTAATATTTTTACAGTGACTCCCACACATCTCTAAAAGGAAAAATGAGGAACTAGGGACCCCAGGGACCACAGCTCTTACCACTTATGAATCCTGCACCCTGTGTCAGGATTCTCCCCTGATAACTTTCCCAATCCCTGTACAATCTGGATGAGATGAGGCGCTGGGAGTGCAGAGCTGCCCAGAGAGGGCTCCAGCCCAGGGCAAAGCCACTGCAGAGGAAAAAGACAGAACTCCCAGGGTCCCAGCCGCTGGCCCAGGCACCATCTTAGGGCTGGAGGGGGCTAACAGCCGAACTGGGCCAAGGAGGATTTGGGTCCTCAGACTCCGGAGCTGACTGCGAGGAAGTATGGGTCCTGCTGCAGCCACTTTCAGCCGGTTCCAACCACCTCCCACCCCTCTCTCACGATGACAGACCCAGCACTCACCATTTCTCGGCTTCCAGGGGGTCCCGGTCTTTTAGCCATAAATCTGCGGATACCTGCAGGACACAAGGCCACAGTGGCTTGACCTCTAAGAGCAGAGGACGCAGAGCAGTGAAGAGAAGAACTGGAGCTCTGGACGCAGAGAAACACAAAAGGCCCGGTAAAATTACGGAGGCGTCCTGTTCTCTCCAGCTGCATGCCTGATTATACAGTTTCTAATATATGGCCCCTGATGGGATAAGGTTTCAGGCCCCACCCTTCACGCCCTGAGTGACGGAATATTTGATCAGACGCTAGGCTGAATGAAGCAAAAATAACAGCCTAAGCTGCACCCTTTACAGGCAGGGCTTCTTCCCTGATCTGAGCCAGGCCAACACCAGAGGATATTTGCATTTAACCTTGTGTATAACGTCATATGCATTTATAAATGATATATAATATAGTTATTCACAAATTGAAATAATATAATGACAATTATTTTAAAATTTCGGATTTTATGACCTTCCTTGCTGCGGATCCTTTGCAGTGATATGGTTTGACTCCGTGGCTCCACCCAAATCTAATCTCAAATTGTAATTCCCGTCCGTGCGCGGTGGCTCACGCCTGTAATCCCAACACTTTGGGAGGCCGAGACAGGCGGATCACGAGTTCCGGAGTTCCAAACCAGCCTGGCCAATACGGTGAAACCCCGTCTCTACTAAAAATACAAAAATTAGCCGGGCGTGGCAGCGCGTGCCTGTAGTCCCAGCTACTCGGTAGCCTGAGGCAGGAGAATCGCTTGAACCCAGGAGGTGGTGGTTGCAGTGAGCCGACATGGCACCATTGCACTACAGCCTGGGCGACAGAGCGAGACTCCGTCTCAAAGAAAAAAAAAATTGTAATTCCCATGTGTCACGGTAGGGACTGTGTAAGAGGTGATTGGATCATTGGGGTGGATTATCCTCATCCTGTTCTTGGGATAATAAGGGAGCTCTCAAGATACCCGATGGTTTAAAAATGTGGCACATCTCCCCTCCCCACCTTCCCGGTTCTCTCTCGTTTTCCACCGTGTGAGATGTGCCTTGCTTTCCCTTCACCTTCTGTCATGGTCATGATTGTAATTTTCTTGAGGATTTTTCAGCCCTGAAGGACTATGATTCAATTAAACCACTTAAAAAAATTACGCAGTGTGAGGTATTTGTTTATAGCAGTGTGAAAATGGACTAATACATGCAGGCAGCCTGAGATTTCAAAAAGGAGGCAATCCTCTGCAGTAAAATATGAGCCACATGTAAATTTTGGATTTTCTAGTAGCCAAATGTTAAAAAGTAAAAAGAAAAAGGTGGGGCTGGGTACAGTGGCTCACACCTGTAATCCCAGCACTTTGAGAGGCCTAGGTGGTGAACGACCTGAGGTCAGGAGTTCGAGACCAGCCTGGCTGACAAGGCGAAACCCCGGCTCCACCAAAAATAGAAAAATTAGCTGGGTGTGGTGACAGGCACTTGCAATCCCAGCTACTAGGGAGGCTGAGACAGGAGAATTGTTTGATCCCGGGAGGCAGAGAATGCAGGGAGCTGAGATCATGCCACAGCACTCCAGCCTAGAGACGGAGCGACTCTGTCTCAAAATAAAAAAGAAAGAAACAGGTGGAATAACAGGTGGAATTGACTGTAACAATTTAATCAGCCCAACATATCCAAAATATTATTATTTTACTATGTGATTAGTATGTAATGGTTAATAAAGCATATACATTTTTGAAGCTAAATCTTTGAATGTACTCTTGTATTTTACCTTTCCAGCACATTGCAGTTCAGACCAGCCATATTCCAGCACTCTGTGGCCATATCAGAGGCGTTTGAACCAGAGCAACTGCATCTGGAATAGGTGCTGGGTAAAATGGGGCTGAGACCTACAGGACTGCTTTTCCATGAGGTCAGGCATTCTAAATCACAGGGTAAATAGGAGATTGGCACAAGATGCAGTTCACAAAGACCTTGCTGATAAAACAGTTTGCAGTAAAGAAGCCAAAAAATCCACCAAATCCAAGATGGGAGTGAAAGTGACCTCTGATTATCCTCACTGATCATTACGCGCTAATTATAATGTGAAAGACATTCCCACCAGCGCCATGACAGTTAACGAATGCCATGGCAACATCAGAAAGTTACCTTACATGGTCTAAAAAGAAGAGAAACACTCAGTTCTGGGACTTGCCCACCCCTTTCTTGTAAAACTCATTAATAATCCACCCCTTGGTTAGCATATAATTGAGAAATAACTGTAAGTATCCTTAGTTGAGCAGCCCACACTGCTGCTCTGCCTACGGAGTAGCCATTCTTCTATTCCTTTACTTTCCTAATAAATTTGCTTTTGCTTTGCACTGCAGACTTACCCAAAATTCTTTCTTTTCTTTTTTTTTCTTTTAGACAGAGTCCCCCTCTGTCACCCAGGCTGGAGTGCAGTGGCGCCATCTCGGCTCACTGCAACCTCCACCTCCTGGGTTCAAGAGATTCTCCTGCCTCAGCCTCTGGATTAGCTGGGATTATAGGCATGCACCACTATGCCCGGCTAATTTTTGTATTTTTAGTAAAGATGGGGGTTTCACCATGTTGGCCAGGCTGGTCTCGAACTCCTGACCTCAAGTGATCCTCCTGCCTCAGCCTCCCAAATTGCCGGAGTTACAGGCAGAAGCCACCACCCCTGGCTCTAAATTCTTTCTTATACGAGATCCAAGAACCCACTCTTCGGTTCTGGATTGGGACCATTTCTGGAAGCTTCATTTCATTGAATCACAAAGGGACGAAACTAAGGAAACCCCCAACCCAAAGGAAATAGACTGAATCACCAGTTGGCTAACTTTTTGCAAGTGGTGGCGTACCCAGGTAAAGAATGGGATTGGGTGGAGTTAAGAGTTTGCAAGTGGTGGCGTACCCAGGTAAAGAATGGGATTGGGTGGAGTTAAGAGTTTCTCCTAAGACGTATAAGATAAAAGGTCTCTTTTAATAAAAGGCAAGAATACTTGACAAAACTTGTGTTTGAGGCACAACTTCAAAAGGTTAGAGTCTTTCCTAAGATTTAGGGGGTTAGAGGCCCCTCTCAGTAAAGTCCCTCTCAGCTAAGATTAGATTTGGCATTATGGAGTGTTAACCACTGTTGTCTTTGTGATTTTTTGTTTGTTTGTTTGTTCGTTCGTTTGTTTTGAGACAGAGTCTCACTCTTGTCACCCAGGCTGGAGTGCAATGGCAAGAACTTGGCTCACTGCAACCTCCGCCTCCCAGGTTCAAGCGATTCTCCTGCCTCAGCCTCCTGAGCAGCTAGGATTACAGGCGCCCACCACCACACCCAGATAATTTTTGTATTTTTAGTAG
The DNA here is from genome assembly GCF_000001405.40 of Homo sapiens. Classification (NCBI taxonomy): domain Eukaryota; kingdom Metazoa; phylum Chordata; class Mammalia; order Primates; family Hominidae; genus Homo; species Homo sapiens. The sequence goes on along the minus strand of NC_000007.14, from coordinate 64,203,894 downwards.
AGATGGGATTTCACCATGTTGGCCAGGCTTGTCTCAAACTCCTGACCTCAGCTGATCCACCCACCTCAGCCTCCCAAAGTGCTGGGATTACAGGCATGAGCCACTGCACCCGGCCTTGTCTTTGGATTAATCTGCCTTGCACTTTTTGCTAATGGCTGTGGCTGACAGAATTAGGCGAGTACAGGATCATGGAACGTGGGGAGCTTTTTCCTCCCTAAAGTGGGAAACTTGAGAGCAGATGGGACTGCTGAAAAAGATTCTTTCACAACAAGAGATCACCTACACTTTTGATTCACTGCAATGCGTGGGTCTTTCTCTGGCTTTCCTGAGCTCCTCACCTTTCCTGCTCCACCATAGGCCACGCTTTTCTCTCTCTCTCTTCTTTCTCTCTCTCTCTCTCCTTCTTATCTTTTCTGTTACTCTGGGCCACCATCTTGCCCAGAGATCACATGTTGAAACTTCTGGTCAGAAGTCCCTGAAACAGGCTGGGCATGGTGGCTCACGCCTTTAATCCCAGCACTTTGGGAGGCCCAGGCAGGCGGATCACCTGAGGTCAGGAGTTCAAGACCAGCCTGGCCAACATGGTGAAAACTCGTCTCTACTAAAAATACAAAAATTAGCCAGGGTGGTGGTGGGTGCCTATAGTTTCAGCTACTCAGGAGGCTGAGGCAGGGAGAATTGCTTGAACTTGGGAGGCAAAGGATGCAGTGAACCAAGATCGTGCCACTGCACTCCAGCCCAAGAGACAGGAGAGACTCCATCTTAAAAAAACAAACAAACAAAAAAAAACCAAAGAAACAAAAAAGAAGTCCCTGAAACAAACAACAACAAAATAATGAAGTTTCCCTCTTGTTTTATGTTCTTGGGAGCTTGACCTTGTAGCCATGTGGCAGTATTTTCTCTTGGTTTCTACCATCCAGCATACAGAGATTTTGAAATTTATGTTACAGTTAACCCTAAAAATGATCTTGAGCAGTTAAAAACCTTTGCAAGCTCAAAATTGGCTGCTGGAGGCTTCTTCTGGGAGACTCCAGTGGAGACTGCTCAGTGCTGTAGCTCAGTAGCTGGGCTTTGTTGTCTCACAGTGGCAGCCTGAGTTCAGGGTTCAATTTCTGGCTTAGGAAATGAGTCCTTTCTGATTTGATAACTGTGTGAACATTTGTTGATTCTCTTCCCCTCCACGAACCGTTTTGGATTTTCCTTTCTCTGAGCTACCTTTGAAGATTCTAGATTTTGTAAAAAGTGCTTGCCACCTTTTTGAAAATACCTTGTACACTTGTGGTTAGGTTAATAACCTTAGTTAAAGTTTATTGGTTTCAGGAGGTGGAGGTTGCAGTGAGCTGAGTTTGGCCACTGCACTCCAGCCTGGGCGACAGAGGGAGACTCTGTCTCAAAAACCAAAACAAAACAAAACAGGAAACAAAAACAAAAAAGCTTATTGGTTTTGCCTGGGAGGTTATGTTAGTAAAGTTCAAAAGTCAGAAATATTGGCGGTTTGGCATGGCTAAAGTCAAGTAATAAGAGAATTAAATATTTTTTTTTAAAAAAAAGAGCATCATGGTTAAAAGTTGGCTTAATTATTATTTATTTATTTATTTATTTATTTATTTATTTATTTTTGAGACAGAGTCTTGCTCTGTTACTCAGGCTGGAGTATAGTGGTGCAATCTTGGCTCACTGCAACCTCCATCTCCTGGGATCAAGCGATTCTCCTGCCTCAGCCTCCTGAGTAGCAGGGATTACAGACACTCACCACCATACCCGGCTAATTTTTGTATTTTTAGTAGAGACGGGGTTTCACCACGTTGGCCAGGCTGGTCTTGAATTCTTGACCTCGAGTGATCCGCCTGCCTTGGCCCCTCAAAGTGCTGGGATTACAGGCATGAGCCACTGTGCCTGGCCCAAAAGTTGGCTTAATTAATTGCAGATATTCAAGCTCTAACAGCCTGGAAGTCCTTGGAAAAAACAGAGGAGGTGCCACAATAGGCATTTTGGGAAAAACTTCTGTTTTCTTCCTGAAACCCCAGGAATTGGAAGTGGATAGATCCCTCTCTAAGTCCAAGGCTCTGTTCCATTTTGCATTGCATTATCTGATGGTTTTTACTTTCCAGGATATCAGAAATTACTTCACATTATGAGAGAATTTAGATATGTAATAAGTGGTTAGGAAATATACATTTAGGGATGGCGAATGGCAGCTATGGGGGGATACTCGGCTTTTTGCACATTTGAATCAGTGAAGTGTGCTCTTGGCCACCTAGAAGATATGGAAATGTTCCCTCCCCGCACTGAGAGGTAAGATGCCAATGGGAGATGGGCTGATTCCCTCTTCTTGGGATCCAGGTTCTAGTATAAAAATAGTAGTCTTAATTTTGGAGGATCTGTTTTGCCTTCCAGCTGTGCCTACTTATTAAGCTGTAGAAACTGCTTGGTTTTTGCTTTCCTGGTCCTGTTTCTCCTAGGGATCCACCCTGAAGCCAGAGTGGTAATCCAATTAAGAAACTGACAAATGAAAAATCTTACAGGTACTTGATCTTCTTGCACTGGAAGAAGACCAGACCAGCCTGGCCAACATGGAGAAACCCCGTCTCTACTAAAAATACAAAACACATATAAATCTGTGTATTTATATGTGTTTTGTGTGCAATATGAAAGAGCTTTGATTAATTGGTTTAAAAATAATAAGAGATTAAATCAAATATTTTATTAGAAAAATAGAAACCATGGTGTATTTTAGTTTACATAACTTTAGTAATCGTTGGGAAATAAAAACTGTTTTACATGCTAGGTATGTAAAAAAAGTAAAATGTGCTTTTGGTAAAACATTAAAAGATATCATGGGAAAGTGGATTATTTTGGCCTAAATTAAAGGGTTAACAGGATTGTTTTAAGTTAGGTAAAATAGTGCTGAAAGTTTAATCAAGTTGTGAAAAGTTTGTAAAAAATTAAATCTTGTGAAAGAAATTCTCTGTGTTAACATATTGGCTAAAGTTAAAGGGGTATTCAGTTTTTTTATAAATTGAACACTGGAATAAAAGTACACTGGTTTTCCTTAGAGCACTAACCTGCTCTTTCACAAAAATTGTAAAGTATTATAAAAGGATTATAGGAATCTTACCATATGGTCAAACTGATTAAGAATGGATAGATTTGTCTATAAGATTTTATTAAGAATTAGGTTTGACATCAACTAATGCAAGGGTGAGATTTAGCTTTTTCCCATGAACAAGATTTTTATGTAATATTTTACAAATGAAACATTTTTGTCTGCCATTTTGAATAAACTGGAGCAAAAGGAAAGGAAAAAAAGGTTGTTTGGAAAGTGAAGTCTTCCCTCTATTAATGAGTAAAGGTTTTTTCCTTCTTAAAATTTTTGAGTTATCATTTTGGTTAATGAGTGATTTATGATAATCTGGAATTTGCTATTTGACACATTTTATAAAATCAAATTATAAATTATTTATTTTTCTTACCCAAATTCTTTTAGATATTAGGTCCCCTAAAGTACAAAAATGACATTTGGCTTATTTGGTATAAAAATCATACAGCAAGAATTGTCAGAAAGTACTGTCAGGCTGGGTACAGTGGCTGATACCTGTAATCCCAGCACTTTGGGAGGCCAAGGAGGATGCATCACCTGAGGTTAGGAGTTAGAGGCTAGCCTGGCCAACATGGTGAAACCCTGTCTCTACTAAAAATACAAAAAAGAAAAAAAATTGCCAGGTGTGGTGGCTGGCACCTGTAATCCCAGCTACTCAGGAGGCTGAGGCAGGAGAATCACTTGAACCCAGGAGGCACAGGTTGCAGCAAGCCAAGACTGCGGCATTGCACTCCAGTCTAGGCAACAAGAGTGAAACGCTATCTCAAAAAAAAAAAAAAGAAAGAAAGAAACCATTGTCAAATATGAAATGGTGTTTGGTTTTCCTTGGGTTGTATTTGTATAAATATGTTATTGGTATGTGTTTCAAAAAATGGAAAACTCCTATAATTCTGATATGACTTATGTATGTTATTAATAGTAATAATTGTTATGTAAAATTGTCGTATGCAACAGAAGTAACCAAAATCTCCCTGTCAATTGTGGCTTTAATAGTGGCTGTCCTAAGACTTCTTTGTCATCGACAGACAATTGTTGTCTTGTTTTAATCCTCTTTGAAAGGTGATTTATAATCAGCTATAGGATGTGGACAGGTGCTCTTAAATGCAGGTTTCTGATAAATTTGGAAATTTTGGCATTAGAATAAAGAAAAAACTTTCAGGTCTCTCACGGAGAGCTGAAATGTCCATGAATATCAAGCAGAACAGGACATAACTGCATGGAGTAAACTAATATAAGATTGAAGTAATCTTTTTTTTTACTTTGCTTAAAATATTACTGATTCTTTGTTTTGTTTTTCAGAGTCCAGGAAGCTTTTATTTTGAGCTATTTATAGCTTTTAGCAATTGAGTAAAATATACTTCTGTAAACAAAATTTGGAGCATATTTGTTTCTCTCTACCTGTTTTTCTCCAGAATTTGGAAACTATTTGTGAGTATTCTTAACTTATGGCAATATAATTTGCATAAGTGCAAAAGAGTGTTTTCTTCTGTAACAGGACACAATTGGAGAAATTAGTTATTTTGCCAAGGCTTTGACTAGAATGGCATGCCTTCCTTTAAGGAATCAAACATGACTTGTAGAGCCAATAAAGGTCCCTTGGGAAAACTGGCTTTATACCTTGTCTACACAGTCCCTGTACAGGGTTCCTAACCTGTGGTAAGTAAATAATGTCACTTCCTGACAGGCTCATGAGCCCCAAGTTATCCTATGATCTCAAAAGAGAAATTTATGCAACTCATATTTGAGGGTATAGACTCATGGCTGGGTTCAGCTTTAAAAAGTCTTATCTGAGATTCATTTCATGGAACAAGGTTTCATCAAATCCAATTTTTAAAACCTATGTAAAAATAATTATTCTTGCTGCACTTTATACAAATAATCAGGCCAAGTATAATAAAGCAACTTGGTCATACCATGATTCGTCTTTAGTAAAATGGGAGACTGGAGAGAGAAAAAAATTATGCTTTAAGAACTATGGTACATCTGTTATTAAATTCTAGATTTATCTGTTGTTTTTGAAATTTTTTTGAAAGAAGTTGAATCTTTGAATAAACCAATAACAAGTTATAAAATTGAGGCAGTAATAAATAGCCTGTTAACCAAAAAAAGCCCAGGACCATATGTTTTCACAGCCAAATTCTGCCAGAGGTACAAAGAGGAGCTGGTACCATTTCTTCTGAAGCTATTCCAAACGATTGAAAAAGAGGGACTCCTCCTAACTCATCTAATGAGGACTTCACCATCCTGATACCAAAACCTGACCCTGGTGGCACAGGTGGTAGTGCAGCATGAGAGGGAGTATGGATGGGGTTTATCTATGGGCCAGGGATTAGAGAATTCCCTGGGCAGCACACTGCCTGGCTCCATTCTCTTCATCTTAGATTTATTGGGAGGGTTTGATACACAGAGAAAGTGGAGACTCATCTCAATAAAGGGTGTGAATAGGGGACCGAAATCAAGAACCAATCTTTGGAGGAGGGCTGCTTGTATCTATCTAACTCTGAGAACAAATGCTTTCTTTTTTGTTTCTGAGATAGTTTTGCTCTTGATGTCCAGACTGGAGTGCAATGCTGCAATCTCAGCTTGCTCACTGCAACCTCCGTCTCTTGGGTTCAAGCAATTCTCTTGCCTCAGCCTCCTGAGTAGCTGGGATTACAGGTGCCTGCCACCACAACTGGCTAATTTTTTTGTATTTTTAGTAGAGATGGGGTTTCACCATGTTGGCCAGGCTGGTCTTTTACTCCTGACCTCAGGTGATCCACCCTCCTCAGCTTCCCATAGTGCTGGGATTTCTGGTGTGAGCCACTGTGCCCAGCCTGACAATGCTTTCTGACAATTCTTCCTGTATGATTTTTATACCAAATAAGCCAAATGTCATTTTTGTCCTTTAAGAGATCTAATGTCTAAAAGATATTTAGGTAAGAAAAATACATAATTTATAATTTGATTTTTAAAAGTTTGTCAAATATCAAATCCCATATTATCATAAGTCACTCATTAACCAAAATGATAATTCAAAAATTTTAAGGCCGGGTATAGTGGCTCAACACCTGCAATCCCAGTACTTTGGGAGGCCGAGGCGGGTGGATCACAAGGTCAGGAGTTCAAGACCACCCTCGCCAAGATGGTGAAAACCTGTCTCTACTAAAAATACAAAATTAGCTGGATGTGGTGGCATGTGCCTGTAATCCCAGCTACTCAGGAGGCTGAGGCAGAGAATTGCTTAAACCCAGGAGGTGGAAGTTGCAGTAAGCCAAGATTGCACCACTGCACTCCAGCCTGGGTGACAGACTAGGACTCTGTCTTAAAAAAAAAAATTTAAACAGGCAAAAACCTTTACTCATTAATAGAGGGAAGACTTCACTTTCCAAATAATCTTTTTTTTTCTTTTCGTTTTGCTCCAGTTTATTCAAAAGAGCAGACAACAATCTTTCATTTTTTAAATATTACATGAAAATCTTGTTCACAGTTTGTTAAATCTCACCCTTGCATTAGTGCACTATTGATGTCAAACCTAATTCTTAATAAAATCTTATAGGAAAATCTATCTAGTCTTAATCACTTTGATCATAAGTTAAGATTCCTATAATCCTTTGATAACACTTTACAATTTTTTGTGAAAAAGCAGATTAGTGCTCTAAAGGAAACCAGCTGTTCTTTTATTCCAGTGTTCAATTTATAAAAAAATTGAATACTCCTTTAACTTTAGCCAATATGTTAACACAAAGAATTTCTTTTACAAGATTTAATTTTTTGCAAACCTTTCACAACTTGGTTAAACCTTCAGCTCTATAATTTAGGCCAAAAGTAATCCACATTCCCATGACTTCTCGTAATCTTTTACCAAAAACACATTTTACTTTTTTCTACATACCTAGCATGTAAAACTATTTTTATTTCCCAAAGATTACTAAAGTCATATAAACTAAAACATGACTTTAGTAAAATACACCACGGTTTCTATTTTTCTGATAAAATATTTTCTTTAAGCTCTTATTATTTTTAAACAAATTATTCAAAGCTCTTTCATATTGCACACACAACACATATAAATACATAGTTGGAAGAAGAAGATCAAGTACCTTTAAGATTTTTCCTTTGTCAGTTTTTTAATTGGATTACCACCCTGGCTTTAGGGTGGATGCCTCAGAGAAACAGGGCCAGGAAAGCAAAAAACAAGCAGTTTCTACAGCCTAGTAAGTAGGCACAGCTGGAAGGCAAAACACATCCCTCCAAATTAAGACTTATTTTTATGCTAGAACCTGGATCCCAAAAAGAGAAAATTAGCCCATCTTCCATTGGCATCTTATCTCTCAGTAGAGGGAGGGGACATTTTCATATCTTCTAGGTGGCCAAGAGCACACTTCTCTGATTCAAATTTGCAAAAAGCCGAGTATCCCCCCGTAGCTGCCATTAGCCATCACTCAATGTATATTTCCTACCTAGTTATTACATATCTAAGTTCTCTCATAATGTGAAGTAATTTCTGATACTCCAGAAAGTAAAAACCATCAGACAATGCAATGCAAAATGCAACAGAGCCTTAGACTTTGAGAGGGATCTATCCACTTCCAATTCCTGGGGTTTCATGAGGAAAACAGATGTTTTTCCCAAAATGCCTATTGTGGCATCTCCTCTGTTTTTTCCAAGGAGTTCCAGCTGTTAGAGCTTGAATATCTGCATTTAATTAAGCAAACTTTTGGGCCAGGCATAGTGGTTCACACCTGTAATTCCAGCACTTTGGGAGGCCGAAGAAGGCAGATCACTTGAGATCAGGAGTTCAAGATCAGCCTGGCCAACATGGTGGAAACCCATCTCTATGAAAAATACAAAAATTAGTGGAGTGTGGTCATGGGTGCCTGTAATCCCAGCTACTCCGGAGGCTGAGGCAGGATGATTGCTTGATCCCAGGAGGTGGAGGTTGCAGTAAGCTAAGATTGCTCCACTGCACCCCAGCCTGAGTGACAGAGCAAGACTATCTCAGAAAAAAAAAAAATTACAAAAATAAGCTGAATTTTAACCATGATGCACTTTTTAAAAAAATTTGTTTATTTATTTATTTATTTATTTATTTTGAGACTGAGTTTTGCTCTTATTGCCCAGGCTGGAGTGCAATGGTGTGATCTCAGCTCACTGCAACCTCCAGCTCTCAGGTTCAAGCAATTCTCCTGCCTCAGCCAACCGAGTAGCTAGGATTAAAGGCATGCACCACCATGCCTGGCTAATTTTGTATTTTGAGTAGAGGCAAGGTTTTTCCATATTGGTCAAGTTGGTCTCAATCTTTCAACCTCAGGTGATCTACCCGCCTTGGCCTCCCAAAGTGCTGGCATTACAGATGTGAGCCACCAAGCCTGGCAAAAAATTTATTTCATTCTCTTATTACTTGACTTAGGCCATACCAAAGTGTCAATATTTCTGACTTTTGAACTCTGCTAACATAACCTCCCAGGCGAAACCAATAAGCATTTTTTTTTTTTTTTGAGATGGAGTCTCCCTCTGCCACCCAGGCTGGAGTGCAGTGGCCAAACTCGGCTCACTGCAACTTCTGCCTCCTGAAATCAATAAGCTTTAACTAAGGTTATTAACCTAACCACAAGTGTACAAGGTATTTTCAAAAAGGTGGCAAGCACTTTTTACAAAATATAAAATCTTTAAAAGTAGCTCAGAGAAAGGAAAATCCAAGATAGTTCATGGAGGGGAAGAGAATCCACAAATGTTCACACAGTTATCAAATCAGAAAGGACTCATTTCCTAAGCCAGAAATTGAACCCTGAACTCGGGCTGCCACTGTGAGACAGCAAAGCCCAGCTACTGAGCTACAGCCCTGAGCAGTCTCCACTGGAGTCTCCCAGAAGAAGCCTCCAGCAGCCAATTTTGAGCTTGCAAAGGTTTTTAACTGCTCAAGATCATTTTTAGGGTTAACTATAACATAAATTTTAAAACTTCTGTATGCTGGATGGTAGAAACCAAGAGAACATATTGCCATATGACTACAAGGTCAAGCTCCCAAGAACATAAAACAAGAGGGAAACTTCATCCATTTTGTTGTTGTTTGTTTCAAGGGCTTCTTTTCTGTACCTTTGAAGGTGAGTCTTGCTCTGTCTCCCAGGCTGGAGTGCAATGGTGTGATGTTGGCTCACTGAAACCTCTGCCTCCCAGGTTCAAGCAGTTCTTCCTGCCTCAGCCTCCTGAGTAGCTGGGACTACAGGTGCCTACCACCACCCTGGCTAATTTTTGTATTTTTAGTAGAAATGAGGTTTCACTATGTTGGCCAGGCTGGTCTTGAACTCCTGACCTCAGGTGATCCACCTGCCTCAGCCTCCCAAAGTGCTGGGATTACAGGTGTGAGCCACCTTGCCAGGCCTGTTTCAGGAACTTCTGACCAGAAGTTTCAACATGTGGTCTCTGGGAAAGATGGTGGCCCAGAGTAACAGAAAAGATAGGAAAGGGAAATACATATATGTATATATATACACATATATATGAAGGCAAGCAGATCCCTCTCCAAATTAAGATTATTATTTTATACTAGAACCTGGATCCCAAAAAGAGAAAATTAGCCCATCTTCCATTGGTGTATCTCTCTTTCTGAGAGAGAGAGAGAGAGAGAGAGAGAGAGAGAGAGAGAGAGAGAGAGAGAAGCATTGCCTATGGCAGGGTGGGAAAGGTGAGGAGCTCAGAAAAGCCTGAGAAAGACCTATGCATTGCACTGAATCAAAAGTTTAGGTGGCCGCTTGTTGGTTGTGAAAGAATCTTTTTTGGCAGTCCCATCTGCTCTCAAGTTTCCCACTTTAGGGAGGAAAAAGCTCCACTTGTTCCATGATCCTATACTCGCCTAATTCTATCAGCCACAGTCATCAGCGAAAAGTGCAAGGCAGATTAATCCAAAAACAGGGATGGGCACAGTGGCTCATGCCTGTAATCCCAGGACTTTGGGAGCCTGAGGGGGGCGGATCACAAGGTCAGGAGTTTGAGACCAGCCTGACCAACATGGGGAAACCCCATCTCTACTGAAAATACAAAACTTAGCTGGGCTTGGTGGCGTGTGCCTGTAATCCCAGCTACTTGGGAGGCTGAGCAGGAGAATCGCTTGAACCTGGGAGGCAGAGGTTGCAGTGAGCTGAGATCTCGCCATTGGACTCCAGCCTGAGCGACAAGAGCGAGATTCCATCTCAAAACAAACAAACACAAAGACAATCGTGGTTAACATTCCATAATGCCAAATCTAATCTTAGCTCAGAGGGACTTTACTGAGAGAGGACTCTAACCCCCTAAATCTTAGAAAAGACTAACCTTTTGAAGTTGCGCCTCAACCACAAGTTTTGTCAAGTGTTCTTGCCTTTTATTAAAGGGGACCTTTTGTCTTATCTGCCTTAGGAGACACTCTAACTCCCCTAAATTGGGCTACTAACCCAATCCCATTCCATACCCGGATATGCCACCACTTACAAAAAGTTAGCCAATTGGCAGTTCACTCACCTGGTGACTCTGATAGCTTCTTCACCCCAGCCTGGGTCCTCCTTTGTTAGATGGGGGTCCCAGGCTTCCTGCAGACAGAAGCCAACCACCAGCCCCACCTTGTGGGCCAGATCCCCAGCTCATTCACTTGGAAATTACTCAGGTTGGCTGGGCCATTGCCCCTCTCCAAACCCTCCCCTTCCACTTATCAGGCGACAGCCTTCCTGCAAAGCTGCCAGGCTAGGGATGAGGAAGCCTCAGTCCCCCTAGAATGGCTGTCCCAAGTGGGCAGGTGCCTGGCAGCCGCCCACCAAGCCACTGCTCTCAGCTTACTGCGTGGAGCCTGGGGCACATGTAAGGAGCAGGTGGCATGCACAGCACTTAGCCCGGCTCAGCTGGGGACAGTAGGTGTTGCACCTCGGGGACCGTGTTATGCCTGCAGGTTGGGATGGGAGCACCCTTCCCCCTGCTGGCCCCACAAACCCTTCTAGAAGAGCCACCACGTTCTTCCTGACCTTGACAGCCAGCGGCCCCACAGCCCTGGGACATCTGCCAGCATCCCTATTAGCCCACCAGGTATGAAAGCAGGGTGGGGGCAGTGGTGACGCTAGAGGGTGTCACCTTGTCGTGCCCAGCACTGGGGGGCTGGACATGAGCTCATGCACTCATACCCACACTCCAAAGTCCAGCCTCTCACTTTGGTCAAAGCTGGCCAGGAACTGGGACCTTGGGACAGAGGGGACAGATGTCTCCGTGCCGACTCCCTGCAGCGTCCTCACGGTTGGGTGTCACTTTGGCCACTGCAGGTGCCACATCAAACGCTGCGCCCAGGTGGCTCCAGCTGCGATCTTCAGGAAGCGGGGGCAGCAAAACTGGGCACTGGCCCCACGGTGACACTCACACCTGGTGACCGCTTTCCACCCAGGCACCCGTTCCGTGTCCTTGAACCCTCAACCCGCTGAACCTTTGCCTTGTGCCGGCTGAGTCTTTCTTCGCCTCGCTCTCCAGGAGCTCCGGGGAGGTGTTGGCCACAGCGGCCGCAGCCAGGCAGAGCGCAATGACGCAGGCCGAGGTGCCCAAGGCGGGGAGGGGACCTTAGCTTCTTCAACTAGTGCCCTCAACTACCGGCAGGCATGCTCCCTGCCAGGTCTGTGTATGACACCCACAGAAGGAGGGTTATGAGAGGCAGGCTGCTTATCATAACTCCAGTTCTGGGCCCCCTGGATGTGGGATAGAGGGGGACAGGCAGAGCTGGGATGTGACTGTGATGGGGATGGGTCTGTCAAGGGCTGGCTGGGAGCTCCAGCCTCCTCTCTTCTTGGTAGGGGGTCTGAGGCCCATCTGCAGCCTCTTTGACTCCTTTTATTCTGCAGAACACCCAGACTCCAGCCTTCTCATGGGAATCATAGATGCACGAGGCCCAGGGTTCTTTCGGCCTCTTCCCAACCATGTTGTTTGTATTTCCCCCATATATTTGGGGTACAGGAGGCCCTTATTATGAACTCAAATTCCACCCACGTTATAGTTAGTCCTGGGATCTGTCATCTTGGTCAGAATCTGAGAGACTGCCTCCCTACCTAGAAGAGGCCATTGGGCATCTTATCCCACATTCTGTGGACATGACCTGCTATGATGTCTGTCTACTTTGAAGGAGTGTCTAACTCGTTGAATAGAATTGAGGCCCAGAGATCTAAATGCTGTAGTCATTGAATTATGCCAAGGTTCTAGAAAAGTAACTACACAAAGTTAAGTGCTTAGTATTTCTGTGTTAAATGAAAGAATTCCAACCAGAACCTTCTTGGATATCTAAGTGGGCATGAGACCCCTTTTCCAGCACCCAGGGACCCCTCATCTGTCTATATAAAGGATGACGACAGCCGGGCGCGGTGGCTCATGTCTGTAATCCCAGCACTTTGGGAAGCCAAGACGGGCAGATCCCCTAAGGTCGAGAGTTCGAGACCAGCCTGACCAACATGGAGAAACCCCATATCTACTAAAAATACAAAATTAGCCAGACATGGTGGTGCATGCCTGTAATCCCAGCTACCCAAAAGGCTGAGGCAGGAGAATCGCTTGAATCCAGGAGGCAGAAATTGTGGTGAGCCGAGATTGCCCTCCAGCCTGGGCAACAAGAGTGAAACTCCATCTCAAAAAAATAAATAAATAAAAATAAATAAAGGATGATGACTAGCTAAAAAAATCCTTCACACTCTCTTTAAAATAGAAAACAGATTATTAATTTATCTTAATGAATAAAACATTTGCTTTCTATGTGCTCTTTTGCCTTTAACTATAGTTCACACTTTACTCAACATCAGATAATTCATACTAGAGAAATACTGTACATGTAATGGATGTAGAAAGAGTTTGATCTAAAATATAAACCTTAGAAATAACCAGAATTCATAGAGAATTCTTCCTAGGGAAACTTTTCAAATGCAATAAATGTGAAGAAGTATTCAAAAATCAAGTCTAAATAAACATCAGAGAATTTCCACGATAAAGTACAAAGGCACTAACATTTTCAAACTTTACATTAATCAAGAATGTTTAATATAGAGAATAATCTAAAGTCAAAACAATGAGATAATTTGTTTATATGGTTTTTTTTTGTTTGTTTGTTTGTTTTGAGACGGAGTCTTGCTCTGTTACCCAGGCTGAAGTGCAGTGGCGCGATCTCGGCTCACTGCAAGCTCCACCTCCCGGGTTAAAGTGATCCTCCTGCCTCAGCCTCCCAAGTAGCTGGGATTACAGGCACCTGCCACCATGCCCGGCTAATTTTTGTACTTTTAGTAGAGACGGGGTTTCACCATGTTGGTCAGGCTGATCTCAAACTCCTGACCTCAGGTGATCCACCTGTTTCAGCCTCCCAAAGTGCTGGGATTACAGGCTTGAGCCACTGTGCCCAGCCACATGTGGAATTTTATCACTGTGCTTTTTTATATGAAGCACTATAGTATTTTCACATAGCATAGTACTCGCGATATAAAAGCTCAAAAATTGTGATTCCTTGGACAGTCACTAAATCTTCAAGCAAAAACACATTTTTACATTCTTTTTACATTGATTACAAAATACCATATGAAGAATTATTTTTAATATTAACTTGTTACATACTTTGATACAGTTTACATCATTTTTATGTTCTTGAGGGAGGGAAATTAGGGTTCAGTTTATCACTGCACATTCAGGAGGCAAGTCAATCTTTTTTATTTCCTTATAAAATTAACATCTTCAAAAGCTGTTAAACAGAAGGTTATCTTAATTTTTATTGCAGTAGAAGGAAATATATTTAAAATATTTGTAGATTTGTAGCAAATAGAGACTCATTATTCAAAGGATAAATAACAATTTTTTCTTTTGTTATTTTTGCCAGTTTAAGGTAGTTGCTGCATATGTCATATAAATGTCTTCCTACCACATCAAAAATGTTGCTTTTAAAATTTTTGTTTATCAACTGAGAAGGAAGGAATTTTCTCTCTATAAGTTTCTGTCATCGAACACATCAACATCAAAAAGAATATTAGAATCCAGCATGAAGATAATGACTAATAAAAATGAGGTACATATTTTATAAAACCATTAATCAGATTTGAATGAGGAATACTTTCCATATCCTTGAAAGAAAAACTGTGGCTTGGGTTTTAAAGTTTTCTGAGAACGAAGTATTAAGATCCTATTTCTATAAGCAAGATCAGACTTACTAAGTATGCCACAACTAAGAGCTCATTCATTCATTCTATGTGTGCCACTAAATAAAGAGATTGAGCAAGTAAAAAAATATATACAGAAATTGGAACTGAAATAAACAGTGGCAGAACTGAAAAAATGTAATAGAGATGTTTAACAGGAGAATCAATCCTAAAGAAGAAAAATTCAGCAAGCTCAAAGACAGGTTATTTAAAAGTAACCAATCATAAAGTGAACAAATATACACATTTCAGAAATTTCAGAAAAAGGGAGAGAGAGGAAAAGAGATTTAAATATATAATGTCTTTAAACTTTCCAAATCTAGAGAAGAATATGAACATCAAGTTTTATGAAGCTCAAAATACCTTCAGCAAGAAGAACCTAATAAAGATTGCCCTTGAACACATTATGATTGTCAAAATACAGAGATAAAGCACAAACCTTGAAAACAGCATGAGATAAATTCTTCACATAGAAGGAAACCTTTATAATGGTATTAGTGGATTTTTCAGCAGAAACTTTGTAAGAAAACTGGGAGAACATATATTCAAAATGCTGAAAGAAGGAAAAAAACTGACAATTAAGAAGAGTTTATGCAACAAGGCTGTTCTTTAGAAATAATAGAGGTCAAGACATTCCAACATTTCAAGACAAAAAAGAAGGTGAGGGAATTTATCACGCCTCAACCTGTCCTGCAAGAAATGCTAAAAGGAAGTCTTTATATTGATATGATCAAATTTAAATAATATGAAAAATATTAAAGTATAAATGTCACTGAAAATGGTAAATACATAGTGAAATTTAGAATACTCTAATACTGTAGTGGTTTTGCATAAGTCACTTTGACCTTTAGTGTAAGATTTATAAAAAGTATTAAAAATAAAATAGCTACAATAATTTGTTAATGGACACACAACACAAAAAGTTGTAAAGTGTGACATATATAGTACAAAATGTGTGAAAGGGAGACAATTTGTAAAGTTTTTCTATGCATAGAAGTTAAATTGTCATCATCTCAAACAAGATTGTTAAGATACAAGATGTTTTATGTAAGTCTCATGATAACCACTGGGAAGAAAAAACCATAGTAGATACACAGAAGAAAAAGAGAAAGTAATTAAAGCATATAAAAAGAAAAAAAAGGAAACAAAAATTTAAGCTTGGGTGGTGGCTCATGCCTATAATCCCCGCACTTTGGGAGCAAGGTGGGAGAATAATGTGGGAGCCACAACTAAGGGCTGTGTTGGGTGTCTGCCATAGAATCCCTGTACATCAGGTGCCTAATAAGTGCTCAGGCAGGTGAGGCTCCTGGGCAGATGGGTGGGTGACCTATAGACCTGCTTGCACCTCAGTGAGCACCTCCACCAACAAATGGGCCAGGCCTCCACTTTTCTTCCTATCTGTCCCATCTCATTTGATGTGCCCAGTCACTCTTTGCGGTTGGCACTGTTTGTGTCCTATATCCACTGTCTGCAGGTGGACAGGAAAGGCTAGTGGGTGAAGAAACTCATCCAGGTCACACAGTTGGTGAAACGTGGAGCTGGGATAAGACCCAGATCACTAGACTCTAGTCAGGGAATGGCTGGTCTGAGAAAGCTGGTGCCAGAGGCATGGCCTGACCCTGCCCTGCCCTGAAGAGCAGAGCTGCTCACTCCTTCCATCAGAGTCAACTGCTCTGCCAGCAGCTGGGGAGGGAACTCCATGTCAGGCAGCTCTGCACTGGGCTGGTTTTTTGCAGTTGCAATGCCTCAGAAGAGTGCGCAGCTGAAACCAAAATGCCTAGACAAGAGCAGTGCGGCTATGTGATGGGCCTGTTGCTGGGGAGCATAGGCCCCCTCTCAGTGGCTGCAGTGGAGGCTGGCAGCTGTGAAACATTGTGGCCCACTTGCCACCTCCCCTCCTCAAAAACAGGGTGGATTCCACTGTTGGGGTGCAGGAAAGTGCCTGGTCTCCACAATTCCTCCTTGGCCTTGTGGCAGCAATAGCAGTGGCAGTAGTGACTGTGGCAGGAGCCCCAGGGTGGTCCACTGGCCTCTGGGGCCGGGCTCTCAGAAGAATGCGGGCCACAGCTGAAATGCTCAGGCAGGAGCAGGTCAGCTGCACTGTGGACTCGACACTGGGGAAGGCAGGCCTTGTGTAGTAGGACTCAGTCATCTCACAAATCTGTAGGGCTCTTTTCATTTTTCTTCAATCATTCATCTGAAATGTTGTCTTCAGATTGGTTAATTTCTAGGGCTTTGTCTTTAAGTTTATTTCTTCTGTTTCTAATCAGTTGATCCTCTCAACAGTTCTTTTTTATTATCATATTTCTATTTGGTTCTTTTATAATTTCCATTTCTCTGCTGAGATCCCACATCT
Source organism: Homo sapiens (assembly GCF_000001405.40). Lineage (NCBI taxonomy): Eukaryota > Metazoa > Chordata > Mammalia > Primates > Hominidae > Homo > Homo sapiens. The sequence continues at coordinate 64,187,288 of NC_000007.14, read as the reverse complement.
GCTCAATCATTATGAGAATATTTTTCTTTACCTCCACGACCATATTTATAATAGCTGCTTTCCAATTCTTGTCATCTTATTACAACACCTTGAACATCTTGGAGATAGCTTCTGATGCCTGTTTTAGTTTTAGTCTTGTATATGAATTACATTATCCTGCTTTTTTCACACATCTCATGAATTTTAAAATTATGTGCTAGAAACTATAAATGACAATTATAGAGACTCTGGATTCTGTTATGTTTCTTGAGGATTATTATTTTTCTAGAAGAAACTTAATTTGAACTCAACTCGAATCCCTATCTCCCCTACAGTGGACAAAGCTGAAATTCTCATTCACTTCTTACCCACCCATGTAGTATACCATATGTATTACATATAAATATATTTCTATATAATTACATATCATATTTTATCAAAAATGTATTATTTTTCCTGTGAGAGTCTTGTTAAACAAGCTACTTCACTCTTACCTGAAGCCAGAAACTCAGTTTTGTTTGCTTTTTGATTTTTTTCATGAATGGAATTAGATACTATGCATGCTTTTTAATCTGGTTTCTTGTATGCAACATTGTGATATTCATTCATCCCATTGTATGTATGCATAGTTTTTTTTTTTTTCAGTAAGGAAACATTTGGTAATCTGACAGGAAAATGTAAAGACGGTTTGAAGTTAAAGTTATTCTTTAACATCTGTTTTGTTGACGAGGACTGTGAGGAGGCAATTCACCTGTGCAAGGTTACCTAAGAAAATAAGCGCTCTCATTCTAAACTTCAGAACCCAGCTGTGGATACTCTGCTGTTTTCAGGAATTAGGTACATTTAGTTTTCTCCTTGGTGGCTCCCTTTCTAACAATCCCAGGGCCAGTGCCATCCTGCTTCTACAGGTGACATGACAATTATGGGCCTGAGGGGGATGAACTCACAGTATCCTTTCCTTATAACCATGGCTCAGGGACCACAATTCACACACAGACTCACTCCAAGACTCAGCCGGGTGATTGTCTGTTTCTCAGCTTCATTATCAGTGAGTGATCAAGACTCAGGTGGGATGATGTCTGTAATTCTCTCACAATTTGTTCTTACATCTCACTGAATTATAACTAGTCAGTAGGTATTCCTAGATGAAATATTAATATTATGAATATATAAATGTATAGATCGGTGGAAGAAAATTTGAAATTATGTAATCAAGCTAGAAACCATCATTCTGTGCAAACTATCGCAAGGACAGAAAACCAAACGCCACATGTTCTCACTCAAAGGTGGGACTTGAACAATGAGAATGCTTGGACACAGGGTGGGGAACATCACACACCAGGCCCTGTCGTGGGGTGGGGGTAAGGGGGAGGGATAGCATTAGGAGATATACCTAATGCTAAATGACAAGTTAATGGGTGCAGCACACCAACATGGCACATGTATACATATGTAACAAACCTGCAGGTTGTGCACATGCACCCTAGAACTTAAAGTATAATAATAATAATAAATTATGAATCATATTTGAATTTGAATTTTATTTTCCACTTTAAAAAATTAGTACAAATTATTTTATGCATTTATGCAAATCTTTACATTTTAAGACACTCCAAATCTGCACCAATTCAGAGTGATGTAATTATACTACTTTGGGCTTAAGTTTGGAAATGCTGTAGTACATTTCTAACACTTAAGGATGGTTTGAATGATCATGTGATAAAACAAGAATTTTTTTTCATGATTCCAGAAATATCTTTTATTCCTTTAGATATATAAAACACTGTTACTTCATATTCTGTCTGATAATTCCAGTATCCGTGTCTACCTGTTGTTTCTGCTGGGTCTCATAGTGTATTGTTTTCTTGTGTTTATGAATTTTAAAACTGGATATCTCATTTTCTTTTCTCTCTTTCTTTCTTTTTTTTTTTTTCTGTAGAGATGGGGTCTCTCACTACGTTGCCCAGGCTGGTCTCGAACTCCTGGCCTCAAGTGCTGGAATTCCAGGCGTGAACCACTGCGGTCGGCCGAGATAGTCGTTCTCCTTGGAACTTGATCAACACAAAATCCTGAGACCTGGTGTGGTTGTGTTCCTCTGGGGCAGATTCTCAACCAGGGACACTTCTGCCCCCAGGGACACATTTTGACATCCTGAGACAGTTCTGGCTGTCACAACTGTGTGTGCACGCACTTGTACGTACCTGCGCAAGCTATGGCATCTCGTGGATAGAGGCCAGAGATGCTGCTCACATCCTGCCAGGAGACTGACCCGCGCAGCATTACTAGGGCGGGCTCAAGGCAGGGTCTGCATGTGCCTCTGCCAGCCACCTAGACAGTGCCAGCTGGGGCCACTTTATATTCTCCCCTCGTGGTCTGTAGGGCCACACACTAGCCTGATTGCAAGCTGTAAACTTGGAGGACCTATTTTTTTTTCTCACCTTGCATGGAACACCAAGGCTGAGAGGCATTTTTTCCGGAGGTGCCAGCCTGTCTCACATTTCCGCTTTAGCTGCGGGGTCCAGCTCTACGTGGGCGGTCTTCTGATGAAATCACCCCGGGACAGACACTGTTCTGTCTCCTGCTTCCAGTCCTGTAAAGATGCCCGGATCCCCTAGCGCACGTCAGGCACCCTCAAAGGCAGACATGGGGAGGCCCTAGTGGGCAGACCCCAGCCTGCTGATGGGGGGCTTCTCCCCGGCTGCCGCTGGCCCACCCACTGCGCTGCAGTCCACCTGGTGCTGGGGCTGTGGGGCACAGGCCTTCAGGACCCGCTCCCTTTCCCGCCCAGGAGGTCCAGGCCTGGCGTCTTTATGTCCCCTGGAAAGCCCACTCCCATCCTCAGGGTAAGAGGGCAGCTGCACGCTGGGCTGTCTTGGGCCTGTCCTGGAACACCCCTGCAGCCCGGGTGCAGCAGGGGATGTGGCTCTGTGGGGTTGCTGTGGGAAGGTTGGCATGGAGCTGGGTTCCAGAAGAGAGTTGCCGCTCTGCCTGCCAGGACCCCTCCTCTGAGACAGGGTGCCTTGTGGGACAGTGTACCAAAGTGTCCTGGGCATGAGGGGTCCCTGCTTCCCCCACACACTGACCCTGCATCGGGGGCCCTACGCCCCCCACACACTGACCCCTCATCAGGGTCCCTGCGCCCAACACACACTGACCCCGCATAGGGGGCCCTGTGCCCCACACACACTGACGCCGCATCGGGGGCTCTGTGCCCCACACACACTGACTGTGCATCGGAGGCCCTGGGCTGCAGAACCCACCCATGATGTTGCCGTGCCCCTGGTTCTGGTGGCACTGGGGCCCGCCAGGCTGGGCTGAGTAGGGGGCCCCCACCAGTGCGTATCCTAGCACCAGCGGGAGAGGGCCTGGGCAGGGGGGCAGGGAGTGACACCAAAGGGGACCTGCCCCAGCCTCCTCCTGTACCCTGGGTGTTCTCCTTTTCCTTGGCTGAGGGAAGTGGCCTCTCCCCATAGAAACCTGGGGTCAGCCTGGGCGTGGGAGGAAAGGAGGGTGAGCAGGACCCCAGACCTTGGGAATCCTGAGTCGGGGGTGACAGACTCTCCCTATGACATGCCTGGGAACTGTCTGGAGGCCCAGGCTGACCCCCCTCCTGGGGACAGGGCCCTCCGAGGGAGTCAGGCTCACAGGTTGTTTTGTGGGACTCAAAGTGGGGCAGCGTCCTGGCCAGGATGAGGAAGGCCATCACCCCGGGGTCTGCGGGAGGCACACGCAGGCCCAACTCTCGCCCACCTGGCTCCCCCATCTGCTGCAGTCAGAGTCCCTCAAGCTTGGCCGGGACCTGAAACCCGACCGCCATCCCTGGGGCTCCTCTGCCAGGCGGGCATCCCCCGCTTAGAGGCCATCCCCACCCCCTCCATCTGCTCCCGTCCGAGCGACAGCCACTTTGTCCTGGTGCCCTGGTTGAGGCGGGCGGGGGGTGGGGGAAGCTGCCCTTGGACCCGCAGGTCTCGGGCGCAGCCTCAGCGCCGCATCCGAGCTGCCACGCGCCCTCTGCTGGCCTTTGGTGGAAGTGCAGCCTGGCGTGAGCAGTTCTTTTCCCTGGAGATGGGACCCAAAGCAGCACCGCTGGAAACCAGGTATCTGGTAACTCGTGGAGGGGTCCCCCACTGTCCGCTGACAGCGGCAGTAGTAGCTGCGGACTATGCGGACTCAAGAGAGCCCCAGCCCATGTCAGCACCGGAAGCCGAAACCGAGTCAAGGGCTCAATGTGGGGGCCAGCCGGGGACAGGCCTGGGGAGCCCGGATGGCAAGGCGGGCAGGAAGGCGCCCACTCCTGAACTGCCTGGGCCTGCCGGGGGTCTCCAGCCAGAGAGGCTGGGTGCGACGAAGCGCCCGCCCTCGAAGGGCTGAGTGCCAGGCCGGCCCTGCGGGGGCCGGCTCAGCCCACACGGGAAAGATAAAGGTGGAGTCCAGAGGACCCCCATCCTGCTGGCTCAGGGCGCGGGCCTCAAATAGCTGCTTAATGAGCGCCGACTTCTGCTCCAGCTGCGTGATGCGCTCACTCTTCTCGGTCACCTCCTGGGTGAGGAGTCGGTTCTGCTCCTTCAGCATGAGGATGATCTGCTGCTGCCAGCCCGGGGACGAGGTGGACGTCAGGGCAGAGCAAGGGGGCCCGGAGGAGGATGTGGGCAGGGCCCGACCGGCACAGGCCTCAGCCAGCAGCTCCCCCAGCCACCGGGCCACCTCCTGTACCTTGGGCAGTAGCCGTCCCAGTGGGCGAGGGCTCCCCACGGCCCCAAAGTCGGCGCTGGCTCTGCTCTGGCCCAGGCGGCACTGGCGCTCCTGCACTTGTTGCAGCTGCTGCTGGTACCAATCGCGGCCCTGCGCCATCATCTCCAAACCCTGTAGCAGCACCTCCTTCTCCTGCTCCAGCTCCTTCATCTGCTTCAGCAGGCCGCAGTCCACGCCGCTGGTGATGGTGTGCCTCCGGTGTTCCCCTCGGGCACAGGGGTCCGCCGGGCATCCCCTGAATCCGCCTCCAAGGCGCTGCAGGCCGCTGCACCTGCGTCCGCGCCGGGTCTCCGTTCCAGCGCAGCGCTCTGGAACCGCTCGGGCCCCGCGGGGCACTGCGCCGCCTCGGCGGGAGCGTACAGCTGCTCCCGGCTGCGGCCCGCGCCGCTGGGACAGGCCAGAGGGGCGCGAACGCCCAGGGACAGGGGCTTCCTCTCCAGAACCGTCAGCAGATCGTCCGCCGGTGCAAACACCAGGCGCTGCGGGGGCGGAGGCGGAGGCGGAGACGGCGGCGGCGGCTGCGGCGGCGGCGGCGGCGCCTGGTCCGGGGTGCTGCCGTCGGCTGTCAGCAGCGAGGTGCGTAGGCCGGCCACGAAGCGCTGGAAGGTTAGGTAGCCGCTGGCTGGGGTCACCTGGCTCAGGCCCTCCAGCACCCCGCTTGGCAGCTCCCGCGCTTCGACCCAGAGGGACTGGATCTCTCGCAGGTGCACGCAGCCGCGCTGCCAGTCGTCCAGGATGTCTAACAGGGTGCGCAGGCTCTGCAGGAAGGCGCGCGGCAGGCCCGCCGTGCTGCGCGCGGGCGAGGCGGGAGACACGCGGCCCGGCTCGGCTGTCGCGGCCCGGGTCATGGGCGCCTGGGCTCGGTCCCCTAGTCCACCCGCGTGCGTCCCCGAGCGAACCCACCGCGGGGCCGGCCCGGCGCGCTCCCAAGACTTTCAATATACTTCACATTAAGAAGCTTTTAGTAGAGGACCATAATAAAACTACGTTTAATCCTATTATACTAATTGCTAATAGGGAGATTTTTTTTTTTTTTGCTATCACAAAACTATCTGAAAAGAACACCTTCTGCTATGTGTCTGTTATATAATTTTTATAGGATACATGAAACGTTGCATGCATGAATGTGATATTCAGCATGATGTCAGAGTGATGTGATATGACAGCCACTCAATGCATTATTATTTTTTTCCAAAATACTTCTGGTGATTGCTTTTTCCATTAGCACAAAATCTACTTCAGTTCTACAAACACCCATGATTCATACCCATGTCACCCATGATTCACCATGTCACAGTTCTGGGTGGTGAAAACTAAATGAAGGAATGCAAAAAGTGAGAACTAAATGCTTACTAAAAAAGTGTGTCCTTGGTACTATAGGAGTACAGATAATGTGCGCCCTCTACAGGGGTGACTGTGAATGTGTGCGTGTTCGCTCAACTATGTTAATTTGGTTGATCATATAATGATCAGGCTGGATGTTTAAGAATTTATATGTGATGATCAACATTAATCAAAATGAATGGATGGATTTAAAATGATAATGACGGTGATAATTTTGAATTTGAAGTAACATTGATGATGGAAGTTCTATTGGTTGTTTTTTTCAGCTACATAAAATATTTCCTATTTGCCATTAAAATGAACAGTTTCCACTTAACGTTATCATTCAAAAGTGCCTTCTTTGCCCAAGCTGATGTTGGAGTCTCCACCAACATCCTCCTCTTTTTCTCTTGTATCATGACGCTCCTTCTGGATCTCAAGCTCACTGACCTGACCACCAGTCACTTGGACCTCGTCCACATCATGATGCTGCTCACCATTGTGTTCTTGGTGTCTCAAGACCTTTTTAAGTCCCTTCATTTTCAAGATGATTTCAAGTGTAAGATGCATTTCTAGGTGAGCGGGGTGATGAGGGACTCTCCATCTGCATCACCTGCCTCCTGAGCATGCTCCAGGCCATCATCATCAGCCCCAGGACCTCCTGGTTGGTGAGGTTTAAATATAAATTCACAAATCACATTTCACATGTTCTTGTCTTCTTATGGTCCTTCAGTTTGTCCTGCAGTAGTTACATAATCTTCTACACTGTGGTTTCTTCCAATACGACTCACACCAGTTTTCTGACACTCAATAAATACTGCCTCATTTCCCCAAGGAAGTCATCATCAGCCACCTTATTTTTCTTACTCTCTCATTATCCAGAGATGTGTCCTTTGTGGGAATTATGCTGCTCTCCAGTGCATACATAGTGACTCTCTTGTGCAGGCATCAGTGGTGATCCCAGCACCTTCACAGCACCAGACTCTCCCCAAGAGTTTCTCCAGAAAAAGGCCACAGAGACCATCTTGCTGTTGGTGAGTTTCTTTGTGGTCATGTACCAGATGGATTTGAGTCTCTCATCCTACTCAATCCTGATATCAACATATGACCCAGTCGTCCTGGGTGTCCAGAGGCATGTGACCAGTGCCTATGCCACTGTGAGCCCTTTGGTGCTAATAAGGTCTGAAAAAAGGATAACTGATATTCTGCAAATGATGAGACAGAAGTATTGTATATTTTTTCTATGAAAATAATTATCTGAAAAGGAGATTCTAACATCAGTTAAATTATTCAAGTATCAGAGGATTTGATATTTTATTTCATTGCAAACACTGTCATTTTATGTAAATCATTTGGAAACTGATGCTGCCAAAGACTTGATGGATCCTTTAGTTCATTGTCCACCATGATTTCATAGCCCAGTATGTTTGCAGTTTCTTGCATTTCATTTTGATTTCTTGAACTTCATTTTAATTTTTTTCTTTTTGAAGTATATTCTTAATAACCTCATATTGGTAATAAGATTTCTCATTTATTTACTTTTGGAAATCATTTAGTGCATCCTTACTTATTCAAAATATGTTAGTGAAGTATCTAATTATTGGTTGAACAGTAACTTCTCTCAGCACTCTTACTTATTTCTCTGTTTTCTGGCTGAACACAGGCTGTGGAGACTTTGCTCTCACCTTCGTTGGTTCTCTCTTCTTTTCTCTCTCAAGGCTTTAAAGATTTTTTTCTTTTTTTTGGTGTTACGCAGTTTGACTTTTATTTCTGTTGAGTATTTTTTTGTTGGTGGTCACTTTTAATCACAATACACTTCTGCATTCAAGAGTTCCTGATATTCAGTTTCAGAAATTTATAAATATTTATTAGTATGATTTGTTACTTGTATGTAAGCTAGTGAAACCTATGTGTTTGATTTCATCTCATTTTATTCTTTGTACATGTATAGTATAATCATATTTGTATTGTGATCATTTTGTTTTTCTGTAGTTCGTTTATTTCTTCATTTCATTATTCTAGTTCATTAATCCTGTTATTAACTTGGCCTAATTTAATAATTAAACCATACATTGTATATTAAGTTTATTTAAGTTTCAGTTGTTCAATTTCTATTTGAGTCTTTGTAAAACATGCCTGCTTAGTGTGTGTGTGTGTGTGTGTGTGTGTGTGTGCGCGCGCGCGCGCGCACGTCTGTGTGTATTTGAGAAGAATCTGTCACCCAGGCTTGAGTTCAGTGGTGGTCATAGCTCACTGCAACCTCAAATTCCTGGTCTCAAGAGACCCTCTCACCTCCACCTCCCCAGTAGCTGACACTACAAGCACATGCCACTGTGCCTGGATCATTTTTTCATATCTATTTATTGTAGAGACAGTTTTTGCTTTGTTGCCCAGGCTGGTCTCAAACTCCCGGCGGCAAGTGATCCTCCTGCCTTGGCCCCCGCAAAGTGCTGGGAGTACAGGCATGAGCCACTGCCCCCAGTGCCCGCTTTAGAACTTCATGTGTTTTCAAAATTATTTTGATATTCTCTTTCCCCATTTGTGTTACTGAATTATTTTAAATATGTTTCCAATCTGTGAAGTTTATGTGATGTATAATTTCTTCTTTCCCTTTTTTGGGTAGCTTATTTTGTGTGCTTCATTACTTACAATTATAGAGATCTCACATTTGGGATGGCCCCATTTAGTAATTTTCTGTGTTTATTCCAAGGGGCAGAGTGGACGATCCTCACAGGCTTGAGGTCTTTGTAATCAGCCCTGCAATCAGAGCTGTACCTGAAGGCAGCTCTAACTTCTTGCTATCGTAACTCCTATGAATTTGCCTCTTGATTCACTTCTGGTCCTGGGAAGTTCCCGTATTTTTCTACCAGCTCTGCTGGGCAGTTTCAGAATTCTTGTAAACTTTAAATATTTTTAATTTACTACATTAAGTGACCTTTGAGAATATGTTATTCTGTACTAAAACAGCAAATGTCCACATGCATATATGAGTAAAAAATGTTACATAAATATTTTGTGTAGAACAGTGCCCCATGAGAAATTGCAATTTTTCTCATTTAAAACATCTCAATGCCCATGTATTATACACTAACATTATCTGTGAAGTATAAATATTTTCTTAATACTTGGAAGAATTTTTATGTTTTGGACAAATGTCTGAAGTGATCATGCTCCACTTTAATGCATAACTCCTGCACGTGGGCAGAATTGCTGTTTTTCTATAAAATTAAGAAACTTAATTAGTAGAGTTAAATATATAAATTCAGTCTTTTGGTTTCAGTTACAAAGCTTCCTCCTTAGCATTTCTCTGGTGCTGTAAAAGTAATCTCAGTTTGAATTTTCCATTTAACCTAGATGTCATTTAAAACAATTTTAGGGATAAAAGACTACCCATTGAGTACAGTGTACACTGCTCAGGTGATGGGTGCACAAAATCTCAGAAATCACCACGAAAAAACTTATCCCTGTAACCAAACACAACCTCTTCCCCAAAAACCTATTGAAATAAAAAATTCACATAAAAGTAAAAAATAGGGGCTGGGCGCGTTGGCTCGCGCCTATAATCCCAGCACTTTGGGAGGCCTAGGCGGGTGGATCACAAGGTCAGGAGATCGAGACCATCTGGCTAACACGGTGAAACCCTGTCTCCACTAAAAATACAAAAAATTATCCGGGCGTGGTGGTGGGCGTCTGTAGTCCCAGCTACTCTAGAGGCTGAGGCAGGAGAATGGTGTGAACCTGGGAAGTGGAGCTTGCAGTGAGCCGAGATCGTGCCACTGCACTCCAGCCTGGGCAACAGAGCAAGACTTCATCTCAAAAAAACAATAATAATAATTAAAAAATAATAAATCTGAAAGGAAATTTGCATGTGGCTACACATTACTTGTTGGTTACACTGTAATTTTTATTGTCATTTTACAGTGTTCAAGAAATACTGCTTATAGGATTTGTGACTTTGTGAAGTTAAAGACACTAATTTAGGTTTAAAACCTTGCAATAGTAAATGATTTTCTTGGTATTGGAAAATTATGTCCATCCTCTTTTTTAGTGCTCAAAAATGCTGATCCCTTTTCCACTTAATTAACTTTCTAATAAAGTTTCAAACTTTCTAATACTTAACACTCTTTATTTTTTCTATACCAGACAGTTGATTTCCATGATCATTTTAATATCAATTAATGTCATTGTAAATGTATCAATTTTTCATTTAATTGATCTCTGTGTATACATTAAACTCTTTGGTATTAAATCTATGTGTAAATGGTTTGAAATTGCACCTAACATATCATTAATTATATCTAAGCATTAATCACTCTGATTAATCCAATTTTCATCTCTTTTTACTGTTTTGCATTTACTGTGTCATTTTGTGTTTATTAAAATCTATAATTCCTTTCCTTCAAACATATTTCCAATATATGAAGTTTATGTGATGTTCAAATAGTAATATTTAGGAGGTAGTTTTAGTTTGTCATTTAGGCAAAATCAAGTTTAATGACAGTTTTCTAATTAATTTTATTCTTTGTTACCTATTTATAATATTTAAATTTAATGAGCCCATAATTATATATATACGCATATCAATGATGACTACAGTAAAACAATTTAACATATGCATGAACTCATGTAGTTTCCTTTTGGTGTCAAAGCACCTAAAGTTTACCCTGTTAAAAAATTACCAGTATATCATATAAAAATAGTAACTATAACCTTTAAACTGTACTTTAGTCCTCTAGATTCATTTATTTTATAAACTGAAATGTTGAGTTGTGTTTTTTCTCCCCCTAGTTATCATTCTGTCCTGTATCTATGTATTTACTCTTTTTAAAGATTTCATATATAACAGAAATTATGCAGTATTTTCCTCTCTCCCTAAGCTATTTCACTTAGCTTAATATCCTCCAGGATCATTTATGTTATCACAAATGGCAGTATCTTCTCCTTTTTAAAAGCTGAAAAATATTATATTATATAATGTATTATACACACACACACACACACACAAACACCTCCCCCACATTTTTTTTTCTCCACTTGTCCATCAATGCACAGTAACGTGATCCCATGGCTTGGCTGTTGGGAATGATGCTGCGGTGGGGCACGGAGAAGAGGGGAGTGCAGATATCTCTACAAGATGCTGATTTCATTTCCTGTCGACATATAATTTATAAGAGGGGTTGCTGAGCCATATGGTAATTCTACTTTTAGATTTTCAGGAAGCTTCATACTGTTTTCCATAATGGCTGTACTAGCTTACATTTCAATCAGCAGTGTACGAAGGTTCCCTTCTCTCCACACCATCACCAACACTTGTTATATCTTGTCCTTTTTATAACAGCCATCCTAAGAGATGGGAGGTGATATCCCATTGTTATTTAATCAGAAACTGTAAAATTCCTAGAAGAATACATAGGGCAAAACTCCTTGACATTGGTTCAGATAATAATTTATTAAATATGACATTAAAAGCACAAGCAACAAAAATAAAAAATACAAGTAGGAGTACATCTAACCCTAAAGCTTCTGCACAGGAGAAACCAATCAATGAAATTAAAAAGAAGCTTACGAACTCGGAGAAAATATTTGCTAACAATATATCTCACAAGGGATTAATATCAAAATACATAAGAAATCCACACAACTGAACAGAAAAAAAGAGAAACAACTCACCAAAATCTAATAACCTGATTTAAAAACAAGCAAAGAACCGGAATAGACATTTATCTTTAAAAAAAGATATAAAAATGGCTAAGAAGTGCTCAACATCAGTAATCATCAGGAAAATGCAAATCAAAGTCCTCATTTACTTTAGATTCTATACTTTATTTCACACAATAAATATGAATGCGTACAGAAGGTACAGTAATCTCCATCCTACAACAGAGGACCCTGAGACTGGTGACTCTGGAATGCATCTGCATGGAGCCGGCCTGGGGTGGGGCGGGGGGGATGATGCTGAAAAGGACAGCAGATGACGTAGAACCAGGGGCAGCGACTCACCTGGGACCCCTCAGCAGAGGAGCCTCGGTCGGTCCCCAAAGCTCAACAGCACCCTCTGGGGACCTGCTCCCTGCTGGCTTGGTCAGCACCATGGACAGAGGATAGGTGAGCGAGGCAGAGTCAGAAAAATACAATGGGAGGACAGCCAGGTGCCCTAATCCAGAGCTGCTGGCTGACAGCCCTAAGAACCCCCCTGAGGCTAGGGATGAGGTAAAGGGCCAAGCTGGCCACCTGTGGGGCCCTCAGACAACCTCATTGCCTCTGGTGCCACCCCAGCAGTGCACAGCAGCACAAGTGGACAAGGCAGGCATGTGGATGGATCTGGGGAGTCTTGCTCAGGAGCTCTGACAGGACAAGGGTAAAAAAAGGGCTACTGTGGCTGGAGAGAGGGTCACAGCCTCTGGGTCAGACACGATGGAGAAATGAGGAAAAGTGAAGGGGTGGTGGCCAATATGTAGGAGAGGCAAGTGGATGCAGGATGGTCAGAGTCCGTTAGACAGGATGGGCTCCAGATGCATCCTCGGTGTACTGGGCACTTCTCAGCCTTCCTGGAACTGAGCCTGGTGATGTGGTCACTTTTGGGGAGACTGCTGTCAGGGCCCAGCCACACACCCCTGGGCAGCACTGTCCCATCGCAGGACTGGACTTTCTCAGGTCCCATAGGGGATGCTGCCTGTAGCCCAGAAGGGGCGGCCCCATTGTGCACCCTGAGCCCCCATGGATCCTGAGCAGCCCCTGCCTGGCCCTATGCTCCCTCTGCTCTCTTGCCCCGGCCCCTCCTGAGTGTCAGCCGCATGGAGGCCCTGTCTGTCCTTTCTTCCCTATGCAGGCTCCTGGGCTGAGACCTGGGTCAGATGGGGATGGGGCTGGTTCTTCCCTGAGACCTGCTCAGGAAAGGGGACAGCCCCCAGGCTTTTTTGGACTATTTGTGGATACTTTGTTTACATTTTGAATATTAAATGTGCATCATCTTGTTGGCCACGCAGTCCTGCAGGCATCAGTGCCCTAGCTGTCCTGTGAGTCCTCATGCAGAGCAGTGCCATTATGGTCAGCCCTTGTGAATAAGTGAGTATACCCTGAAGCTGACTTCCATCTGTGTCCTGCACTCTGATCCAGCACTCTCTACGGAAATAGTTGTCATTTCCTCAGTGATGGTGTGCCTTATAGTGATGGCTGTAATGGTGAACGGCTAGTGTCATTTTTCAAATTTTGTTTTGCTTTTTCATGGTGGATAAGATGAAATTTTAGTTGTTTCAGCACCAATCCAACTTAAAAGCATCTTGGACTTTGTTTTCCCTTCCAAATTAAAAGATCAAGGCATGTATTAGACACAAGCATATTTGTTGCCTCAACTCCTCTGACACCCATATTAGGAAAAGGCCTGCCACCAAAGCCGGAAGCTGCAAACTCCTAACCCTTCTCCCAGGGCGTGGGGTCCCTTGACACCATAAAGAGCTACTGCAAGGTGCTTCTGTACTTTTTCAGCCTGGAAATGGAGGGTGAACGGCGCTGGCTCCTGCTATGAGAAGAAAACCGGCCTCATTTTCTCAGTGCCCCAGAGATCTAGGACAGGATTTCTAAATTAGAATCATCCTTAATCAGCTTGAAGATCCCCCAAGAGGCATTTGACTGGTGCTGCCATCTGTGTCCTCAAAGCAATGTTGGTGGCAGCGTCCTGTGTACACATGCAGAGCTAATACCCAAACTAAAATACTGGGTAACTGGCCCTGAAGTGCTTCCCAATCAGTAAGCCCACAGGAAAATGTTTGATTTTTATGTTTTGTTGGATTTTGGTTTGCTTGGCATATCTAAAGGTGCCTTTTCTTTTCTTTTTCTTTTTTTGTTCTTCTTTTTTTTTTTTTTTTTGCTTTCTGCTTTGTTTTATAGGACTTGTTCTAAACATGGAAAACAAGTCCAGAAGACTCTCCCTCTGACTATTACCTTTGCCCCAAGCCACCCCAAACTTTTATGCTCGCATTTTATTAAAGCAGATGCTCCCTGGAATCTCTGGGACCATTTTGAGGCATTTGAAAGCAGAATACAGAGTGGTCTCATCTCCTTCCTTAATCTTCCTGGTGGTTGGGATGTTCCACTTGTATTATAGATTTTTTTTATTACTGATGTGCTCTGCTGTATTTAAATGTGAACTTGCTTGCAAATGTGCAGATTCAATGATCTTGTTACAGATTAAATAAATTTTTATTTTGAAAAAAATTGAAAACTGATTTTCTTGAGACAAATGAAAATGAAAATACCACATATCAAAAAAATTTGAGATACAGCAAAAGCAGTTATAAGAGAAAAGTTTATAACAATAAACACCTACATGAAAAAGAAGATATATTTCTAATAAATAACCTAATATTACATCTCAAAGAACCAGCAAAACAAGAAGAAACAAATGTCAAAAAGTAGAAGGGAAGAAATAACAAAAATCCAAGTAAAAATAAATAAAATAGAGAATTAAAAATTGAAAATACAAATGATGAAGTTGGTTTTTTGAAATAATAAAATCAACACTTCCTAATAGACTAAGAAAGTAACAGAGAAGAGTCAAATAAATAAAAGTAGAAATAAAAAGGGAGAAATCACAACTGCTACCACAGACATACAAAGGATCACAAGAGACTATTAAGATCAACTGTATGTCAATAAAATGAAAAACTGGGAAAAAAATAGATAAATCTGTGGAAACATGCAACCTATCAAGATTAAATCATGAAAAAATAGCAAATATAAAAAGACAAATAATTAGTAACAAGATCAAACTAGAAATAAAAACTCTCCTCTCAAAGAAAAGCCCAGGGACTAATGGCTTTACTGTTAACGTCTGAAAACATTTAAAGAAGAATTAATACCAATACTTCTTAAATCTTTACAAAATATGAAAGAGGAGGAAATTACTGCAAACTCATTCTACAAGGCCAGTATTACCATGATACCAAAATCACAACAGAAAGTAAAACTACGGATCAATATCTCTCATGAACACAGATGCAAAAATATTTGAAAAAATGCCAGGAATTTGAACTCAACAACATTTTAAAAAGAATATTTACCATGAGAAAGCGGAGTTTATCCCAAAGATGCAAAAATGGTTCAATATAGTCATATCAATAAACAAGATTCATCATAACATAATCAAAGTCAAAAACTATATAGTCATTTCAACACATCCAAAAACATGTATTCAGTAAAATTTAGCACCGCTCATAAAGAGTTTTAAAGATAAAAACTCTCTAAAATTTCGATATTGGAGGAACATACCTCCACAAAATAAAAAGCCACATATGAAAAACCAATAGCTAACATCATACTAAATGGGGGAAAATTAAAAGCCCTTCCCCAAGATATGTAACCAGGCAAGTATGCCCACCTCTACCATTTTTTTTCAACATAGTACTTGAAGTCCCAGCCAGAGCAACTATGCAAGAGAAAGAAAAAAAGGACATCTGAATTGGTAAAAAGGAAGTGAAGTTGTTTTTGTTCACTGATGGCATGATTATGTATATAGAAAATCTTGATTCCATTAAGAAACTATTAGAACTAATACATTAACTTACTAAAGTGGCAGGATGCCAAATCAACATACAAAATAAGTAGCATTTCTATATGTCAGTAACAAAGTATTTGAAAAAGAAATTAAGAATTAAGAAAGCAATCTTATAAATAATTGCTACAGAGTAAAATAAAATACCTAGAAATAAATTTAACCAAGGAGGTGTAAGAGATCTACAATAATTATTAGGTTGGTGCAGAAGTAATTGCAGTTTTTGCTATTAAAAGTAACGTAAACAGTAATATAAAACACTGATGAAAAAAATTAACTATACCAAAAAAGCATATTCTGCCTTCATATTTGAAGAATAATATAATTAATATGTTTGCATTTTCCAAAATGATCTACATATTTATGACAATTTTCATCAAAATGTCAATGAAATTCTAGAAATCTAGAAATAGAAATAGAAAAAAAATAAAATTCAAATGAAATAAAAAAATACCAAAAATAGCCAAAGTAATCTTGAGAGAAAGAACACACACAAAGCT
This sequence comes from Homo sapiens, assembly GCF_000001405.40. Classification (NCBI taxonomy): domain Eukaryota; kingdom Metazoa; phylum Chordata; class Mammalia; order Primates; family Hominidae; genus Homo; species Homo sapiens. The sequence continues at coordinate 64,171,184 of NC_000007.14, read as the reverse complement.
GGACATATCGCATCACGTGACTTCAAGACATACTACAAATCTATGGTAACAAAAACAACATGGTACTGTCAATAACAACAGACACTTAGACCAGTGGAACAGATTAGAGAACCCAGAAATAAATCCACACTAAAAAGACAGATGATTTTTTGACAAAGGTGACAAGAACACACATTGGAGAAAAATAGTCTCTTCAATAAATGATGCTGAAAAAAACTGTATATCTACATGCAGGCTAGTAAAACCAGATCCTTATTTCTTACCATATTAAAAAATCCACTTCAATGCATTAAGAACTTAAGTATACAACCCAAAACTATAATACTACTTGAAGAAAACAAATGGGGAATTCTGTATGACATTGATCTTTAAATGAAATTTTTGTATAGGACCTCAAGAGCATAGGCAACAATAGAAAATAAGGCAAGTAGATTATATCAAACTAAAAGGGTGCAAAGCAAACAAAGCAATCAACATAGTGAAGAGACAAGATACAGAATGGGAACAAACATTTGCAAACCATACAAATATCCTGAGTATATAAAGGATTCAAACAACTAACCAGCAAGCAAACAAACCACACAACAAAACAAATAATCCAATTTAAAAATGACAAAATACCTTAATAGACAGTTTTCCAAAAAAAGTGTACAAATGACTGGCAGGTTTATAACAAAATGCTCAACATTACTAACTATAAGGGAAATGAAAATTGAAGCTATAATGAGATATCCTCCCGCCCTAGTAACAATGGCTAGTACCAAGAAGACAAAATATAACAAATACACATGAGGCTGTAGTGAGAGGAAAACTCTTTGTCACTGTTGATGGGGATGTAGCTTAGTACAATCATTATAAAAAGTAGTATGGTGAGTTCTCAAAAAATTAAAAATAGAGCTAACATATGGTTCATTATTGAACTACTGTTATATAGCCAAAGTAATTAAAATCAGTATGTCAAAAAGATATTTGCACTATCAGTTTATTCCAGCACTATTCACGGTAGCCAAGAGATGAAATCAAAACGCGTCCATCAATAAATAAATATATAAAGAAAACGTGGTATATAGACACAATGGAATGCTATTTGACTTTGGAAAGGAACAAAATACTGTCATTTGTGGCAATATGTGTGAACCTAGATAATATAATGTTCAATGAAATAAACCATAGACTGAAAAACAAATACTGTATGTGCTCACTAATAAGTGGAATATAGGAAAGCTGATCTTGCAGAAGTTAAGCATAGACTGGTGTTGGCCCGGCGTAGTGGCTCACATCTCTAATCCCAGCACTTTGGGAGGCCGAGGCAGGCGGATCACGAGGTCAGGAGATCGAGACCATCCTGGCTAACACGGTGAAACCACATCTCTACTAAAAATACAAAAATTTAGCGGGGTGTGGTGGCGGGCGCCTGTAGTCCCAGCTACTCGGGAGCCTGAGGCAGGAGAATGGCATGAACCCGGGAGGCAGAGCTTGCAGTGAGCCGAGATGGCGCCACTGAACTCCAGCCTGGGCGACAGAGCGAGACTCCGTTTCAAAAAAAAAAAAAAAAAAGCATACACTGGTGGTTACCAGAGTCTGGGGATGGGTCTGGGAAGAAAAAGATTAAGGGAGGCCATTCATTGGGTGCAAAGTTACAGTCAGATAGAAAAAATAAGTTCTGATGTTCTATTACACAGTTGGGTGACTATAACAACTATGGTATAACAACGACATATATTTTACAATAGCTAGAAAACAGTAACTTGAAAGTCATTACTATAAAGAAATGATAATGGCTTGAGATAATGAACATGCTGATTACCCTAATTTTATTATAACACAATGTACATATGTTTTAAGACATTACACTATACCCTATAAATATTTGAAATTAGGGCCTGGTGTGTTGGCTCACGCTTGTAATCCCAGCACTTTGGGAGGCTGAGGCGGGCGGATCACGAGGTTAGGAGATCCAGACCGTCCTGGCCAACATGGTGAAACCCTGTCTCTACCAAAAATACAAAAACTAGCTGGGCGGAGTGGCACACGCCTGTAGTCCCAGCTACTCGGGAGGCTGAGGCAGGAGAATCGCTTGAACCCACGAGGCGGAGGTTGCAGTGAGCCGAGATCACACCACTGCACTCCAGCCTGGAGACAGAGCAAGACTCTGTCTCAAAAAAAAAAAAAAAAAAACTTGAAATTATGTGTCAGTTGTAGAATAACTTACTAACTTAAATAAATACATTTACCAATGCAAAAAATTCCAAGTTCTGGAAGCTGTGTCCTGTGTGTCTCTTGTAGAATACCTTTTCCAGTTTACCAGAATGTTTCCAACTTGGCCTTTCCCTGTATTTTCTGCTTGTCCAGAGACTGAAGATCAAATAGACATCAGAAATTAGGGTCTTTCTAGGTCTTTCTGAGCTGGCACCTGGCCTTAATCCTGTACATTTCCTGCTAGATTGTCTTAACTATGTGGGCAATTCTCAAAGATCTTATTCCCAAAGCATTGACTCTCCATTCTTTCCTGTTAGGCATTTCAGTGTGATTACTTTTTGTCCCAACGAAATCCCTTTGTCCAAGGTTATTTATTTGAAATCTTTTTTTCGTGAAGAAATTGACTGCTATAAATTTGCTGTATCTTGCATGCTTTGTTGTGTTAACATTTTTATTCATGTGAAATATTTTCCAATTCTTAAATTTTTCTTTGACACATTGGCTATTTAGAATTTCATTGCTTAATTTTCACAGAACTATGACTTACCAAAATTTCTTGATGTCATTAATTTTTTATTTTATTCCATTGCAGTCAGAGAAAATACTTTGCATTTACACAATTCTTTTAATTTTGTTGTGTATTTAATCACCTAGAGTATAGTTTATTCCGAAGAACAGTCCATGTGCACTTACTAAAAATGCCTAGCCTATTCCTGTTATGTGGATCCGACTACACACGTCTGCTAGATCTCAGTGGTTTTGTTTTCTTCCAGTCTGTTTACTCTTTGACTTGTTGACTGTTTTTTAATTCATTATTGAGAATGAAGTATTTAAATCTCTAACTGTTATTTTTCGATTATTTCTTGCTTGCTTTATTTTTGTCAGTCATATATTTTGTTTCTCTTTTCTTATTTGCATATTGGTTGACGGTTGTTACATCTTCCTAAGGAATTGACTGTTTTCTGGTCAATATTGAATGTCTCACTTTTCACCTAAATGTGGGTTTTTCTGTTTGTTTTATATTCTTTTTTTTATTATTTTTATTTATTTATTTATTTATTTTTTGAGATGGAGTTTCGCTCTTGTTGCCCAGGCTGGAGTGCAATGGCGCAATCTCGGCTCACTGCAACCTTTGCCTGCCTGGTTCAAGCGATTCTCCTGTCTCAGTGTCCCAAGCAGCTGGGATTACAGGCATGCACCACCAAGCCCAGCTAATTTTGTATTTTTAGTAGAGATGGGGTTTCTCCATGTTAGTCAAGCTGGTCTCGAACTCCCAACCTCAGGTGATCTGCCCACCTTGGCCTCCCAAAGTGCTGGGATTACAGGCGTGAGCCACTGTGCCTGGCCTAAATTCTTTTTTAATTGTGTAACTGCAACTTCAACTTTATTATGGCTGCTATTGCAAGCTTTTATTCTTTCATTTTTACACAATTTGTTTAATCGGATCCAAAGCGATTGTGCTGTAGACAGCATATACTTGTATCATATTTTTATATTCCAACAATTTCAGTTTTCCTTAATATTATTATATTTAGTATTATTTATATAGTTGAATTTATTTTTTCTATATTATTTGTTTTCTACATATCACGTGTATTTTATTTCTTTTTCTATTATTTTGCCTTCTTTTGCATTAAGAAAGCATTTTTATGTAACATTGCAATTTTAAAAATAATTTTTAATATATATTTGGAGCTACCTCTTGTTCTTTAGGGCTTCTGATATACACCTTCATGCATCAGAATCTGTTTTACATTTATAATAACAATACTAATGAGTTATACAAATGATAGTTCTATGTATTTTTATTTCTGCTTCTTATTTTGTGACATAAATTTTACACTTATTGTATCCATATATACTATAAACAACATTTTACACTTATTTTATATAATTTTTTTTAATAAGATGAGAAAAGAAGAGCAAAGATACAGCTACAAATCATTTGATATTAATCTTTTTTTCCCATTTCTGAGTTTTCTCAGTTGTTCCAGAATATTCAGCTAAATTTCTATTGCAAAACATGTTATTACTCACCTGTTTTGTTTAGTTATTGGTGAGTATATTACACGTATTTGTAATTGGTCCAACAATACAATTTTATTTATATTGTTATGCATTTTTTTAAATAATATAAGAAATAAAAAATGTATACACGATGTCTTTTATAATGACATGATTATCTTTACTGGTGCTTTTGTCATTTCATGTAGATTCAAATTATTCTCTGGTTATTTGATTTCTTTCTTTCTTCTTTCCCTCTTCTTTCTTCTTTCTTCCTTTCTTTCCTTTCTTTCCTTCCTTCCTTCCTTCATTCCTTCCTTCCTCTCTCTCTCTTTCTTTATATATATATTTTAATTATATTTAAATTCTAGAGTACATGTGCACAATGTGCAGTTTTGTTACATATGTATACATGTGCCATGTTGGTGTGCTGCACCCATTAACTCGTCATTTACATTAGGTATATCTCCTAATGCTATCCCTCCGCCCTCCTCTGACCCCACAACAGGCCCTGGTGTGTGATGTTCCCCTTCCTGGGTCCAAGTGTTCTTTCTCATTGTTCAACTCCCACCTATGAGTGAGAACATGTGGTGTTTGGTTTTTTGTCCTTGTGATAGTGTGCTGAGAATGATGGTTTCCAGCTTCATCCATATCCCTACAAAGGACATGAACTCATCATTTTTTATGGCTGCATAGTATTCCATGGTGTATATGTGCCACATTTTCCTAATCCAGTCTATCATTGTTGGACATTTGGGTTGGTTCCAAGTCCTTGCTATTGTGAGTAGTGCCACAATAAACATATGTGTGCATGTGTCTTTATAGCAGCATGAATTATATTCCTTTGGGTATATACCCAGTAATGGGATGGCTGGGTCAAATGGCATTTCTAGTTCTAGATGCCTGAGGAATTGCCACACTGTCTTCCACAATGGCTGAACTAGTTTACAGTCCCACCAACAGTGTAAAAGTGTTCCTATTTCTCCACATCCTCTCCAGCACCTGTTGTTTCCTCACTTTTTAATGATCGCCAGCCATTCTAACTGGTGTGAGATGATATCTCATTGTGGTTTTGATTTGCATTCCTCTGATGGCCAGTGATGATGACCATTTTTTCATGTGTCTGTTGGCTGCATAAATGTCTTCTTTTGAGAAGTGTCTGTTTGTATCCTTTGCCCACTTTTTGATGGGGTTGTTTTCTTCTTGTAAATTTGTTTGAGTTCTTTGTAGATTCTGGATATTAGCCCTTTGTCAGAAGAGCAGATTGCAAAAATTTTCTCCCATTCTGTAGGTTGCCTGTTCACTCTGATAGTAGTTTCTTTTGCTGTGCAGAAGCTCTTTAATTAGATCTCATTTGTCAATTTTGGCTTTTGTTGCCATTGCTTTTGGTGTTTTAGACATGAAGTCCTTGCCCACGCCTATGTCCTGAATGGTATTGCCTAGGTTTTCTTCTAGGGTTTTTATGGTATTAGGTCTAACATTTAAGTCTTTAAACCATCTTGAATTAATTTTTGTATAAGGTGTAAGGAAGGAATCCAGTTTCAGCTTTCTACATATGGCTAGCCAGTTTTCCCAGCACCATTTGTTAAATAGGGAATCCTTTCCCCATTGCTTGTTTTTGTCAGGTTTGTCAAAGATCAGACAGTTGTAGATGTGTGGTATTATTTCTGAGGGCTCTGTTCTGTTCCATTGGTCTCTATCTCTGTTTTGGTACCAGTGCCATGCTGTTTTGGTTACTGTAGCCTTGTAGTATAGTTTGAAGTCAGGTAGGGTGACGCCTCCAGCTTTGTTCTTTTGGCTTAGGATTGACTTGGCAATGCGGGCTCTTTTTTGGTTCCATATGAACTTTAAAGTAGTTTTTTCCAATTCTGTGAAGAAAGTCCTTGGTAGCTTGATGGGGATGGCATTGAATCTATAAATTACCTTGAGCAGTATGGCCATTTTCATGATATTGATTTTTCATACCCATGAGCATGGAATGTTCTTCCATTTGTTTGTGTCCTCTTTTATTTCATTGAGCAGTGGTTTGTAGTTCTCCTTGAAGAGGTCCTTCACATCCCTTGTAAGTTGGATTCCGAGGTATTTTATTCTCTTTGAAGCAATTGTGAATGGGAGTTCACTCATGATTTGGCTCTCTGTTATTGGTGTATAAGAATGCTTGTGATTTTTGCACATTGATTTTGTATCCTGAGACTTTGCTGAAGTTGCTTATCAGCTTAAGGAGATTTTGGGCTGAGACAATGGGGTTCTCTAGATATACAATCATCTCATCTGCAAACAGGGACAATTTGACTTCCTCTTTTCCTAATTGAATACCCTTTATTTCTTTCTCCTGCCTGATTGCCCTGGCCAGAACTTCCAACACTACGTTGAATAGGAGTGGTGAGAGAGGGCATCCCTGTCTTGTGCCAGTTTTCAAAGGGAATGCTTCCAGTTTTTGCCCATTCAGTATGATATTGGCTGTGGGTCTGTCATAAATAGCTCTTATTATTTTTAGATACATCCCATCAATACCTAATTTATTGAGAGTTTTTAGCCTGAAGGGCTGTTGAATTTTGTTGAAGGCCTTTTCTGCATCTATTAAGATAATCATGTGGTTTTTGTCTTTGGTTCTGTTTATATGCTGGATTCCGTTTATTGATTTGCACATGTTAAATCAGCCTTGCATCCCAGGGATGAAGCCCACTTGATCATGGTGGATAAGCTTTTTGATGTGCTGTTGGATTCAGTCTGCCAGTATTTTATTGAGGATTTTTGCATCAATGTTCATCAGGGATATTGGTCTAAAATTCTCTTTCTTTGTTGTGTCTCTGCCAGGCTTTGGTATCAGGATGATGCTGGCCTCATAAAATGAGTTAGGGAGGATTCCCTCCTTTTCTATTGATTGGAATAGTTTCAGAAGGAATGGTACCAGTTCCTCCTTGTACCTCTGGTAGAATTCGGCTGTGAATCCATCTGGTCCTGGACTCTTTCTGGTTGGTAAGCTATTAATTATTGCCTCAATTTCACAGCCTGTTATTTGTCTATTAAGAGATTCAACTTCTTCCTCATTTAGTCTTGGGAGGGTGTATGTGTTGAGGAATTTATCCATTTCTTCTAGATTTTCCAGTTTATTTGTGTAGAGGTGTTTATAGTATTCTCTGATGGTAGTTTGTATTTCTGTGGGATCAGTGGTGATATCCCCTTTATCATTCTTTATTGTGTCTATTTGATTCTTCTCTCTTTTATTCTTTATTAGTCTTGCTAGCGGTCTATCAATTTTGTTGATCTTTTCAAAAAACCAGCTCCTGGATTCATTAATTTTTGAAGGGTTTTTTGTGTCTCTATCTCCTTCAGTTCTGCTCTGATCTTATTTTTTGCCTTCTCCTAGCTTTTGAATGTGTTTGCTCATGCTTCTCTAGTTCTTTTAATTGTGATGTTAGGGCATCAATTTTAGATCTTTCCTGCTTTCTCTTGTGGGCATTTAGTGCTATATATTTCCCTCTGCACACTGCTTTAAATGTGTCCCAGAGATTCTGGTATGTTGTGTCTTTGTTCTCATTGGTTTCAAAGAACATCTTTATTTCTGCCTTCATTTTGTTATGTACCCAGTAGTCATTCAGGAGCAGGTTGTTCAGTTTCCATGTAGTTGAGTGGTTTTGAATGAGTTTCTAATCCTGAGTTCTAGTTTGATTGCACTGTGGTCTGAGAGACAGTTTGTTATAATTTCTGTTCTTTTACATTTGCTGAGGAGTGCTTTACTTCCAACTATGTGGTCAATTTTGGAATAGGTGCAGTGTGGTGCTGAGAAGAATGTATATTCTGTTGATTTGGGATGGAGAGTTCTGTAGATGTCTATTAGGTCTGCTTGGTGCAGAGCTGAATTCCATTCCTGGATATCCTTTTTAACTTTCTGTCTCGTTGATCTGTCTAATGTTGACAGTGGGGTGTTAAAGTCTCCTGTTATTATTGTGTGGGAGTCTAAGTCTCTTTGTAGGTCTCTAAGGACTTGCTTTATGAATCTGGGTGCTCCTATATTGGGTGCATATATATTTAGGTTAGCTCTTCTTGTTGAATTGATCCCTTTACCATTATGTAATGGCCTTGTCTCTTTTGATCTTTGTTGGTTTAAAGTCTGTTTTATCAGAGACTAGGATTGCAACCCCTGCCTCTTTCGTTTTCCATTTGCTTGGTAGATCTTCCTCCATCCCTTTATTTTGAGCCTATGTGTTTCTCTGCACGTGAGATGGGTTTCCTGAATACAGCACACTGATGGGTCTTGACTCTTTATCCAATTTGCCAGTCTGTGTCTTTTAATTGGAGCATTTAGCCCATTTACATTTAAGGTTAATATTGTTATGTGTGAATTTGATCCAGTCATTATGATGTTTGCTGGTTATTTTGCTCGTTAGTTGATGCAGTTTCTTCCTAGCCTTGACGGTCTTTACAATTTGGCATGTTTTTGCAGTGGCTGGTACCGGTTGTTCTTTTCCATATTTAGTGCTTTCTTCAGGAGCTCTTTTAGGGCAGGCCTGGTGGTGACAAAATCTCTCAGCATTTGCTTGTCTGTAAAGGATTTTATTTCTCCTTCATTTATGAAGCTTAGTTTGGCTGGATATGAAATTCTGGGTTGAAAATTCTTTTCTTTAAGAAGGTTGAATATCAGCCCCCACTCTCTTCTGGCTTGTAGAGTTTCTGCCGAGAGATCTGCTATTAGTCTGATGGGCTTCCCTTTGTGGGTAACCCGACCTTTCTCTCTGGCTGCCCTTAACATTTTTTCCTTCATTTCAACTTTGGTGAATCTGACAATTATGTGTCTTGGAGTTGCTCTTCTCGAGGAATATCTTTGTGGCATTCTCTGTATTTCCTGAATTTGAATGTTGACCTGTCTTGCTAGGTTGGGGAAGTTCTCCTGGATAATATCCTGCAGAGTGTTTTCCATCTTGCTTCCAATCTCCCTGTCACTTTCAGGTACACCAATCAGATGTAGATTTGGTCTTTTCACATAGTCCTATATTTCTTGGAGGCTTTGTTTCTTTTTACTTCTTTTTCTCCAAACTTTTCTCGCTTCATTTCATTGATTTGATCTTCAATCACTGATACCCTTTCTTCCAGTTGATCAAATCGGCTACTGAAGCTTGTGCATTCGTCACATAGTTCTCATGCCATGGTTTTCAGCTCCATCAGGTCCTTTAAGGACTTCTCTGCATTGGTTATTCTAGTTAGCCATCTGTCTAATCTTTTTTCAAGGTTTTTAACTTCTTTGTGATGGGTTCAAACCTTCTCCTTTAGCTTGGAGAAGTTTGATCATCTGAAGCCTTCTCTCAACTCGTCAAAGTCATTCTTCATCCAGGTTTGTTCCGTTGCTGGTGAGGAGCTGCATTCCTTTGGAGGAGGAGAGGCGCTCTGATTTTTAGAATTTTCAGTTTTTCTGCTCTGTTTTTTCCCCATCTTTGTGGTTTTATCTACCTTAGGTCTTTGATGATGGTGATGTACAGATGGGGTTTTGGTGTGGATGTCCTTTCTGTTTGTTAGTTTTCCTTCTAACAGTCAGGACCCTCAGCTGCAGGTCTGTTGGAGTTTGCTGGAGGTCCACTCCAGACCCTGTTTGCCTGGGTATCAGCAGCGGAGGCTGCAGAACAGCAAATATTGCTGAACAGCAAATGTTGCTGTCTGATCATTCCTCTGGAGGTTTCCTCTCAGAGGGGTACCCAGCCGTGTGAGGTGTCAGTCTGCCCCTACTGGGGGGTGCCTCCCAGTTAGGCCACTCGGGGGTCAGGGACCCACTTGAGGAGGCAGTCTGTCCATTCTCAGATCTCAAACTCCATGCTGGGAGAACCACTACTCTCTTCAAAGCTGTCAGACAGGGACATTTAAGTCTGCAGAGGTTTCTGCTGCCTTTTGTTCAGCTATGCTCTACCCCCAGAGGTGGAGTCTACAGAGGCAGGCAGGCCTCCTTGAGCTGTGGTGGGCTCCACCCAGTTCGAGCTTCCTGGCTGCTTTGTCTACCTACTCAAGCCTCGGCAATGGCGGGCGCCCCTCCCCCAGCCTCACTGCCACCTTGCAGTTCGATCTCAGACTGCGGTGCCAGCAATGAGCGAGGCTTCATGGGTGTGGGACCCTCCAAGCCAGGTATGGGATATAATCTCCTGGTGTGCCGTTTACTAAGACCGTTGGAAAAGCACAGTATTAGGGTGGGAGTGACCCAATTTTCCAGATGCCGTCTGTCACAGCTTTTCTTGGCTATGAAAGGGAATTCCCCGTCCCCTTGTGCTTCCTGGGTGAGGCAATGCCTTGCCCTGCTTGGGCTCACACTCGGTGCACTGCACCCACTGTCCTGTACCCACCATCCGACAAGCCCCAGTGAGATGAACCCAGTACCTCAGGTGGAAATGCAGAAATCACCTGTCTGTTGTGTCGCTCATGCTGGGAGCTGTAGACTGGAGCTGTTCCTATTCGGCCATCTTGGAAACACCCCCAGTCTTTCTTTTTTGAAACGGAGTCTCCCCCTGTCACCTAGGCTGGAGTGCATTGGTATGATCTCGGCTCACTGCAATCTCTGCCTCCTGGATTCAAGCAATTCTCCTGCCTCAGCCTCCTGAGTAGCTGGGACTACAGACACCCGCCACCACACCCAGCTAATTTTTGTATTTTTACCTAGTTGAAATCAACTCAGTTTTTGTTTACCTGGAAGGCCTTATATTGCCTTTATTTTTTATTGATAGCTTTCACATTCAGAGAATTACTTCTTGACAGTTTTTCTACAATGAGTAGACACAAAGATTTAAATAGAGTTGAAAGGCTTAGAAAAGGCAACTAAATTATGATCTAAAAAAAGGAAATGAAATTGTTTTTAAATTGAATTGAAAATAAAATTATATTTATGACAACTGATGATATGTTGGATGGGGATGCAGTGACCAGGAAGAATTAAACTTGTGGACAATAAAAGTCTGTGAGTTGTTTGGTCCTGACTTAGGCCAAATGAAGGGCATGATTTTTAGAGAATTAAAGATGTTGCATGAGAGCACAGCCATGCTGAAACTAAAGAGGCTGAGTGCCTTATAGAAACAGAAATCACTATTTTAACATACAACAATTTAACATACAATATTAGACTAAGAAAGCAAATAGGCAGTGATAATTATGATTAACTTTAGTTTTAATAGAATCGTGTTTGGTGTCACAGAAGCCAAAAAACAAAAATGGCCTTTGCTATAAAATGTGTGCTCTACTACTGAGTGTGTAAAGCACTCCTGTGAGTGGAAGCCACAAAGAAACCTGAGGGTCAGGGTGGTAGAATAACCCTTTGATACTTCATATCTAAAAAAAAAAAAAACTCTTGGCATGGACAGTTTGTATCCAAACACTCATTGCTTGAAATAGATGTGCATTTCTATACTCTATAAATGTACCCAGACAAAGTAGTGAGAGGTATAAAGCAGCCTACATTTTGCTCCCATGTCTAGTGCCCTGACTCAGAACTGTGTCCTCAGGAAAATGGAGCACTTTGCCCATTTAGGTCTGATAGAGGTGGGATTTTTCTGATTCTCACAAAGGTGCTTTTAGTCTACTTCTTACCATGAAAATCAGAGATTACTAGGGAACATTAGTGAGGGCAACCATGAATTACTTGAACCAGTAGTAATGCAGTGGAAAATCTGACATTGTGTTTTACCAATTTTGAAGGTTGGGTAATTGGGAGATCACTGTTTTGTTTATAAGAACAGACACCATACAACCCACTGGGCTGAATATACCTGGGGAAATAAGCTTACACATGGAAAAGTTGGAGCATGGCTGTTTCTAATGTATTTTCTAGGAATCAAAAAGTTTCATTTTCCCTTGATGGTTCCCTTTCTTAAAATCACAAAACCAGAGCTTGTACTATCTTTATAGTTGACGTGAAAATTATAAGCCTGGAGGGAATGGGCTGATGGCATTGCTTCCTTATAACCACATAGTGTGAGCCTCATCTTACAAACATGGACTCACTCCAAAGACTCAGCTGGGTGACTGTCTGTCTGTCAGCATTATTAACAGTGAGAGCTGAAGACTCAGGCGAGTGGTGGGATGAGGCAGAATTTTCTCAATGAAGAGCTAGGATCATTGTCTTTTCCTAATTTCAGTCATGTCTCAGTGAATCATATCTAAGTACAATAGATGATTCCAAATGAGAAAAGCAACTTTATGAATACTGATGTAATAATATATTGATCTTATAAATACTTTGTTAATTTTGTAATATTGTATTTAAATTGTAGTTGTATTTTGTTATTATACTAGTTTTTTCTCAGTTTAACTTACTGTATATACCTAGCCAAAATTTTATTTTTTGAAACATGAGAAATCTGAATTCATAAGAATTTAGTCATACTTGTTTGTTCTTTTAAAGTTGAAAACTACAGTATATTATAATGTTTACAGTCATCTCAAAGCATGATTACTATTTAATATTTTACATTAATTAGCTTTCAGTGAATAACCATAAAATTATTTTGTTTTATTGTGGTGTGGTAGCACATACAGGATTTGGTTCTGGTTACCATGAAACTGTAAACAAATATCTCCTCTTGTCATTTATCACATTTTGTAGAGTTAATCACTACATTACACATGTAAAACTTGTAATACTATACAAATTTGTAAAACAAATTCAGCTTTAGTGTATTATATTTTATTACTATGAACAGCTAATATAATAAGTTATTTTGTTTTATTAAGTCAAAACAAAATGTTCTATATATTAGTTTGGGTAACATTTATAATAATGAGAGAATAATAATCTTCAAAATTTGAAGAAAATAGCATCTTATTATTATAAAAAATTCTCCAAGTTTTGCATTCTTACAGTTTTTTCTGTAAGTTTCAAATTTGCAATTTACATATTAAAAATATATTCATGAATGTGGTCAGTATATTTTAATTTTGCTGTTAAAATGTAGAAGTTAATTTTGTCTAACTTTATTAGGAAATAATGCTTTCTAGCTCTGTGATTTTTAACATATAAAAGAGAGAAAGGAGTAAGGAGAAGTCAAAACAGAAAAGAAAAAGATAATAATGGTTGTCTAATTGTGGCTCATAAGGGCATCAAGCCCTCAAAGAAATATAATAGTACAAAATCACTATGTCTCTGAACATTAGGGAAATAAAAGCATTTCTAAATGCTTCAAATATCTGCATTTTATGTATTTAGGAAGAAAGGACCTCAACTGCTCATAGTAAGTGTACACAAAGAATAGAAGATGCGGTTTTCCCGATCACAATTTTCAACTTGGAAATATTCCTCCAAATTCAGTATTTGACTCATTTGGTAAGACAGGCCTAATCTATAATGTGATTCACAGGTGCACGATTGTACAAGACCTTTCACATTTTTAGGAAAAAGTGAGTGTTACACTTAGCTGGTATCTCCTCAGTTGAAATAATCAGAAAGAAACACTCTTCCAAAAGGATTTTAGACTTTTTCAAAATTGGTAGCATAGAATTTGTGATCAAGACCCTCCAATATTTTTCTATTGCCTACATTTAAAGTAATAATTTTCCTGCTTATTTTTTCCTCCAACGAAGCTGAGAATTAAATGTCTTGAAATTATAAATATCCGTGTCAGCAAGCAGCTTCTAGCTGCCGTCTACACTAATTTCAACTTGCAAAGAGTGGCAAATGCATTACAATCATTTGATGCATCTGATACTTACCATATTTATTATTTTAGTCTTGGTGTATTTTATAAAACTTCTTAACAGGCCTAATCTTGGTGGAAACGTTTTACTTTTCTAAATTTGCCGACCGGATTTTTCAGTTTGCCATTTATTGCCCCTTCTCCCTGGCACCTAAATTTCATAGGGCTGATAAGGCTGCTCAATGAATGTTGTAAAATGTATGATAAAAATAAGGCTTTTTCAGGAAAGATCCAAAATTGACACCCTAACATCACAATTAAAAGAACTAGAAAAGCAAGAGCAAACACATTCAAAAGCTAGCAGAAGGCAAGAAATAACTAAAATCAGAGCAGAACTGAAGGAAATAGAGACACAAAAAACCCTTCAAAAAATTAATGAATCCAGGAGCTGGTTTTTTTAAAGGATCAACAAAATTGATAGACCGCTAGCAAGACTAATAAAGAAAAAAAAGAGAGAAGAATCAAATAGACGCAATAAAAAATGATAAAGGGGATATCACCACCGATCCCACAGAAATACAAACTACCATCACAGAATACTACAAACACCTCTACGCAAATAAACTAGAAAATCTAGAAGAAATGGATAAATTCCTCGACACATACACTCTCCCAAGACTAAACCAGGAAGAAGTTGAATGTCTGAATAGACCAATAACAGGATCTGAAACTGTGGCAATAATCAATAGCTTACCAACCAAAAAGAGTCCAGGACCAGATGGATTCACAGCCGAATTCTACCAGAGGTACAAGGAGGAACTGGTACCATTCCTTCTGAAACTATTCTAATCAACAGAAAAAGAGGGAATCCTCCCTAACTCATTTTATGAGGCCAGCATCATCCTGATACCAAAGCCAGGCAGAGACACAACCAAAAAAGAGAATTTTAGACCTATATCCTTGATGAACATTGATGCAAAAATCCTCAATAAAATACTGGCAAACCGAATCCAGCAGCACATCAAAAAGCTTATCCACCATGATCAAGTGGGCTTCATCCCTGGGATGCAAGGCTGGTTCAATATACGCAAATCAATAAATGTAATCCAGCATATAAACAGAACCAAAGACAAAAACCACACGATTATCTCAATAGATGCAGAAATGGCTTTTGAAAAAATTCAACAACCCTTCATGTTAAAAACTCTCAATAAATTAGGTATTGATGGGACGTATCTCAAAATAATAAGAGCTATCTATGACAAACCCACAGCCAATATCATACTGAATGGGCAAAAACTGGAAGCATTCCCTTTGAAAACTGGCACAAGACAGGGATGCCCTCTCTCACCACTCCTATTCAACATAGTGTTGGGAGTTCTGGCTAAGGCAAGTAGGCAGGAGAAGGAAATAAAGGGTATTCAATTAGGAGAAGAGGAAGTCAAATTGTCCCTGTTTGCAGACGACATGATTGTATATCTAGAAAACCCCATTGTCTCAGCCCAAAATCTCCTTAAGCTGATAAGCAACTTCAGCAAAGTCTCAGGATACAAAATCAATGTACAAAAATCACAAGCATTCTTATACACCAACAACAGACAAACAGAGCCAAATCATGAGTGAACTCCCATTCACAATTGCTTCAAAGAGAATAAAATACCTAGGAATCCAACTTACAAGGGATGTGAAGGACCTCTTCAAGAAGAACTACAAACCACTGCTTAAGGAAATAAAAGAGGATACAAACAAAGAAGAACATTCCATGCTCATGGGTAGGAAGAATCAACATCGTGAAAATGGCCATACTGCCCAAGGTAATTTACAGATTCAATGCCATCCCCATAAAGCTACCAATGCCTTTCTTCACAGAATTGGAAAAAACTACTTTAAAGTTCATATGGAACCAAAAAAGAGCCCGCATCACCAAGTCAATCCTGAGCCAAAAGAACAAAGCTGGAGGCATCACACTACCTGACTTCAAACTATACTACAAGGCTACAGTAACCAAAACAGCATGGTACTGGTACCAAAACAGAGATGTAGATCAATGGAACAGAACAGAGCCCTCAGAAATAACGCCGCGTATCTACAACTATCTGATCTTTGACAAACCTGAGAAAAACAAGCAATGGAGAAAGGATTCCCTATTTAACAAATGGTGCTGGGAAAACTGGCTAGCCATATGTAGAAAGCTGAAACTGGATCCCTTCCTTACACATTATACAAAAATCAGTTCAAGATGGATTAAAGACTTGAACGTTCGACCTAAAACCATAAAAACCCTAGAAGAAAACCTAGGCATTACCATTCAGGACATAGGCATGGGCAAGGACTTCATGTCTAAAACACCAAAAGCAATGGCAACAAAAGCCAAAATTGACAAATGGGATCTAATTAAACTAAAGAGCTTCTGCACAGCAAAAGAAACTACCATCAGAGTGAACAGGCAATCTACAAAGTGGGAGAAAATTTTCGCAACCTACTCAGCTGACAAAGGGCTAATATCCAGAATCTATAATGAACTCAAACACATTTACAAGAAAAAAACAAACAACCCCATCAAAAAGTGGGCGAAGGACATGAACAGACACTTCTCAAAAGAAGACATTTATGCAGCCAAAAAACACATGAAAAAATGCTCACCATCACTGGCCATCAGAGAAATGCAAATCAAAACCACAATGAGATACCATCTCACACCAGTTAGAATGGCAATCATTAAAAAGTCAGGAAACAACAGGTGCTGGAGAGGATGTGGAGAAATAGGAACACTTTTACACTGTTGGTGGGACTGTAAACTAGTTCAACCATTGTGGAAGTCAGTGTGGTGATTCCTCAGGGATCTAGAACTGAAATACCATTTGACCCAGCCATCCCATTACTGGGTATATACCCAAAGGACTATAAATCATGCTGCTATAAAGACACATGCACACGTATGTTTATTGTGGCATTATTCACAATAGCAAAGACTTGGAACCAACCCAAATGTCCAACAATGATAGACTGGATTAAGAAAATGTGGCACATATACACCATGGAATACTATGCAGCCATAAAAAACGATGAGTTCATGTCCTTTGTAGGGACATGGATGAAATTGGAAATCATCATTCTCAGTAAACTATCACAAGAACAAAAAACCAAACACCACATATTCTCACTCATAGGTGGGAACTGAACAATGAGAACACATGGACACAGGAAGGGGAACATCACACTCTGGGGACTGTAGTGGGTTGGGGGGATGGGGGAGGGATAGCATTGGGAGATATACCTAATGCTAGATGACGAGTTAGTGGGTGCAGCGCACCAGCATGGCACATGTATACATATGTAACTAACCTGCACATTGTGCACATGTACCCTAAAACTTAAAGTATAATAATAATAAATAAAAAAAAATAAAAATAAAAAAAATAAAAAATAAGGCTTTTTATTAATACAATTAAAAAATTTACATTTATAAAGATTATATTTTAAATCTACACAAGGGACAATCACTATTCAAATAGTATTACTAATAAAATAAATATTACTAATAAAATACTAAAAAACTATATTTTATAATAACGATGAGGAAGTATATTTTATCAAACTTCTTTTTCTACAAATAACATACCCATCATATGCAAAACAGCTTTTGGATTCCTGTAGTTGCCTTTTTCCTTTTATACACCCTTTATCTTTGCTTCAGATGTCTGATCTAAGCTTATGTTTTTTTATGATCAGATTTTCATTCCTGGTCTGTATAATGGCGTTATTCCCCTCTTATACATGATTATTTACACATTTTGGGACTTAAAAATATTGAGAATACACTACAGTGAAAGGCAGTGTAATGAGAGTAAACTTGAGCTGCATTATGTGTTTACTGAGCGTGCTCAGGAGCTTCACCCTCAGCCCCAGCAGCCTTAGGTTGTCACTTCTAATGGCGAGAGCTAAGCTGTGCATTGAGATTTTGAAATTTTCAATGGGTCACATAGAACCAATTTTTTTTTTCACTCTGAACAACCTAAAAGCAGCATCTATGGATTTTTCCCCTATTTTGTTTCACCCAGTTTGGCATCATATTAATGCAAATTCCATAATTCTTCCATGGTGTAGTTGCTAGATTTATCAAATAACAATATAGAACACGGCTAAATTTAATATTTGGATTAATATGTTAAAGGCAATTATCAATTGTTTAGCTCTGGCAGGTGAGAAAAATTTTTGAAGATACAATCAATTCAATCATACCCTATTTGTGTGCTCTAATTTATGACAACCAAGAGTGTGACAACCAAGATTGCTGATCTTGTCTGGGATCAGCATCAATGCTCTCAAGAGCCTCAATGGAAAAAATACACCATCTGATCAAGCAGAAGATTATTCTGTTTCAGTGTGTTTAGGTTATTTACAGAGTAAGGAGAATGAATTTGAGAGCATAAACTGGATTTTTTTAGGGTGAAAAAATAAAATATTAAAATTCTTATTTATGTTATTTAATCTAATTCTTTGTCCTATATCTTCTTTTGGTGTGTGGTTCATAACATATGGGTTATATTAATAAAACTATACAGATATATAGTTAATAACTCATTATACATATATTATTATCTTATGTTCAAATATATTTTTCTAGTACTGAAATGTGATCCTTAAAATTTGGATACCATTAAGTCTTTAATTTAAAATTACTTTTTTTTTCTGATTTCAACTTGACAGCAGAACTGAACTGCGCTGATGGTGTAGATGTGTGCTGGTGGAAATCTTTCATTGTTTCCAAGATAAATGGATTTACTTATTAAAGTTTTGTAGAAAGAGTAATAACCATTTAATCAACTAGATGTTTGCTTTATAAAATCAAACATATCTGGTGGTTTTAGAGCAACTTTTTCTCAGTCACTAATTTTTGATTATTGTCCAAGGATACTCAGTGTCAACATTTTTGCACCGTCTCATATATTTTTATTTATGGAATTGTATAATGATAAGTGACCTTGAATCTGACACACTTTCATTTAAAAAAAATCCGAGTGAGTTTAATGGTGTTTCACTTTTTTAATGTCATGAAGCTAAATTGTTCTTAGTCCTAGATTAAAGTAAAATGATAAATGACATCAGAATCTTGGCCAAATAACATGAAATTGTAACTGCAAAATTGTTCTGCAAAATTTTACAAGGTGTTATAGTATTGAAGTTATCACAAGAAAACTTGAGAGAAATTATCTTTCTTATTGAAGACTAAGTATTTTTGATCTTATTGAAGATCTTATTGAAGTATTTTTTATCTTACTGAATAGTCTTATTGAAGACAGTATTCTTACTGAATACTCAGACTAAGACTTAAGTATTTTTCTAGGCATGGTAGAGTATCTCTGTATTAAGTGAAGTCTCAGGAAGAAGACCAACATGTGACTATTTTGATGCAACTTCATGGTGAAACAAAGACTTTTTTTTTTTTTTTTTGTTGAGACAGAGTCTCGCTCTGTCACCCAGGCTGGAGTGCAGTGGCGAGATCTCGGCTCACTGCAAGCTCCGCTTCCTGGGTTCATGCCATTCTCCTGCCTCAGCCTCCCGAGTAGCTGGGACTACAGGTGCCCACCACCACGCCCGGCTAATATTTTTGTATTTTTGGTAGAGATGGGGTTTCACCATGTTAGCCAGGATGGTCTCGATCTCCTGACCACATGATCCGCCCACCTTGGCCTCCCAAAGTGCTGAGATTACAGACGTGAGCCACTGCCCTCGGCCCGAAACAAAGTAATTAAAAGTAATGGCCAGGCTCGGTGGCCCACGCCTGTAATCCCAGCACTTTGGAAGGTCAGAAGTTTGAGACCAGCCTGGCCAACATGGTGAAATCTTCTCTACTAAAATAGAAAAATTAGCTGGTGTAGCGGTGAGCGCCACTTGGGAGGCTAAGGCAGGAGAATCGCTTGAACCCAGGAGGCAGAGTTTGTAGTGAGCAGAGATCATGCCACTGCACTCCAGCCTGGGCAACAGAGTAACACTGTCTCAAAAAAAAAAAAATGGTAGTATTTATTTTGTTGGTAACTGAGAGGAAAATATTAAAAAATGTGTTCTGAGATAAAGAGAAATCACATAATAAATCTCTGGGATATGAACTAAACAGAGACAGCCAGAACCATTTCTATATTATACACAGTAAATTAGGGTTTGATTAAGCAGAACAATGTCCCCCAGTCCCTCTAAGGATATTGACATCTGAATTCCAAGATATCACATTACACATTATAATTCATGACAAAGAGAATATAAGGGTGCAGATAGGATGAAAATTGCTTTATGCTGATGAAATATCATGAATTTATCATGGTGAGTCCAGTAAAATCACAAGGGTCAAAAATCATGGAAGGAAAAGTGATGATGAATAAATTGTATCAAAATGATAGATCCTGAGACTCAACTGACTATACTTTTTATTGAGTCTTTTCACATTAACATACATTTAATTCAACTGTACAAATACTATTCATTTTATATGCCTGACTGAAGTGCTAAATATAAAATGAGAACATAGAATAAGGATATGATTACTGAGATGAAGGCCAAGGTACATAAGGAATATAGATAGTATGCACCTTAGGCAAAATTGAAAATGTATTTACTATATAGAGATTCATAATAATTATATATGTATATATTTATTTGGTTTAGGAAATAGTATAGGAGATACATTATCAAGAATTTATATAAGATGGGGTTAATCAAGAAATGAGAGTAAAATAAAAATAATAATGGTAATAATTTTGAACACTGACAAAAGGACATTGATGACACAGATCTACTTTTTTCAGGTCTTCAAAATGTTTCTTCTATGTCATTAGGATGAACACACATTTCACATGTTATCTTTCAAAAGGCCTTTTGTTTTCAAGCTGGCATTGGAATCTCAGCCAACATCTTTCTTCTTCTCTGGCACATTTTTACATTCTTTAAGGATCACAAGCCTAAAAAACCATGACCTGATCATCTGTCACTTGGTTTCTGTCTACATAGTGATGCTAGTCATGGCAGCAGAGTTATTGTCTCTAGACGTGTTTGAGTCACAGAATTTTCAGAATAACTTCAGATGTAAGGCTGTGTTCTACATATACAAGGTAATGAGGGGCCTCTTGATCTGCACCACCTCTCTCCTGAGCATGCTTCAGATCATCACCATCAGCCCCAGCACCTCCTGGTTGGTGAGATTTAAACATAAAATAACATATCCTGGGTTTACTCTTTTTTTGGTCCCTCAATTTGTCTTTCAACAGTGACATGATAATCTACATTGTAGGTTTTTCCAGTGTGACCCAGATAATTCTGAATGTCAGTAAATACTGCTCACTTTCCCCAATGAATGTCACCATCAGAAGGCTGTTTGTTACTCTGTCGTTATCCAGAGATGTCTTCCTTGTAGGAATCATGCCGCTCTCAAGTGCCTTCATGGTGATTCTCTTGTCCAGGCATCAGAGGTGCTCCCAGCACCTTCACAGCACTAGCTTTTTATTAAGAACCTCCCCAGAGAAAAGGGCCACCAAGACCATCTTGCTGCTGGTGAGTTTCTTCGTGGTTATGTACTCATTGGACTTAATTGTCTCATCCTCCAAAATGCTGTTATGGGTATTCAGCCCTGTCATCGACAGTGTCCACAAGTTTGTGGTCAATGCCTATGCCACTGTCAGTCCTATGGTGCTAATCAGATCTGAGAAAAGAATCATCAGTATTCTGCCAAAGGTTCATTGGAAGTGCCATCCATTTTTAACAAGTTAGTGATAAAATTTTCTAAAAATTATTTTGTCATCATCAATTAAATTATTCAAAAACACAGAATTTGCTATCTGATTTAAGTAAAACATGTGGAATTGCACTTTTGTAATATCTAATTTTTTTTTAGATGGAGTCTCACTGTTTCGCCCAGGCTGGAGTGCAGTAGTGCGATCTCAGCTCCTTGCAGCCTTCGCCTCCCAGGTTCAAGCAATTCTTCTGCTTCAACTTCTCAAGTAGCTGGGGCATGTGCCACCATGCTCAGCTAATTTTTGTGTGTGTGTGTTTTTAGTAAAGACAGGGTTTCGCCATGTTTTCCAGGCTGGTCTTAAACTCCTGACCTCAAGTGATCAGCCCACTTCAGCCTCCCAAAGTGCTGGATTCATAGGTGTGAGCCACTGTGCCCAGCCTACCTCAATATTTTTAAAATTTGCTGGTGCTATGAACTATATGGTGTCCTCAGTTGAGTGTCCCCCATGATTGAATATTCCCAAAGCACATCTCTCACTTCTTAATTTTAATTTTACCTTTATACAGGAAAACATTTATTTTTCCTTTCTCCTCTTTTTTCTTTTTTTTTTTGAGATGGAGTTTCCCTCTTGTTGCCCAGGCAGAGTGCAAAGGTGTGACTTCTGCTCACTGCAACCTCCACCTCCCGAGTTCAAGCAGTTCACCTGCCTCAGCCTCTCGAGTAGCTGGAATTACAGGCACCTGCCACCACACCCGGGTAATTTTTGTATTTTTAGTAGAGACAGGGTTTCACCATGTCGGCCAGGCTGCTCTCGAACTTCAAACCTCAGGTGATCTGCCTGCCTCAGCCTCCCAAAGTGTTGGGATTACAGGTGAGCCACTGCACCCGGTTACCCCCCGCCGCCTCCTTTTTTTTAAATTCAAATACCATTTAAATGCTCCTTAAGAGTTCAGGAGATTCTTCCTATGACAAATCTTGTTTTCCACTAGGGGTTAGCCAGTATCAAATCATCCTTCATGGAATGCTCCCTCATGATCAAAGATAACTTTCAGGGACCTTGCCTAACTCCAAGCAGAAGGCCGTCAGATAACTAGTTAATTCATGATGCGACAAGGCACCAATCCAAGTTTAGGCTTTTAGTTATTTCACTATTGCCCCTGTGGTCTTCAGTCTCTACTCAGTTTCTCTAATGTTACCCCTTAAAGAAAAAAGTAATGTCTATTTCTGTCTCAGCTTTCTAAGAACATAAGCTGCAAGAATACTGAGTATTTATTTACCATCAGCACTTAGCTGGTGGCAATGTGCACAGAAGTGTTTACACATTCCTAAGAGAAAAATTAGAGAGCTTTCTGGAGCCAAAGTTTGGAGAGCTGTAAATCTTCCCCTGCTGTCTCTTTCCCCACAGGCAACAACAAGCAAGTCTTTCCTATCTTAAGAAAACAAAACCTGGGTGGTGGCTCACGCCTGTGATCCCAGCACTTTTGGAGGTTGAAGCGGGTGGATCACGAGATCAGATCAAGACCATCCTGGCTAACATGGCAAAATCCCAGCTCTACTAAAAATGAAAGAAAAGAAAAGAGAAGAGAAGAGAAAAGAAAGAAAGCAGGCAGGAAGGAGAGAGAGGGAGAGAGAGAGAAGAAAGGAAGGAAGGGAAAGAAAAAAAAGGAAAGAAAGAAAGAGAAAGAAGGGAGGGAAGGAAGGAAGGAAGAAGAAAAGAAGAAAGGAAACCAAACCAAACCTTCCAGGAGTAGTTAGCTCCTACCCTAACACACTGCACCATTTTACAACCAAAGTCCTCCAAATAATTGTCTGCAATCACTGTCTGTCTAAAATGCACTCTTCAATCTACTACAATTTAGGTTTTTGTTTCCACCACTACATTGAAACTATTCAAGATTCACCAACCCGACGTAGTCCCCACTGGCAAATTCAATGGAATTCCAGAATCATATATATCATATCACACATGTGTGTGTGTATATATATACATATGTGTATGTATATATATACATGTGTATATATATACATATATATGTGTGTGTGTGTGTGTGTGTGTATATATATTGGAGACAGGGTTTGTTGCCCAGGCTACAGTTCAGCGGCAGGATCACAACTGACTGCACCATCGAATTCCTGGGTTCGAGCCTCCTCCTGCCTCAGCCTCCAAAGTAGCTGGGAATGCAGGCATGCACCATCATGCCTGGCTAATTTTTAAATTTTTTGTAGAGACAAGGTCTCATTATGTTGCCCATGCTGGTCTCAAACTCCTGGGCTCCAGGGATCCTCCTGGCTCAGACTCCCAAAGTGTTGGGAGGCCCCACACCTGACTAGAATATCTTGTGATACTATTACTCACTTCTTTAGGAAACTCGCTTCAATTCTTCACTCTTTATTTCACTTACCTTTGCTGGTTCCCATGCCCACCTATAAATGATGGTGTTCCCTTTTGTGCTCTGTCCAATCTCTCCACTTGTCCACATGCTTGGCATCAACCTACACTTATTTGCTGATAACTCCCCTATCAAGACAAGATCTTTCTCCTGAATTCCAAACTCAGTCAACCACCAACTGGATATCTTCACCAGACAAAAGTCAACCACGTCTTGGCCAGGCACGGTGGCTCATGCCTGTAATCCCAGCACTTTGGGAGGCCAAGGCGAACAAATCACCTGAGGTCAGGAGTTTGAGACCAGTCTGGCCAACATGGTGAAACCCCATCACAAAAATGAGCTGGACATGGTGGCAGGTGCCTATAATCCCAGCTACTCAGGAGGGTGAGGCAGGAGAATATCTTGAACATGGGAGGCGGAAGTTGCAGTGAGCCAAGGCAGCACCACGGCCCTCCAGCCTAGGCAACAGAGCGACACTCGGTGTCAAAAAAAAACAACAAAACTCAACCATGTCTAAAAGTTATGAGTAACCTCTTCCCCATAGCTGCTT
The DNA here is from genome assembly GCF_000001405.40 of Homo sapiens. NCBI lineage: Eukaryota > Metazoa > Chordata > Mammalia > Primates > Hominidae > Homo > Homo sapiens. Next base: position 64,146,713 of record NC_000007.14, on the reverse strand, counting down.
TAATCCCAATACCCACTTAATAATAACCCAAGACTCCTCTCAAAATATCCCTGTGTTCAAGACCCAAATTCAGCCACGAAGTTCAGCAGAGTCGATCTACTTAGCACCTCTTCCATCCAGCCCATGTCCTCTACTCATACTCCTTCTGCCTCAGTGCCTTCATGCAACAAATACTTATAGAGTACCTAAAACATGCTCTAGGAATGGTTAAGAAAATAAAAAAGATACCAGATTTATGGAGATTACACTCTAATGGTTGCTCTGACAAACATTTTCAGAACCTAATCTTGTATCAACTCACACCCTTACAGAATTAGTATCAGAATTGAGGGTGGCTTCCTGAGTTCAAGACCAGCCTGGTCAACATGGTGAAACCTCATCTCTACTAAAAATACAAAAATTAGCCAGGCATGGTGGCACATGCATGTAATCCCAGCTACTTGGGAGGCTGAGGCAGGAGAATCACTTGAACCTGGGAGGTAGAGGTTGCAGTGAGCCGAGATCGCACCACTGCACTCTGGCCTGGGTGACAGAGCAAGATTCTGTCTCAAAAAAAAAAGAATTGAGGGTGGATTTAAGTATGTAGCACTTCAAATCTTTCATATTGTTCTAAGTAAGCACTGTCCAACAGAATCAGATGGATTTAATATTAATAATATACTTTTGGCCAGGCACGGTGGCTCATGCCTGTAATCCCAGCACTTTGGGAGGCCGAGGCGGGGGGATCACGAGGTCAGGAGATCGAGACCATCCTGGCCAACATGGTGAAACCCAGTCTCTACTAAAATACAAAAAATTAGCTGGGCATGGTGGCGGGCACCTGTAGTCCCAGCTACATGGGAGGCTGAGGCAGAAGAATCACATGAAGAATCTCAAAAAAAAAAAGAAAAAAATAATAATAATATAATTTGATTTAAGGCAATATCAAAAATATTTACAAACTAAATACTTGATTTTTAAAAATATATCTATGAAATACAAAGCATAAGTTACAATTAATACATCTCAATTTAGATGCTATTTTTTTTTTTTTTTTTTGGCGGGAGTGATGGAGTTTTGCTCTTGTTGCCCAGGCTGGAGTGCAATGGCACAATCTCGGCTCACCACAACCTCCGCCTCCCAGGTTCAAGCGATTCTCCTGCCTCAACTTCCTGAGTAGCTGGGATTACAGGCATGCACCACCACGCCCAGCTAATTTTGTTTTTTGTTGTTTTTTTTTTTTTAGTAGAGACGGGGTTTCTCCATGTTGGTCAGGCTGGTCTCAAACTCCCAACCTCAGGTGATCCACCCACCTCAGCCTCCCAAAGTGCTGGGATTACAGGCATGAGCCACCATGCCTGGCCAGATGCTAAATTTTTATTTATTTAATTTTTGGGGTTTTTTTGAGACAAGGTCTTTCTCTGTCACCCAGGCTGGAGTGCAGTGGTGCTCTCTCAGCTCATTGCAAACTCTGTCACCCAGGTTCAAGCGATTCTCCTGCTTAAGCCTCCCAGGGAAAAATATTTTGTATTGCCTCAGTTTTCAAATGTAAATTAATTGAAATGAAATCACAAAGTCAGTTTCTTAGTTGCCCTACCCAAATTTCAAATATTAGTGCAATTTTAAGGGGCTCCTTCTAATATGAAACTCTCATTCCTTCAGGCTGCATTCTGCACCTGGCTAAACATCAACATTACCTAGGGGGGTTTTAGAAAACCACAGCCTCTACATGATTTCCTTAGGTCTGGAGCCTTGCCAAATGCTATTTCAAGCAGCCTTGCTTCAAGTCCTAGAATGCTCTTGTCATTCCACCCTTCCCACATCCAATAGCGCCAAATCACCCATTCATCTCTCAAGAACTGAACAAAGGTGACAATAAACTACGCATTTCTTAACCTGTAGGGAGATCCCCTGAAACTATTGCTATGGAATAAAAGATGAAATGCTCCTGATTATTGTAAATACAAAATTGCATGCAGGATTGTGTAAAGACAATGCCAGGTTGGACTGCCAGAACAAGCCAACAGCACGTGATGTGCTTCCCCCTGCAGAGAGCCTGTGAATGGACATGCAGTCAGGGAGGTTTCACATCATCAAGATTCCTATCCCAGAAAAGATGTTCATAGCTCTGGGAATGGAAGGCGACCCTCGTGGAGAGCCTATAAATGGACGCATGGGGGGGCGCCTGTCCATATGGGTACGATAGGGCCATAAACACCCTCATCTTGCCACGGCTCTTCTAGGCCTCTTTAGGGTTAAGGCATACTCCCTTCTGAGAATTTCTGGTCTAACCAGATGTCTAGCTTCACCTCCTGTTTCCATGGATTGTTTGTAACCAGCTTTTGTTGCAATTGTTACTGCTGATTAATATCTTGTTAATCATAGGTTATGGAAAGATTGTGTTTGTTTTAAGGCTCTGTTAGAAATTACTGACGCACACACTATATTGTAAATTCTTATCTCTCTATGCAGTACCTCTACATACAAATGTACTGTACTTCTACATACAAATGTTATGTTAAAGAATTACTTCATCCCCATGTGACCATCTCACCTCATTATCAAATGACCCTAAATCCCTCACTAACCTACCCCCGCCCTCACTAAACTTAATAATAAATGCTGGCATATCCAGTGCATTGTTGGCACTGCAGGACCAGAAGGCGGTGACTCCCCTGGACCCAGCTTTCACTATCTTGTGTGTGTCTATTATTTCTCAACCTGCCGATCTGCCTGGGAACAGAGAGCCCCGTTGCATTGCGGGCTGCTGGCCAGATCCCGCAATAATTTTGTTCCTTTTGCTCTTCAATCAAATGACCTCTCTGCTCTAGACAGCTACAAAATGCCATGGTATCTCTTTCAAATGCAAATGTCACCTTGTCATTCTCTGCTTAAGTACTTAAAAGGCTCCCCATGGTTGCAGAATAAAGCCAGAACTATTTGACATAATATGGGCTAGTTTATCTTCCCAGCCTCACTTTAACCATTCCCTATCCATCCACCTATCTATCCTCCATCCATCCACACACCCATCCAACCAGTCATCCATCCATCCATCCATGCATCCATGCATCCATCCATCCCTCCACCCATCCATCTATCCATCCCTCCCTCCATCCGTCCCTGCATCCATCCATCCATCCATCCATCCATTCACCCATCCATCCATCCATCCATCCAACCATCCAGGCAGCCATCCCTCACCCATCCACCCATCTATTCATCCATCCATCCACCCACCCACCCACCCACCCATCCATCCATCCGTTTATTCATCCATCCATCAATCCATCCATCTAACCACGTAATCATCCAGGCAGCTATTTCATGAATCTGTCAATCAGTTATGTCTACATGCCTTCTCCTGAATTCTCAACAATTTCCCATAATATATATTTTGCTATATCTCACAATTGTAGATGGGAAAACTGAGTCTGAGAAGTCTCATGTGTAGGGAACAGCACTGACTTCCTATACTGTATTAATTCCGTCTTTCTTCCTTCTTAATAAAATCCTGATCTTGTTAAAATGTCTGCCCCTCATCCACACAGCCCTCATTCCCAGTTCTAGGTATACATGGACAGCAACAAATCTAAACCAAGCATAGACAAACATTTTCTGTAAAGGAACAGAGAGTAAATATTTTAGATTTGTGAGCCATATGGTCTCTATTTGCTATGGTTTTAATGTGTATCCTAAAAAGTATGTGTTGGAAAGTTAATCCCCAATGCAACAGTGATGGGAGGTGTTTAAGTTTCGAAGGCTCCACTCTCATGAATGGATTAATGCTGATTATGAAAGGGCTTGAGGCTCTGAATTGGACCTCTTGCTCTCTCTCACACTTTTTGCCCCTTTGCCATGGGAAGATGCAGCAAGAAGAGCCTCCTTGCCAGATGCCAGCCCCTTGATCTTGGACTTCCCAGCCTCTGGAACTCTGAGCCAATAAATTTCCAGGTGCAGTAACTCATGCCTATAATCCCAGTGACTCAGGAATTTGAGGCAGGAATAATTTGAGGCCAGGATTTTCCTGACCAGTCTGGGCAACAGAGGAAGCCCCACCTCTAAATAAAATTTAAAAATTAGCTTGGTGTGGTGATGCATGCCTGTAGTTCCAGCTACTAGGAAGGCCAAGGTGGGAGGTTCCCTTGCACCTAGGAGTTCGAGGCTGCAATGAGCTGTGATCATGCCACTGCACTTCAGCCTGGGTGACAAAGCAAGACTCCATCTCTAAATAAAAGAAAAAATATATGCATTCATTACAAATTACCCAGTATCAGTTACTGTATTATAACAGCACAAAAAGGGAATAAGACGCTCTTTCCCATCTTGCAAGATGGCAGGTGAAAAAGTTGAGAAGCCAGATACTAAAGAGAAGAAACCCGAAGCCAAGAAGGCTGATGCTGGTGGCAAGGTGCAAGAGGGTAATCTTAAAGTTAAAAAGCCCAAGAAGGGGAAGCCCTATTGCAGCCACAACCCTGTCCTTGTCAGAGGAACTGGCAGGTATTCCCGATCTGCCATGTATTCTAGAAAGGCCATGTATAAGAGGAAGTACTCAGCCGCTAAATCAAAGATTGAAAAGAAAAAGGAGAAGGTTCTTGCAACTGTTACAAAACCAGTTGGTGGTGACAAGAATGGTGGTACCCAGGTGGTTAAACTTCACAAAATGCCTAGATACTATCCTACCGAAGATGTACCTCGAAAGCTGTTGAGCCACAGCAAAAAACCCTTCAGTCAGCATGTGAGAAAACTGCAAGCCAGCATTACCCCTGGGACCATTCTGATCATCCTCACTGGATGCCACAGGGGCAAGAGGGTGGTTTTCCTGAAGCAGCTGGCTAGTGGCTTGTTACTTGTGACTGGACCTCTGGTCCTCAATTGAGTTCCTCTACGAGGAACACACCAGAAATTTGTCATTGCCACCTCAACCAAAATCGATATCAGCAATGTAAAAATCCCAAAACATCTTACTGATGCTTACTTCAAGAAGCAGCAGCTGCGGAAGCCCAGACACCAGGAAGGCAACATCTTCGACACAGAAAAAGAGAAATATGAGATTACAGAGCAGCGCAAGATTGATCAGAAAGCTGTGGACTCACAAATTTTACCAAAAGTCAAAGCTATTTCTCAGCTCCAGGGCTACCTGCGATCTGTGTTTGCCCTGACGAATGGAATTTATCCTCACAAATTGGTGTTCTAAATGTCTTAAGAACCTAATTAAATAGCTAAGTACAAAAAAAAAAAAGGGACTAAGACACTGTTGCAACTATTCAACTCTGCCATTGTATCAAGAAAGCAGCCACAGAGGATATACAAGCCAATGGGTGTGATTGTGTTCCAATAAAATGTATATATGAGCCCTGAAAATTAATTTGATATAATTTCACGTCATAAAATATTATTCTCCTTTCAATTTTTTTCCAACCATTTAAAATGTAAAAACCATTTTTTGCTCATTGGCCATAAAAAAACAGATGGCGAGTTGGATGTTGTACCACAGGCTATACTTTTCCAATTTCTGGTCTAAGCTACTTAGTTGCATGGTGTCCTCCTGGCAAGGTCAGGGGAGACATATGACCTAAGGGGACCCAGTCACACTCAAGGGAGAATCTACAGTGTCCACTGTAGGTTAGAGAATAATCCCCCTTCTATTCCCAAGTCAGTAGGCCACTGGCTTTCATTGTCATCTTGACTATATTCTACTCTCAAGATGACTATGGAAGCCACTACTCTCAAGACAACTACGAAAGGGATTACTCTCAAGTTGACTATGGAATCCATTGACCTATTGATTAAGGAAGTCATTGACCCAGGCACTACTGTAATTTCCTTGTAACTGAAAGTGATCTCAGAGTCTCCTGGCTGGTGGCCTCCGGAGATGGAACCTCATGGGCCTCCCCTGAGACATGGTCAGGACAAATGAGGGCCCCATATCTTAAGTAGCGTATTAATCAAGGTCTCCCAAGAAACAGAACCAATAGGAGGTTCTATTTCATTGTTTCCTTCCTATTTCATTCATACACACACACGTTGGGGGTGGAGGAGAGAAAGAAAGAGTTTAAGAAATTGGCTCATGCAATTACAGAGGCCAGTTCAAAATCTGCAGAATAACTTGGTAGGATGGAGACCCAGGGAAGAGTTGATGTTGTAGTGTGAGTCCAAAAGCAGTGTACAGGCAGAATTCCCTTTTTCCTCAGGGCAAGTCAGTCTTTACCTGAAGTTAAGGCCAAAGTAGGAGGATCACTAAAGACCAAGAGCTCCAGACCAGCTTGGGAACATAGTGAGGCTTCATCTCTACAAAAATTAAAAAATTAGTCAGGCATGGTGGCATGCACCTGTAGTCCCAGCTACTCAGGAGGCAAAGGTGGGAGGATTGCTTGAACCCAGGACTTTAAGGCTGCAGTGAGCTATGATTGCACCACTGCTCTCCAGCTTGGGTAATAGAGTGAGACCCTGCTTCAATATCCTTCAACTGATTGGAAAAGGCCCACTCACATTATTGAGATTAATCTGTTTTGTTCAACATCTACTAATTAAAATGTCAATCTCATGTTTAAAAAACAAACAAAAGCCTTCACAGCAACACCCAGATAGAGTTGACTGGAGTCAACTCTATCTGGTACTTGAGTACCCTGGCCTAGCCAATTATATATCAGAGGTGATATATAATACTGATAGAATTATTATAAATAATAATTAACAGAGCTAATAGAATTAAGCATCCACAGGATATCTGAGATCAGGATTGATGGGAAGAATGGAAGCAGGTGCTTCCCAGCCACTAATACCACAAAACCTGAGGAACCCCATAAAAGTCCTGCCTGACTTCAGTCCACAACTGGGTTTCTTTTCTTTTCTTTTCTTTTTTTTGAGACACAGTCTGGCTCTGTTGCCAAGGCTGGAGTGCAGTGGTGCAATCTTGGCTGACTGCAACCATCCGCCTCCTGGGTTCAAGCGATTATCGTGCCTCAGCCTCCCAAGTAGCTGGGACTACAGGCATGAGCCACTCGCCCAGCTAATTTTTGTATTTTTAGTAGAGACAGAGTTTTGCCATGTTGGCAGGGCTGGTCTCGAACACCTGGCCTCAAGTGATTTGCCTGTACTGGCCTCCCAAAGTCCTGGGATTACAGGTATGAGCCACCTCACCCTGCCCACAACTGAGATTCTTAATTTCCCTCCCTAAGCTGAACTTGGTGCAGAATAAGGTTAGCACTCAGATTTTGCGATACATCTCTGGAGAGTTTATTTTAAGAAGATCAAGTGGGGTACTCCTGGGTTTCAGGATTGGTTAGTCACCCTCTCTGCAAGAACAAAGGGTGATCTGACACCCTATCTCCCTCCTGATGCACGGAGTCTGACCCCCAGAAGAAAGGGCTTGAGATTCATGGTAGAAATGATACAAATATTAACAGAGGAGGAAATTAATATAATTCTGATGTGCTGTATAATGTTCAATATTGATTTTTGACTCAACGAGACTAATTAAATGCTCTATTCCAATCAGTTGCCAAACGTACCTGCTCAATAATGTGTCTAAATTCATTAATTATTTTAACAATATTTCATTTTTAAGTTTTATTTTATCCACATGTTAACTTCATTTTACTTATGCAAATAAGAGCTTGATGGTGATACTACCAATAACTCATTATCATCCTTTGCTAAGCTAGGAAGGAATTTGTTACTTTGCAGAATATCAGTGCTTTTAACAGGAGAGTATGTAAAAGCTACACTGTCTTGAAATAATTTGCACTCACAAATTAAGTGACAAGCATAACTCTAATAGATTAACTGTATCCAGTAAAACATTTACCTTCAGAAGGGCTCCTCTGTCCTCTTCCAGGCTGAGTCTGAGGCTATCTAGGCTTAGCAAACCCTAGTGACAAAAGGAAATAGTTTTTGGAATGTTTTCTTCGGTCCATCACTGACATTTCCTGTTCATCTGGTGGAAAAGTTAAAATATTTAGTGGCGGCCAAGAGCAGTGGCTCACACTTGTAATCCCAGCACTTTGGGAGGCCAAGGTGGGTGGATCACGAGGTCAGGAGCTCGAGACCATTCTGGCTAACACAGTGAAACCCCGTCTCTACTAAAAACACAAAATAATTAGCCGGGCGTGGTGGCATGCACCTGTAGTGCCAGCTACTCGGGAGGCTGAGGCAGGAGAATCGCTTGAACCCAGGAGTTGGAGGTTGCAGTGAGCCGTGATCGCACCACTGCACTCCAGCCTGGCTGACAGAGCGAGACCCCGTCACAAAAAAAAAAAGTATTCAGTGGCACCTGAAGGGTGTTCAGGATACATTAAATATTCAACGTCTCTAAGGGAGGCCCAGCTACATTTAACATGGCAGGTTCTCTCCCAAGATCCATCCTTAAATCAATCCGAGCACCTCTGCTGAGAAGAGTTTTCTGGTGCTTTTTTTTTTTTTTTTGAGACAGGGTCTGTCTCTGTCACCCAAGTTGGAGTGCAGTGGTGCAATCATGGCTCACTGCAACCTCTGCCTCCTGGGTTCAAGCAATCCTCCCACCTCAGCCTCCCAAGTAGCTGGGACTACAGGGATAGTCCCAGGTCTTCTGGTGCTTTGGGGTTATTTATTGAAAAGATAGTCATTCACCACATGCAATGGGATTTGCAAAAATATTCTTAGGTAGAGAGGGATGGGTTGGAGGAGACATTATTTGGGTCATGTACTCTATATGGCCAGATGGACCGACTAAAATAATAATCTCATCTCCCTGAGATCTTCAAAAAGTCTCAGGAAGATGAAGTTCACTCCACTGAAAAGAGTGTGTCTAGGCAGCAGATCTGCCTGTGAGTCACGGGTGGGTCTACGATAAGGTTGCAGAGTCTCTCATTCAAGACTGGGGTTGGTGGGGGGGTCCAGAAATTTTTGGGGTAGCTTCAGGCTGAAGTGGAAAGGTTAACAGCAGAGTTCCTACACAGCAGAAAGCTACTGTGAAAACTTCCCAGAGTCTGCTGTGGGGTTGCCACTGCCTTTCTAGTAGAAACACCGCATTACCCACTTTCCCTCTTGAAGCTTGGCCTAAAGGGCCCTTGTCACTCAGATGCCCTCATTATCAGCTCCCTCTGGGTAGCACTCTATCGGGCGAAATTCACCCCCGATATTTCATGTAGGTTCTTTTCTATTTTCCCTAAGTGTCGGCCGGTCTGAGAAATAAAGAGACAGAGTACAAAAGAGAGAAATTTTAAGGCTGGGTGTCCAGGGGAGACATCACATGTCAGCAGGTTCCATGATGGCCCCTGAGCCATAAAACCAGCAAGTTTTTATTAGTGATTTTCAAAAGGGGAGGGAGTGTACGAATAGGTGTGGGTCACAGAGATCACATGCTTCACAAGGTAATATCACAAGGTAAATGGAGGCAGGGCGAGATCACAGGACCACAGGACTGGGGCGAAATTAAAATTGCTAATGAAGTTTCGGGCATGCATTGTCATTGATAACTTCTTATCAGGAGACAGGGTTTGAGAGCAGACAACTGGTCTGACCAAAATTTATTAGGCGGGAATTTCCTCATACTAATAAGCCTGGGAGCGCTACGGGAGACCAGGGCTTATTTCATCCCACAGCTATGACTATAAAAGACAGCTGCCCCCAAAGCGGCCATTTCAGAGGCTGACCCTCAGGGATGCATTCTCTTTCTCAGGGATGTTCCCTGCTGAGAAAAGAATTCAGCGATATTTCTCCTATTTGCTTTTGAAAGAAGAGAAATATGGCTCTGTTCCCCCCGGCTCACCGGCAGCCAGAGTTTAAGGTTATCTCCCTTGTTCCCTGAACACTGCTGTTATCCTGTTCTTTTTTTAAGGTGCCCAGATTTCATACTGTTCAAACACACATGCTCTACAAACAATTTGTGCAGTTAACGCAATCATCACAGGGTCCTGAGGTGGCATACATCCTCCTCAGCTTATGAAGATGATGGGATTAAGAGATTAAAGACAGGCATAGGAAATCACAAGGGTATTGATTGGGGAAGTGATAAGTGTCCATGAAATCTTCACAATTTATGTTCAGAGACTGCAGTAAAGACAGGCATAAGAAATTATAAAAGTATTAATTTGGGGAACTAATAAACGTCCGTGAAATCTTCACAATTTATGTTCTTCTCCCATGGCTTCAGCCGGTCCCTCCATTCAGGGTCCCTGACTTCCCGCAACACTCAAGGAGAGACAGATGTCCACCCTGCAGACTCAGGACCTACTTAGGGGAACTCGATTGCAAATGAGAGAAACTCATTGTGAACTAGTGTAGGCAAAGGAAGAAATTCATTGGTCCATGGGGTTCAAGGAACAGTTGTACAAATGGTAACAGCCCTGCAAGATTCATCTTACCCACTGTCCAGAAATCCTAATGCGCTGAAAACAGCAAAGAAAGAGTTTAATTTCTGCAAGGCAGCCAAGCAGAGTGATGGGAGATGTTTCTCAGATCTGCCTCCCTGAAAGCTCAGCGGCTAGGATTTTTAAGGATAATTTGGTAAGCAAGGGGCTAGGGAATGGAAACTGCTGATTGGCTGGGGATGAAATCATAGGAGTCCAATCAAACTGTCTTCACACACTCATCAATTTCTGGGTGGGGGTTTCTGGTGGGAGTCAGTTCCTGGGTGTGAATCACAGGTCCCGGTGAAGTCAGTCAGTCTTCAGAATGCAAAAGTCTGAAAAACATCTCAAAGACTAATCTAAGGGCCAAGCGCACTGGCTCACACCTGTAATCCCAACATTTTTGGAGGCCAAGGCAGTGGATCACTTGAGGCCAGGAGTTCGAGACCAGCTTGGCCAATATGGTGAAACCCCACTCTACTAAAAATACAAAAATTAGGGTATGATGGCATGTGCCTGCAGTCCCAGCTACTTGTGAGGCTGAGGCAGGAGAATCATTTCAGCCCAGGAGGCGGAGGTTGCATAAGCCAAGATGGTGCCAATGCATTCCAGCCTGCCCAACAGAGCAAGACTCTGTCTCAAAAAAAAAAAAAAGACTAATCTTAGGTTTTGACAGAGTGATGCTATCTATGGGAGCAACTGGGGAAGTTACAAGCCTTGTGTCTCTGATTAAAAAGACTTGAGCAATACAGGGCTTATAGAAAATCAAACTAAATAACAATGGCTGATTAACGTTAACTATGCCTACATTTTAGCAGAATTCTGGCCCCTTCCATTATCCTAACCTTGCAGCCTTTCATTAGTTTTACAAAGGTGGTTTCAGTCCCCCAGCAAGGAGGGGGTTAGTTTCGGGAAGGGGCTGTTATCACTTCTGTTTTAAAGCTAACAAAGACAGTCAGATTTCTCTCACTGTCATAATTATTGCAAAGGCAGTTTCAGAAACAGCCTTGAAATAGGCAGGATGGAAATGGACCTCCAAATCCTCCAGAACCAGAGACCAGGCTTCCCCTATCTTGCCATTGCTTTTCTCTGCATTTTTACTTCCCCCAGGCTCCCAGCTGCCTGGATTTCCACACGTGGTTAAAATATAGATGCCAACAGCTCCCCAAACATCAAAGTTTTAGTTACTATTAAAGAACTACAGTCAAGTGGTACCATAGTTCCAATGTGGTGGTAAAGGCATCATGCATTCAAGTATTTCAGGGAAGGAAATCATAACCTTGTTTGGGTGAAGTGCTCAGCCCTAGATGAATAAGCTGTAGCATGAGAGAGAGGAGAGGGATGAATAATGTCATAAATGAACATGGCAGCTCCATTAGGGATGGGAGAGGGTAGTTATTGCCCAAGAGGAAATTCTGATAGAGCTCCACTGCAAGGCCCAGTCTCTGCTTCCCTTGCATGGTTGTCATCCTCCAACCCTTAGATAGGGCCAAGCACTTGCTGCCTTGGTGTGTTAGTCTGTTCTCATGCTGCTAATAAAGACATACCTGAAACTGAGTAATTTATAAAGGAAAGAGGTTTAATGGGCTCACACATCCACACGGCTGAGGAGACCTCACGATCATGGCAGAAGGCAAAGGAGAAGCAAAGGCACATCTTACATGGCAGGAGGCAAGAAAGCATATGGAGAGGAACTCCCCTTTATAAAACCATCAGATCTCATGAGAATTACTCATTATCGTGAGAACAGTATGGAAAAACCTGTCCCCATGATTACTTCCACTGAGTCCCTCCCATGACACATGGAAATGATGGGAGCTACAATTCATGATGAAATTTGGGTAGGGGCACAGTCAAACCATATCACTTGATGTCCCTTACAAGCCAGAGAGGCAGTATCTTGAGTGTTTGTGTGTCCTGAGTGTAAACAGCTATAACTACCATGGATAAAAAGATAAGAACAAAAGACATTCTTCAACAAAAATGTCCCTATAAAACCATCCCAATTGTCCCCTAGAAATGATGTTTATAGTTTCTTTTTAATAAAGATAAAAATTGGCCCTCCCAGTCTTAAAACTCAAGAAAGTTACGTTTGTCTTATCTGAGTTCCTTTCTCAGGAAACCAACCATCAGCCCTCCCAGATAGAATCAAGTAGCTGAAACTCACGAGACCATCACATCTGGATAGTGAGATGCCACACCTCTCATCCATCATAATTGCCTAAGCAATTACCTGCTTTCTGTTGACCAACTTCTCTTCCTTTCCTCTCCCTAATTCCTGCTTTCCACATGATTACATTTCTTCTCTGCTGTATAAACCTCTAATTTTAGTTGGTCAGGGAGATGGATTTGTGGCTGATCTTCCATCTCCTTGACTGCAGCACTCAAATAAAGCCTTCTTCCTTGGCACTACTCATTGTCTCAGTGATTGGCTTTCTGTGCAGTGTACAGCAGAACCTAGACTGAACCCAACATGTCGGTAACACCTCGCTGTAATGTAAACTAACTTTACATAGAGAAGAGAAAGGCACCTTGGGAGTGGCTGAGCTTAGGTGTTTGTGAGAAGCTAATCTCATGGTTCAGGGCATGACTTCCACCCATTTCAAATGTACAAAGTCTAGCTTCTTGGGAAATGCTTGAGTTTCTCAGGCTGACACTGTGTGTTTGGTCATGGCATACGTACATGTCTCCTTAACACACATAGGTGCCCAAACACATGTAGTTTTTTATGGAAAGAACTTTATTTTTTTTCTACCTGAACATCTCAATGGAAAGAGCTTTGGATTAAGGAGTTCAAGATCTCATTCCACCCCTGTCTCTGCATGGGTGAGTTCAGACACATCTCTTTCTTTCACCCACTCAATGAGTTAGCCTCAAACAGGGACATTTGGAAATGCATGAGGAGGCACTGAATTGCTCCTATAACTTTAGGGAAGGGAAAAGGAGCGCTAAGGACATTGAATGGGTCAAGGATGCCAGTTGTGCAGCAACAGGAATGGGGGATTTTCTTGCCCCCATTGATAATTGTGCCCAGATTGAGAAACACCACCTGATGGCCCCTAAGGTGTCTCCATGCTGGAGAAAACAAGGCCAATGCTTCTATGACTTTCTCAAAGTTCAGAGCAGAGGAGCCTTCCACTAGGAGAGGGCAGAGTATCCAACAGGCCCATGGCATCTCAAGAGGACAAGTCTCTAGAGTAATCTTATTGGGGTCCTCCCAACTGTGCCCTTCAGTGCCAGCCCCTCAGATGTACTCAGATCTGGCTTCTGCAGAGAGCTGCCGATTTCAAGCCAACCCTCACCTCAACTGGCTCCCTCTCTGTTCTTCTCTGTCTTAATAAGGACTGCAGATCCCATGGAACACGTGTTTCCTTTGACATTCCCTAATTATGTGAATTTTATAAATTTAGTTTCTATAAAAATCTGTGTTGTTACTGCTGAAATGAGAACGGCAAGAAGTTCTGGATAGTGCCCCAAGGGGCGGATGCAGGTTCCAGTCCATTTGACTTTTCACTACAGTACTGTAAAGGCCTTTCTCTCTCCCCATCATAATATATTAGGTGTTTTGTTTTGCTTTGTTTTTCTTGTTTATTTTTATTTTTTTGGAAACAGGGTCTTGCTTGGTCACCCAGGCTGGAGTGAAGTAGTGCTATCATGGCTCATTACAGCCTTGAGCTCCTGGGCTCAAGCGATCCTCCCACCTCAGCCTCCCAAAGTGCTCAGTTTACAGATGTGAGCCACCGGGCCCAAACTGTTAAGTTTAAGGTAAGGCTGTGGTGCAGAGATGGTGAGGATATTTGATTGTCTGTGTTGACATTAAACTATTAGAGGTTGATGCTAGGAGTACAGTGTTGAGCAGACCACATGACAATATTCAGGCTTGGCAGGATAACATTCTCTGCCTGATTAATGTGACATTTCATGGAACAAATGGAAAGTGTTTACCATTCCTGCTCTAGGTGATCAATTCTCTCCAGTCTTGAAAGCCATGTCCAGGTGGAATCTGGTTTAGATGTAGTCTGAAGCAAAAGGAAAGTCAGGAAAAAAAAAAGGTAGGAGAGCCAGTCAACGTAGCCCATGCCTGTAATCCCAGCACTTTGGGAGGCCAAGGTAGGCAGATCACTTGAGCTCAGGAGTTCGAGACCAGCCTGGGCAACACAGGAAGACCCTCATTTCTACCAAAAATAAAAATTAGCTGGCCATGGTGGTACACACTTGTGGTTCCAGCTCCTCAGGGGCTGAGGCAGGAGGACTGCTTGAGCCAGAGAGGTAGAGGCTACAGTGAGCCAAGATCATACCATTGCACTTCAGCCTAAGTGACAGACGATACCTTTCTCAAAAAAACAAACAAACAAAAAAACAGTAGGAAAAGGGTGAAGGATAGATTGCCCAAGTAGAGTACAGGGTGTTCTCATCAACTGACAAGACTCCTCCTCTCCTGCAAATGGCCCAACCACAGACCACTCCAAGGCCACCCTGGAGCCTCCAGATGCTGCCCGTCTTGGCACAACCCTGCCTTCAAAGCAAGCAGGTTGTCCAGCATTGCCTGGGTGGGCTGTCTCAGTAGAGGTTCTTATTGGCAAAACCCCACTTAGTTCAGGTATAAAAGGCAGCCTGAGGCCAAGGCAGGTAGATCACCTGAGGTCAGGAGTTCGAGACCTGTCTGGCCAACATGGTAAAACCCCATCTCTACTAAAAATACAAAAATTAGCCGGGTGTGGTGGCATGGATCTGTAATCCCAGCTACTCAGGAGGCTGAGACAGGAAAATCACTTGAACCCGGGAAGCGGAGGTTGCCATGAGCCAAGATCGCGCCACTGCACTCCAGCCTGGGTAACAGAGTGAGACTCCATGTCAAAAGAAAAGGCAGCCTGAGAATCACCACGAGGGCTCACAGAAGCAAGGCTAGAGGCTCCTAGGCCAAACGCCCATGCCATATTGAATTCCAGAACCCCTTTCACAGCACAAAAAGTCCTCCCCCATAGTGGCGTGTGGGACCTCAATCCTCAGCCCTGTTCAGCTGCCCCTGAATGCTGGACACCCTTTCTCGCCCTCACCAGGAATCAATTCTGCAAAGAACCCTCTTCCTCATGTCACTGCCTGCTAAATTGTTCTCAGCTATTCACATTGGATCTGTGTCACTGTGCCCTAGTTACAAGGATGCCTGGAAACGAGTTCTTGGCTTTCGTCTTGAAGAGGCAAGTCCCAAAAGCTTGGAAATTTTTGAACATAGAAAAGGGATTCAAAAAATGCCAAAGCAGCCCAAGAAATACATCTGCTGCAGAGATTCATCCAGATTCTGAGGAGGTCACTGGGGCAGGTGTTTTCTTACATGAGGCCGGGCACAATTACAGACACTCTTTGACTTACAAAGGAGTTACGTCTGGATAAATCCATCACAAACCAAAAATATCCTACTTTGAAAGTGCATTCAGTACGCCAGACCTACCAAACATAACTTAGCCTAGCCTGCCTTAGCCTAGCATTCTGCCTAGCTCAGAATGCTTATATTAGCCTACAGTAAAATCATCTAACACCAGGCCTATTTTATAATAAAGTTACTATAAATCATTTTGAATCAAAATTCAAAGTATGGCTTGTATTAAATAAATATCACATTTGCACAATCCTAAAGTCGAAAAATTGTAAGTTGAACTATCTTAAGTAAAACCATTGTAAGTTAAACAATCATAAATGGAACTATCTTAAGTCAGCAACAACAGAAGAAGTGGTCAAGTGGGTTCCTGTCCACTTAATTCAGCAATGGCATATCCAACACCCATGGCCACTTCAAAAAGACTAGTTTCAGACAAGCACGTTGGCTCATGCCTGTAATCCCAGCACTTTGGGAGGCCAAGCCGGGCGGATCACCTGAGGTCAGGGGTTTGAGACCAGCCTGGCCAACATGGTGAAACCCCGTCTCTACTAAAAATACAAAAAAAAAAAAATTAGCCAGGTGTGGTGGGTGCCTGTAATCCCAACTACTTGGGAGGCTGAGGCAGGAGAATCACTTGGACCAGGGAGGCAGAAGTTGCAGTGAGCTGAGATCATGCCATTGAACTCTAGCCTGGGTGACAGAGCCAGACCTCGTCTAAAAAGATTAAATTAAAAAAAAAAAAAACTAGTTTCCAGTGTCTTTTCTTCTTTCCCACTGGTCCCAGGGATTTTATGTACTTCTGCTTCCTTTCAAAGGCAGCCTCTATCTACTCGATAAAGGTAAGCTACAAAATGGAACATGGACTCTTCAGGTCACCCCTTCCCACCAACAGCTCTTATCTGCAAGTGGTGCACACCATCCGTCTTCTTCTTTTGTTTTAACTGAGGTGAAATCTATGTAACAGAAAATGACTCAATTTAAAGTGTACAATGGACACATGCACAGATGTTTACTGCAGCACTGTTGACAATAGCAAAGACTTGGAACCAACCCAAACACCCATCAATGATAGACTGGATAAGGAAAATGTGGCATATATACACCATGGAATACCATGCAGCCATTAAAAAGGACAAGTTCATGTCCTTTGCAGGAACATGGATGAAGCTGGAAACCATCATTCTCAGCAAACTATCACAAGAACAGAAAACCAAACACCATATGTTCTCACTCATAAGTGGGAGTTGAACAATGAGAACACATGGACACAGGGAGGGTAATATCACACAATGGGGCCTGTCGGGGGCTAGGGAAGGGATAGCATTAAGAAAAATACCCAATGTAGATGATGGTTTGATGGGTGCAGCAAACCACCATGGCACGTGTATACTGATGTAACAAACCTACATGTTCTGCACATGTATCCCAGAACTTATAAGTATAATAAAAAAATAAAATGTACAATGCAGGGGCCTTTAGTACATTCAGAGAGTTGTGCAACCGTCCTTGCCAGCTGGTTACAGAACATCTGCATCACTTTCAAAGGAGACCCTGTACCCATTAAGCAGTCATATCTCATTCCCTCCTTCTCCCAGTCCCTGGCCACCATCGGTCTGCTTTCTGTCCCTGTGGATCTATGAATTCTGGATACTTCATATAAATAGTCTCACACAGAATGTGGCCTTTCGCATTGGCTTCTAGCACTTCATGTACGTTTTTGAGGTTCATTCATGTTGAAGCAGTTGTTTTTTTTTTTTTCCTGAGATGGAGTCTTGCTCTGTTGTCCAGGCTGGAGTGCAGTGGCACGATCTCGGCTCACTGCAAAATCCTCTTCCTGGGTTCAAGCAATTCTCCTGCCTTAGCCTCCTGAGGAGCTGGGACTACAGGTGCCCGCCACGATGCCCAGTTAAATTTTGTATTTTTAGTAGAGACGGGGTTTCACTGTGCTAGCCAGGATAGTCTCGATCTCCTGACCTCATGATCTGCCTGCCTCAGACTCCCAAAGTGCTGGGATTACAGGCGTGAGCCACTGCACCCGGCCGCAGCAGTCATTTTTATTTTGACTTATTATATTAATTTGCTCAGACTGCCATAACAGGACTACAGACTGGATGGCTTGAACAACAAAAATGTATGATCTCACAGTTCTGAAGACCAGAAGTCCAGGATCAAGGTGTCAGCAGGGTTGGGTCCTTCTGAGACTTCTCTCTTTGGCTTGTAGAAGGCCATCTTTTCCCTGTGTCTCTTCTCAACATCTTCACACTATGTGCGTGTGTCCAAATTTCACTTTGGCACAGGGACACCAGTCACACTGGATTAGGGGTTACCCAACTGACGTCATTTTAACTTGATAACCTCAGGAAAGAGACTATCTCCAAAAAGGTCACATTCTGAAATATTAGTGGTTAGGACTTTAACAGATAAATTTGTTTGCGGGGAGGGGCACAATTACACATAGCACATATCATTTCACTAAAGATTACAGGAAATAAACAGGGGCTCTCAAAATATTGCTGGCACAAAGAAGCCTGGTAGATGTTCATCCTCTAATTGCTTAAACTTGCACTGAGTTGTTACCAGAAGTCCAAATATTTCTTCTTTTTTTTTTTTTTTTTTTGAGACAGGGTCCTGCTCTGTCATCCAGGCTGGGAATGCAGTGGTACAATCACAGTGGCACAATCACAGCCTCCACCTCCCCAGGCTCAAGTAATCCTCCCACCTTAGCCTCCCAAGGAGCTGGGACCACAGGAGTACACCACCATACCCACATGATTTTGTTTATTTATTTTAGAGCTGGGGGGGGAGGGGTCTCACTATGTTGCCCAGGCTGGTCTCGAACTCCTGGACTCAAAGGATCTTCCTGCCTCAGCCTCCCAAAGCACTAGGATTACAGGCATGAGCCAGCATGCCTGGTCAGCTTCTGTGTTCTTGGAGTCCATCACCTATCTCCTTCCTGTGGTCCCTTTTCAGATCACACAGTTCTCCTTCTCTTGGAAAGCCTCATTCCCAGAAATTTCCTGATGAGACTCTTCCGACTCCTGTGTGCAACTTCCCTGCATACCAACAACCCCCTCAACTATTACGTCTCCCCAGAGAAGGTCAAAGTTTAGGCATATGGAAGGGTCCCAAGGCTGAAGGGCTGCAGTGGACATCCTGGTCCAGTGGGGGCTCTGAAGGTCCCTGACATGCAGAGGTGTTTTATTTGTATGCAAGGGAATTGCACGTAAGAGTTAGAAGAGTCTCATGAGGAAAGAGTTGGAAGAGCTTTTCTCTCTCCCAATCCTCAGGCACCTGATCTCCCACTGAGTCATAATGCAGGGTAACAAGTTCCATCAAATTAGTTAGTCCTTGCCTCTGGGAGGACCTTTCAAGAGAACTGTTCCCAGGTAAAATATTGCCAAGAAACATGGTTAACATAAGGGATCCTGAGACCAGGAGGGAGGCAGAGTATCTCATCCCAGCGGCTGAGAGTCCCCTGTGTAGTTTAGTGTGCTTTATCTCATCACAAATTTCTTTCCTTTTTCTTTCTCTTCTGCAAACACTCGGACTTTGACTGGTCCCTTCACTCCCTACTGAATGAAGGCTGGGAACAGTGGCTCCTGCTTATAATCCCTGGACTTTGGGAGGCCAAGGTGGGAGGATTGCTTGAGCCCAGGAGTTGGAAGCTGCTGTGAGCTATGATCACACCACTGCACTCCAGGCTTGGCAACAGAGCGAGACACTGTCTCAAAAAAAAAAAAAAAAATCAAAACAGATCTACCAAATGAGAAGAGGGCACAGCACAGGGAAAGAAACAACATCCCTTTTTTGTAAGGCATAACTCGATATGTGATGAGTGGTAAGCCATATGCAGCTGTCTGGGCCTCAGTCTACCCATCTGCCAAATGGGACTAATTCTACCCATTCCACATTTCTCAATCACAGTCACTCAAAACGCAAAAGGCAATGCAGAAATCACCCAAAACACAAAAAGCAATGCAGAAATAAAGATTTGCTTTCCCATTTCCCCAATTCATAGACTCTTAGATCTTATTCATCAGCCTCCTAATCTGTTGGTTTTTCAGAGACATAGATATTATTCAACTTTTTTTTTTTTTTTTTTGAGACGGAGCCTCACTCTGTTGCCCAGGCTAGAATGCAGCGGCGTGATCTCAGCTCACTGCAACCTCCACCTCCCAGGTTCAAGCAATTCTCCTGCCTCAGCCTCCCGAGTAGCTGGGGACTACAGGTGCTCACCACTAAGCCCGGAAAATTTTTGTATTTTTAGTAGAGATGGGGTTTCACCATGTTGGCCAGGCTGGTCTCAAACTCCTGACCTCAGGTGATCCTCCTGCCTAGGCCTCCCAAAGTGTTGAGATTACAGGTGTGAGACGACACACCCAGCCGGTCATTCAACATTTTTCTGATATCCTTGTTTTTAGCTATTGTGTTTTGCTGAATCAAAGCAAATTTGGTAAACATTTGTAAATCAAAGAAAATTCCTGAGGTGTGTCTCAGTCATTTTTAGAGGTCATTTCGCCAATGTTGAGGACGCAATGGGAGGGAAAAGGGAATAAAAACCACAGGAAACATTTGTAATAGATGCTTTTCTTCCAAAGAGGGTCTTGGAGACTTAAATATTTGAAGGGAAAAAGAGGCCGGGCTTGGTGGCTAACGCCTGTAATCCCAGCATTTTAGGAAGCCAAGGCAGGCAGATCACCTGAGGTCAGGAGTTTGAGACCAGCCTGACCAACACGGTGAAACCCCATCTCTACTAAAAACATAAAAATTAGTTGGGCATGGTGGGGCGTGCCTGTAATCCCAGCTAGTCGGGAGGCTGAGGCAGGAGAATTGCTTGAACCCAGGAGGCAGAGGTTGCAGTGAGCCGAGATTGCACCACTCCACTCCAGCCTGGGCAACAGAGCAAGACTTGGTCTTAAATAAATAAACAAATAAATAAAGGGAAAAAGAGTGGGCAGTAGGGGAAGGTAAAAAAAAAAAAAAAAAAGCAGGGAGGGAAAGCAAATTGAAGAGACAAGCAATTGTGTTCCTTTGAGTCTTTGATCAGCATTTACAGAATTCACATTTTACATGTGGAAAGGAAAGGGTGGAAGAATATTCAATTATGCATTCATCTTGCACTCAGTGAATCTGCATTTTTACATAAGGTAAATAAACACAAAGTACAGGAAGCAGTCAGATATGCTTTTGTCTCCGGGGCACAGAGGGATGACTTTTAGTTCTGTCCTTTGTCCCTTACCTGTGAAGACAAGTTTTTCATTTATGTTTTCAGGGTGAAATTCAACAGAACTCTTTTGGCTGGGCATGGTGGCTCATGCCTTTAATCCCAGCACTTTAGGAGGCTGAGGTAGGTGGATTGCATGAGGCCAGGAGTTGGAGACCAGCCTGGCCAACATGGTGAAACCCTGTCTCTACTACAAATACAAAAATTAGCCGGGTATGGTAGTGCACACCTGTAATCCTAGCTACTCAGGAGGCTGAGGCAGGAGAATTGCTTGAACCAGGAGGCAGAGGTTGCAGTGAGCCAAGATCACACCACTGCACTCAAGCCTGGGCAACAGAGCAAGACCCTGTCTCGAAAACAAAAACAAAAACAAAAAACCTGAACTGTTTTAGATGAAATCCAAGAAATTCAACAGAACTGTTTGTTTTCCTTTAGCATATTCAATGTCAGTAACTCATCTTTCTGGGTTTGAGATACTGAATGAGCATCATCAGTCTGGCCTCATCCAAACCCTGGTAGATTTCTCCCCCAAGAAATTTTGATGTCAAGACCATACCCTCTTCCCTGAATAATGACAGTGAAAGGAAAAGAAATCTCAGGACCACCAACTCACTAAGTGAAAGGCAAAAGTCAAGCTGGAAACTGGATCATACAAACCTGCCTCTCCCATTCTGTTCCTAAATAGATAGCTACAAAGATTTTTTTTTTAAAAGCTACACACCTCCCTCAAAATTTACCCACAAGGAAATTCCTTATGGGCCTCAAGATTTTGACCTTAGAATAGTTCTGTTGCATTTCACCCTGAAAATGTAAATTGATAGCTTATGCTTGCAGGACAAAGGATAGACCCCAAGGTCATCCCTCTGCTCACCTGAGACAAATGCATATCTGACTCTTTCCTCTGCCCCATGTTTACTTTTTTTTCATTAAAAAAAAAGAGACAGGGTCTCGCTATGTTGCCCAGGCTGGTCTTGAACTCCTGACCTCAACCGATCTGCCCACCTCAGCCTCCCAAAGTGCTGGGATTACAAGCATGAGCCACCGAGCCCAGCCGCTGTCTTGAGTTTCATGGAGACTTCAAGACACAGGCATGATTTGGTTTTTAGTTTGCTTTTTGTTTTGTTTTGGTTTTGAGACAGGGGTCTATGCCACCCAGGCTGGCATGCAGTGGTGCAATCATAGCTTGCTACAGCCTTGATCTCCTGGACTCAAGTGATCTTCCCACCTCCGCCTC
Source organism: Homo sapiens (assembly GCF_000001405.40). Lineage (NCBI taxonomy): Eukaryota > Metazoa > Chordata > Mammalia > Primates > Hominidae > Homo > Homo sapiens. Next base: position 64,124,568 of record NC_000007.14, on the reverse strand, counting down.
CTGAGTAGCTGGACCACAGGCATGCGCTACCATGCCTGGCCAATTTTTTTATTTGTAGAGATGAATTCTCACTATGTTGCCCAAGCTGGTCTCAAATTCCTGGCCTCAAGCGATCTTCCTGCCTTGGCCTCCCAAAGTGCTGGGATTTCAGGCATGTACCACCCGCGATGGCAACATAGGCATGGCTGATTAAATCAGTGGCCACTGGTGATCAACTCAAACCTTCAGCTCCTCTCCATCCCTGGAAATCTGGGGGCAGGGGGCTGAAAGTTCCTACCCCCTAATCACGAGGTTGGTTCCCCTGGCAACTACTTTTCATTTTGAGACTATTCAGGAGTCACCAGAAATCAGTCGTCTCATTAGCATCCACAAAGACACTTACTACTTCGGAGATTCCAAGGGTTTCAGGAGCTGTGCACCAGGAAACAGTGGCAGAGACAATATATGTGTGTTTGTGTATATATGTGTGTGTATTTTTTTGTGTGCTTTTTTCTTTTACACTGTAGCTCTCAGATCTTACAAATATATATTTTTTATTATTTCATGTCTGTATTATAAAAGGAAAATAAAATCTTAGGACTTCAGACTCACTACAACCTCCACCTCTTGGGTTCAAGCGATTCTCCTGCCTCAGCTTCCAGAGTAGCTGGAATTACAGGCATGTGCCACCATGCCCAGCTAATTTTTTATTTTTAGTAGAGACAGGGTTTCTCCATGTTGGCCAGGCTGGTCTTCAGTTCTCCACCTCAGATGATCTGCCCGCCTCAGCCTCCCAAAGTGCTGGGATACCAGGCGTGAGCCACCACGCTTGGCCCAATGTTTTATGAACAAACATTTAAACTGTAATTCTGCTTTGTACCAGAATTCATCAGAAACAATCCTTTTAGCTCTGTGATTTTATTTTCTTTTCAAAATTAGCTGAACATTATAGCAAAACTAAAAGTTACAATTTTCTCCCGCCTTCCCTGAAGAAAAGCCCAGAGAGATTTTGTTTTGTTTTTTTGGGGGGAGTTTTTGAGACAGAGTTTCACTCTTGCTGCCCAGGCTGGAATGCAGTAGCTAGATCTCGGCTCACTGCGACCTCTGCCTTGTGGGATCAAGCGATTCTCCTTCCTCAGCCTGCCGAGTAGATGGAATTACAGGCACCTGCCACCATATCTGCCTAATTTTTGTATTTTTTGTAGAGGTGGGGTTTTACCATCTTGGCCAGGCTGGTTTTGAACTTCTGACCTCGTGATCCACCTGCCTCAGCCTCCCAAAGTGCTGGGATTACAGGCGTTAGCCCCCGTGCCGGGCCATCTCTTTTTCATTAATGGAAACATGTCCTAAGTACCTCATACCGTTACTTATTAAAAACATATTTTCTTTGCATACTTTTCATACAGTCGTTTCCTTTCACCCTTATTATATTTAGTAGGTCAATTATGTACATTGTTTAGAATTCTTAACACTTCCTAACTTTAACTTCCAGTGAAAATGAGGTTGTAGGGAATTGTGGACTACTTGTCATTTAACAGCATTCTCTAGTAGATTAGCATACTTATTAATACACCTTTTTTTTTTTTTCAGATGGAGTGTCACCCAATATATTACCCAGGCTGGACGGAGTGTAATGGCACAATCTTGGCTCACTGCCACCTCCGCCTTCCAGGTTCAAGTGATTCTCCTGCCTCAGCCTCCCGAGTGGCTGGGATTACAGATGTGCACCAACACGTCTGGCTAATTTTTGTATTTTTAGTAGAGATGGGGTTTTCACCACGTTGGCCAGGCTGGTCTTGAACTCCTGACCTCGTGATCCGCCCACCTCAGCCTCCCAAAGTGCTGGGATTACAGGCATGAGCCACCGCACCCAGCCTTAATATACCATTTTATGATTTTTTTCTTAGACAGGGTCTCATTCTGTCAGCCAGGCTGGAATACAGTGACATAATAACTCTTAATAAAGCCTCAAACTCTGGGGCTCAATAGATCCTCCTGCCTCACCCTTCAGAGTAGCTGGGGCTACAGGCATGCACCAGAACGCCCTGCTAATTTTTGTATTTTTCATAGAGACGAAGTTTCACCATGTTGGCCAGGCTGGTCTCAAACTCCTGACCTCAGGCTATCCACCGACCTTGGCCTCCCAGAGTGCTGGGATTACAGGCGTGAGCCACCGTGCCCGGCCTCATTTTCTTTTACTTCACTTGATTGTGCTTCACAGATATTGCATTTCTTAACATAGTTTTGTTTTATTTAAACATATAAATAATAGTTAAAACTACTGAGATGGGGTCTCGCTATGTTGACCAGGCTGGTCTTGAACTCCTGCCCTCAAGCAATCCTCCCATCTCAGCCTCCCAAAGTTCTGGAATTATAGGCATGAGTCACCATGTCTGGACCATTTCTTAACATATGAGAGGATTGTGGCAACCTGTGTTGAGTTAGGGTAGTGGCGGCGTTTTTCTAACAGCATGTGCTCACTTGGTGTCTTTGTGTCACATTTCGGTAATTCTTACAGTATTTCGAACTTTATTATTTTTTTGAGACAGAGTCTTACTCCATTGCCCAGGCTCAAGTGCAGTGCTTTGACCATAGCTCACTGCAGCCTTGACCTCCCGGCTCAAATAATCCTCCTCCCTCAGACTTAGCTGGGACAACTAGCTTGTCCCACCATTCCTGGCTAATTTTTTTTTTTGTAGAAATGGGGTCTCACTACGTTGTTTAGGCTGATCTCAAACTCCTGGGTTTCCAGCAATCTTACCGCCACCACCTCCCGAAGTGCTGGTATTATAGGCGTGAGCCACTGCGCCAGGCATTATTATTATTAATTTTTTTTTTGTTTTTAAGACAGAGTTTTGCTCTTGTTGCCCAGGCCAAAATGCAATGGCGCGTTCTCAGCTCACTGCAACCTCCACCTCCCAGATTCAAGTGATTCTCCTGCCTCAGCCTCTTGAGTAGCTGGGATTACAGGCATGCACCACCACGCCCAGCTAATTTTGTATTTTCAGTAGAGACAGGGTTTCTCCATGTTGGCCAGGCTGGTCTCGAACTCCCAAACTCAGGTGATCTGCCTGCCTCGGCCTCCCAAAGTGCTGGGATTACAGGCGTGAGCCACCACGCCCAGCCAAAAGTTAGCATTTCTACCAAGTTCCTGGGTGGTAATTATAATGGGCAAGAATGACAGTCTGAGAACAACTATGCTGGAAGATTTTATCTTGGCAGCCCCTCATCCATCTGCACGTGAGAGTACAGATCTTATTCTCTTTGAAGACCAATTTTTTTTTAAAGACAGGTCTCACTCTGTCACCCAGGCTCACGTGCAGTGGTGCAATCATACCTCACTGCAGCCTCCAACTCCTGTGCTCAGGCGATCTGCCCACCTCAGCCTCACAAGTAGCTGGGACTACAGGCACACACCACCAGGCCTAGCTAATTCGTTTATTTTTTTTGCAGATGATGAGGTCTTGCTACGCTGAACAGACTGGTCTCAAACTCCTGGCCTCAAGCGATCCTCCCGTTTTGGCCTCCCAAAGTGCTAGGATTACAGGCATTAGCACCATGCCCAGCCTGAAGACTTTTAAATGCTACCCCATTCAAGACGTGTTGAAACTCACCTATATTCAATCAGCCTGCTTTTTGCAAGTAATATAAAACAGACTGAAATACCTTAAGTCTCTTAGGCTTTGTACCCTATTGTGGAATAATGAGTGTGTCCCAAAAGTAAATCCATAATGAGGTCCCATTTTTCCTTCCTCCTTGGCTATGAAATAGACAAGAAAAAGGCAAGCTAGTCATTTCCGTCTCACTATAGCACACTCTCCTGTTTGCTTTTTGACCGTATTTGGGAGGCGGGGGCCTGATTGCTCTCCTACTTTCTAAGCACAACTTACTTTTTCTAGAAAATTCTCAATGCAACCTACATGGAGTAAGCCAGCTTCCCTCCTTTGTTTCCAATATTCTTATAATCAAAATGGCCAGAATTGGCAAGGCAACCTGAAAAAATGAGGACAGGTACGTTATCCCATGAGCCAAACTGCCACTTACACTGCATAGTCGTGAAATCGGCAGAATTCCCGATAAGCTCTCCAACCACGTATTTTCTGCGTTTTTGATCCAGACCCAGATGGTACTGCTCTGGCAGACTCTTCTGGTACTCTTCAGTGAACATCAGAGGTGGACCCTGGTATTCAAGGCAAAGAGATTCTAAGAGTCAGAAATGGCAGAATTGTAAATGTTAGATAAAAATAAAGATCCACTTGATGGTGACCAAAATATCTGTCCTCGCAGGGGGCTATAGTGACTGCAGGACTCACTGATGCTGGGGTAAAGACAGCCAGGGAATGATGTAACCCAGAATAAAAAAGGAGGTTTAAAAAAAAAAACAACCTTAATGAGCAACTGCTTTATTTATAAATGTAATTTGATATTCGCTTTACATTACTTTTCCACCTCTATCTGCTGGTACAGTCTAAAGGCTGAACTACACTACAGGTAAAAATACGTCTTTGGGCCAGGTGCAGTGGCTCATGCCTGTTATCCCAGCACTTTGGGAGGCCAAGGTGGGAGGATTGCTTGAGCCCAGGTGTTCAAGACCAGCCTGGGTAACACAGCAAGACCCCATCTGTACAAAAAACACAAAAATCAGCCAAGCATGGTGGCACATACCTGTGGTCCCAGCTACTTGGGAGGCAGAGGTGGGAGGACTGCTTGAGCCCCAGAGGTCAAAGCTGCAGTGAGCTGTGTTTACACCACTGCACTCCAGCCTGAGTGACAGAGCGAGACCCTGTCATACATACATACATGTAAAATGAAATTAAACTAAACCAGGCTGGGCATGGTAGCTCAGGTCTGGTATCCCAGCACTTTGGGACGTCGAGGCAGGAGGATCACTTGAGACCAGGAGTTCAAGAGCAGCCTAGGCAACACAGTGAGACCCAGTCCTACAAAAAGGCAAAATATTAGCCAGGCATGGGGGTGCACAGTTGTGGTTCCAGCTACTTAGGGGGCTGAGGAGAAAGGAGTGGTTGAGCCCAGGAAGTCGAGCAGTGAGCTGTGGTTATGCCACTGCACTCCAGCCTGGACAACAGAGTGAGTCTGTCTCAAAAAAAATCTTTTTTAATTAAACTAAATCAATTCGGTTATCCTAGTCATATATCAAGACCTCAATAGCCACGTGTAGCTAATAGCTACCATTTCAGACAGTGCAAATACAGAACATTTCCATCACTGCAAGGGTGTTTTTTTTAAAAAAAACAAGGTCTCACTCTGTCACCCAGGTGGGAGTACAGCAATGCAATCATGGCTGACTGGAGTCTTGACCTACTGGGCTCAAACAATCCTCCCACCTCAGCCTCCCAAGTAGCTGGGACTACAGGCAAGCACAACCATGCCCAACTCATTTTAAATTTTTTGTAGAGATGGGGTGTATGTTGTACAGACTGGTCTCAAAACTCCTGGGCTCAAGAGATCCTCTGACCTTGGCATCCCAAAGTACTAGCATTCCAGGTGTAAGCCATCACGCCCAGCACTGCAGAGGTTCTATCAGCACTGACCTAGACCCTCTCAAGAGTTTCTTAAGAATTCAGAGCTCAGGCAGGGCATGGTGGCTCATGTCTGTAATCCCAGCACTTTGGGAGGCCAAGGCAGGCGGATCACTTGAGGTCAGGAGTTCAAGACCAACCTGACCAACATGGTGGGGAAATCTCATGTCTACCAAAAATACAAAATTAGATGGGCATGGTGGCGCATGCCTGTAATCCCAGCTACTTGGGAGGCTGAGGCAGGAGAACAGCTTGAACCTGGGAGGCAGAGGTAGCAGTGAGCCAAGATCGTGCCAAACTCCGTCTCAAAGAAAAAAGAATTCAGAGCTGGTTACCTTTTCAAAGAGGATGAGCAAGCATGCATATCGATGAGCCACTTCCCCCTACTTGACTAGTTTGCAGAAGTGGCATTCTGTAATCATGATAAATTTAAGGGTGCAAACAGAACAGCACAGTCCACTGTGGGTGGCTGTTACCTGTATGTCAATGGGAGTCCCAGGAGCTGTGACAAACGAGTGTGAGCTGGCTGGGGAGGGGACGAGGGGCTGGATGAGGTTCAGGAATTCACATGTAAAAAAACCCCAAGACAAAGCAACATATCTTTGGTGAGGAAAAAAAAATGAGATGGATAAAAAAAAAATGAGAACAGGCCGGGCACGGTGGCTTACACCTGTAATTCTAGGATTTTGGGAACCCCGTCTCTACAAAAATACAAAAATTAGCTAGGCATGGTGGCGGGTGCCTGTAATCCCAGCTACTTTGGAGGCTGAGGCAGGACAATTGCTTGAGCCCAGGAGGCAGAGGTTGCAGAGAGCTGAGATCACGCCATTGCACTCCAGCCTGGGTGACAGAGCAAGACTCCATCTCAAAAATAAAAATAAATAAATACATAAATAAAGAGGACAAAATGAGTGATTAAACATGGCTCTGTGATCTCACCCATGCCCTCAAGCCCTCAACAGGTATCATATAGCACGTGCTGTGTCAGATATTGCAGAGTACCTAGGAAGCAACAATAAATAGAACTCCTTCTCTCTCCTGAGCCCACAGTCCAAAGAGAGAGCCAAAGAAATAATGACAGTGCCTGGTGAGAACGCAGGGAGAGCCAGGTTCAGGCTACAACAGGGGCAGAGCACGGAGAAGGCTCCCTTGGCCTGAGGCAGGTGAGGTAAACCTCCTCATAGAGGGGACAGCTATGAGCGTCCTCATAACTGTCCCCTCTATGAGGAGGTTTACCTCACCTGCCCCAGGCCAAGGGAGTCTTCTCCGTGCTCAGACGCTGAATAGGAATCTTGTCAGCCATGCGTTGTGTGACTCATGCCTGTATTCCCAGTACTTTGGGAGTCCGAGGCGGGAGAATCACTTGAGGCCAGGAGTTCAAGGCCAGCCTGAAAGCGAGACTCCATCTCTATAAAAAATTTTAAAAATAGGCTGCACATGGTGGTGCATGCCTCTAGTCCCAGTTACTCAAGAGGCTGAGGCAGGAGAATTGCTTAAACCCAGGAGGTAGAGGTTGCAGTGAGCCGAGATCACACCACTGCTCTCCAGCCTGGGCAACAAAGCAAGACCAACTCTGAAAAACAAACAATGAAAGAAATGTTGCCAATGGAAATGACGAGTGGTGGCAGGAATTGGTATCTACAAGACAATAAACATAACTTGGATTGGAGAGTCAGGGAGAGACTCTTAGAAGAAATGGCCCTTATGCCGAGTCAAGTTAACCAGGAGGGATAAAGGGAAGAAAAACCCAACAGAGGGATCAGTCCCTGCTCAGAGCTTCTGGCACCCACCTGAGGCCTGCACAGTACAGATTTTTTTTTTTTTTTTTGAAAGAAAGAGTCTCACTCTGTAGCCCAGGCTGGAGTGCAATGGCACGATCTCGGCTCACTGCAACCTCCACCTCCCGGGTTCAAGTGATTCTCCTGCCTCAGCCTCCCGAGTAGCTGGGATTACAGGCAATTGCCACCACTCCTGGTTTATTTTTGTATTTTTAGCAGAGACGGGGTTTCACTATCTGTTGGCCAGGCTGGTCTTGAACTCCTGACCTCAGGTGATCCACTCGCCTTGGCCTCCCAAAGTGCTGGGATTACAGGCGTCAGCCACCATGCCCAGCCTAGATTGTTGTTGAAGCCTGTTTTCCTCTTCTCTTTCCTCAGTTTATTTCTTCTTTTACACCCTCCCCCATCACTGCTCTGCCCATCCAAAGGCTGTGGCTGGCACATGATGGAACAGAATCTCCCAGCCTCAAGTTCCAAACCTGCACTATCCAACAGCCAGGCTCTCAGATGGGAAGCTTCAAAGCCTTGTGACAGCCTGGCTGAACCACTCCAGCCTGGGCAACTCCCTTCAATTCCTACCCTGAAAAACAGGCATCTCCTCTGGCCACCGCTCAAAGAAGCCTGTCTGGAAGCCTCAGGCATCCGCTCCTGGAAGCCTGAACTCTTCACTTTTGCAAAAAACGTTGTCCACCCAGTACTGCTGAGCACACCCCATGCCCCCGAGCTCTGAATTGTCCTTTGCCCAGGCTGGGACAACTTCTCAGAGCCTTCTGCCTGCTGTAGACTTGGCTCAGCCCAAAGCACTCCATGAAATTGGGGTGTGGTGTCTGTCTCAAGAAACATTTCTACAACCTCTGCTGCCTCTACCACAAGTGAAAAATCCACCTCTGAACGCTGTTAGAACTGCACGATTATAAGGAAGAAAAGGGGGCCGTGCGCAGTGGCTCACACCCGTAATCCCAGCACTTTCAGAGGCTGAGGCAGGTGGATCACTTGAGGTCAGGAGTTCGAGGCCAGCTTGGTCAACATGGTGAAACCCTGTCTCTACTAAAAATACAAAAATTAGCTGGGCACGGTGGCTCACGCCTGTAATCCCAGCACTCTGGGAGGCTGAGGCAGGCGGATCACCTGAGGTCAGCAGTCCAAGACCAGCCTTGCCAACATGGTGAAACCCTGTCTCTACTAAAAAACACAAAAGTTGGCCAGGCACAGTGGCTCACGCCTGTAATCCCACCACTTGGGAGGCCAAGGCGGGCGGATCATGAGGCCAAGAGATTGAGACCATCCTGGCCAACATAGTGAAACCCTGTCTCTACTGAAAATACAAAAATTAGCCCGGTGTGAGACTCCATCACAAAAAAAAAAAAAATTTTAGCCAGGTGTGGTGGCGCAAGCCTGTAGTCCCAGCTATTCAGGAGGCTGAGGCAGAAGAATCACTTGAACCTGGGAGGTGAAGGTTGCAGTGAGCTGAGATTGTGCCACTGCACTCCAGCCTGGCAACAGAGTGAGACTCCATCTCAAAACAAACAAACAAACAAAAATGCAAGTTAGTTGGGTGTGGTGGCACACACCTGTAATCCTAGCTATTCGGGAAGCTGAGGCTGGAGAATCACTTGAACTCAGGAGGCAGAGGTTGCAGTGAGTCGAGATCGTGCCCCTGTACTCCAGCCTGGCAACAGAGTGAGACTCCATCTCAAAAAAATAAAAAATAAGTATAAAGTAGCTGGGTGTGATGACACACATCTATAATCCCAGCTGCTTGGGAGGCTGAGGCAGGAAGATCACCTAAGCCTGGGAAGTCGAGGCTGCAGTGATCCGAGATCACACCACTGCACTGTAGCCTGGGAGACCAAAGTGAGACCCCGTTTCGAAAAAAACAAAAAAAATCAAAAAAACAGGCCAGGTGCAGTGGCTCACGCATGCCTGTAATCCCAGGTACTCAGGAGCCTGAGGCAAAATAATCACTTAAACCCGGGAAGCGGAGGTTGTAGAGAGCCAAGATCATGTCACTGATCTCCAGCCTAGGAGACACAGCGAGACCACGTCTCAAAAAAAAAACAAAACAAAACAAAGAAAAAGAAAACCACAACTTGGGTGGGTAGATATTTGGTCCCCTGAAGTGTCTGGGTATGGACGGCACTCCCATCAGGCTGGGACAGGAGGCTGGTCTCAAACAGCACAAACCCACCCCAGCCTGCCACCTGCCAGGGTCTCCTTCCCGATCCAGCCCAGGGCAGCCAGGGGGCACTCACCTGAAGTAGTAGCCGGCAGGTTCCAGGTAGGATGCAGGCTTGTTGGCCACAGACCACATCACCACGGCGGGGTGGTTCTTGTCCCTGCACACCAGTTCCTCCATCACCCACATGTGTTGATGCACAGACACATTGTTGAAAAGCTGCCTGTGGGCCAGGAGGGAAGGGACAGAGGGTCATGGTGCGGTCTGCGGGCTGGGCAGGTGGAGCGGGTGCGTGGTGGGGACTCACACCAGCACCAGGCCCACAGCGGGACACTCATCAATGACCACAATCCCATAGCGGTCACACATCTGCAGCACTTCCCCCGCGTAGGGGTAGTGGCTGGTGCAGAAGGCGTTGGCACCAAGCCAGTGAAGCAGGTTGAAGTCCTTCACCAGCAGCAGCCAGTTGAAGCCCTTCCCTAGGATCTAGGAGACAGCAGAGTGGAGTGACCCCTGCCCCTGTCGAAGCTGCACTTCCTCTGAGAGCCAGGACCCTGGAGAGCCACCCCATGAGCCCCCTCTCCAGCCCAAGCACCGGCTCCACCATGGGGCAGTTTGGAGCCATTTGCCTTATTGCCCTGAGCTGCCCTCAACTGTGGGACATACGGAAGGCAAAAGTGGAAGGTGACCAGAAGCAGCCCCAACGAGGACCCAGGAGCACAAACGCAGGTCCGCATCCTCGTGCTTGTTGATGCTGTGGAAATAAAAAGGTTTCCCGTTGATGAAGAACTGGCTCTCAGTGACAGCCACAGTGCGGATCCCCACAGGGAGTGTGTAGAAGTCAGACAAAGGCCCCAGTGACGTCTGTGCAGTCAGCCGCACCTAAGATAGCCAAAGCGCCAGGTGTGAGCACCCCGACAGCCTGAGCCCCATCCGGCCCTCCCTCTGGCAGGAAGGCCCCTCGTGCACCCCAGCAGCCGCCTTGGGCCTGCAAGCAGAGATGCAGCAATCAGAGGCTCTGCCCTTCCCTGGCTGACCCCGGGACCTGCCCTTCAAAACTGGGCCTTCCCCTTGACCAGATGAGGTGGCTCATGCCTGGAGTTCCCACGCTTTGGGAGGCTAAGGCAGGAGGATCACTTGAGTCCAGGAGTTCAAGACCAGCCTGGCAACAGAGTGAGACCCCATCTCTATAAAAAAAAAATTTTTTTTTTTTTTTGGAGACAGTCTCACTCTGTCGCCCAGGCTGGAGTGCAGTGGCGTGATCTCAACTCATTGCAGCCTCTGCCTCCCAAGTTCAAGCAATTCTTGCCTCAGCCTCCCAAGTAGCTGGGATTACAGGCATGCACCACCATGCCCAGCAAATTATCATATTTTTAGTAGAGACAGGGTTTCACCATGTTGGATGGGCTGGTCTCGAACTCCTGGCCTCATGTGATCCACCCACCTCAGCCTCCCAAAGTCCTGGGATTACAGGTGTAAGCCACCACGCCTGGCTTACCAAAACAGTTTTTTTAATTAGCCAGGCATGGTGGCATGTGCCTGTAGTCCCAGCTACTAAGGAGGCCAAGGTAGGAGGATTGCTGCAGCCTGGGAGCTCAAAGCTGCAGTGAGCTGTGAACAGGCCATTGCACTTCAGCCTGGGTGACACAGTGAGACCATCTCAAAAAAAAACACAAAAACTGGGCCTCCCACCAAGGGTGGGAAATATCAGAAAGCTCAGAGGACCACGCCTGGCCGTTCATCTGTCCTGGGCTCCTGCTGAAGCCCAGATGGGGGCAAAAGACCTCCCTTAACCAAGTTCCAAACCACCATTATCTCCAATGAGTACAGACCGGGGGGTGTTCGTGCATCAGGTAAGGCCACCAGAGGCTCCTGCCTGTACCCGGTACCTTCAGCTGGCCCTGAGTAAAGGCCCCAGTGGCCATGGCTTTGTTTTCTGCCTCCAAAAGATGCACTTCCAACTGGATCTGGTTGCTGCACTTGAGGAGATCTGGTAATTCACCAGCCCTGCAGGAGGCAAGAGAGACCAGGGCTGAGGGAGGGACATGACCTGGGCCACACAAACGGGAGTGCCCCGCAGCCACCACTCCCAGGCAGCCATTTGTTTCTATTGTTTTTTTAAAATTTTATATACATATATATATATATATATATACACACATATATGAACACACACACACACACATACATATTTTTTGAGACAAAGTGTCACTCTGTCCCCCAGGCTGGAGTGCAGTGGCGTGATCTTGGCCCACTGCAACCTCCACCTCTGGGGTTCAGGTGATTCTCCTGCCTCAGCCTTCCGACTACCTGGGATCATAGGCGTGTACCACCTCGTCTGGTGAATTTTTGTATTTTTAGTAGAGTCGGGGTTTTGCCATGTTGGCCAGGCTGGTCTCCAACAGGTTTCTCTCTATTTTGTTTTTCTCCCTGTACGAAAGGACAAGAAAAATAGGGCCTACTTCATAAAGTGCCCTCGCACTATAGATGATGTTAATCTCAATCTAACACCCTACGGACTATTTATTTCAACCATCTGCTGATGCAATACAACTTTTCACCAAAGAACCCTTACAACCCTCAACATCTACTATTGCCCTCTATATTACTGCTCCAACCCTAGCCCTTTCTATCGCCCTTCTTTTGTGAACTCCCCTCCCTATTCCAGACCCTTTAATTAATTTTAATATAGGCCTCCTATTTATTCTAGCCACATCAAGCCTAGCCATCTACTCTATTTGATGATCAGGATGGGCATCCAATTCAAACTATGCACTAATCGGTGCATTACAAGCTGTCGCCCGAACAATTTCATATGAAGTCACCCTAACCATCATCCTGTTATCAGTCCTACTGAGAAGCGGCTCATTCAATTTATATACACTCATCACAACACAAGAGTCCCTCTGACTGCTCCTACCATCATGACCCCTAGCCATAATATGATTTATCTCCACATTAGCAGAAACTAACTGAGCCCCTTCTGACCTAACAGAAGGAGAATCAGAGTTAGTCTCAGGTTTCAACATCGAATATACTGCAGGTCCATTTGCCCTCTTCTTTATAACAGAATATATGAATATTATCGTAATAAATGCCCTAACTACTACATTTTTTCTAGGAACATTACACACTATATATTCACCAAACTCTATACTACATATTTCATTACCAAGACCTTCCTCTTAACCTATTTTTATGAATTCAAACAGCATATCCCTGTTTCCGCAACGATCAACTCATACACCTCTTACAAAAAAAACTTTCTACCACTTACACTAGTATTCTGTATATGACATATCTCAATACCCATCCTAATCTCCAGCATCCCACCCCAAACATAATATGTGTGACAAAAGAATTACTTTGATAGAGTAAACAATAGAGGTTGAAATCCTCTTATTTCTAGAACTATAGGAATTGAACTCACCCCGAGAATCCAAAATTCCCCATGCTACCTATCACACCATGTCCTAAAGTAAGGTCAGCTAAATAAGCTATCTGGCCCATACCCCAAAAATGTTGGTTATACCCTTCCCATCCTAATTAACCCATTAGCTCAACTTATTATTTACCTTACTGTTTTTACAGGTACTTATCACAACGCTAGGCTCACACTGATTTTTCATCTGAACAGGCCTAGAAATAAATATACTAGCCCTCATCCCAATCTCAATTTAAAAAAAAAACCCGCTCTACAGAAGCAGTCACTAAATATTTCCTTATACGGGCAACCGCATCTATATTCCTCATAATAAGTATTCTCTTCAATAACCTGTTCTCCAGTGAACAATAAATACTATTAATCAACTTTCATCCTTAAAAATAATAACAGCTTAGTAATAAAACTAGGGATAGCCCCTTTTCACTTCTGAGTTCCAGAAGTAACCCAAGGAACTTCCCTAACATTCGGTATACCACTCCTCACATGACAAAAACTGGCCCTATTTCAATTATATATCAAATTTTTCCATCAGTAAACACGAACATCCTCCTATCTCTCTTGATCTTATCTATTATAGTGGGCAGTTGAGGAGGACTTAACCAAACACAACTATGTAAAATTCTAGCCTACTCCTCAATTATTCATATAGGTTGAATAACAGCAGTACTAATATATAACCCAAACATTACCATTTTTAACCTAACAACCACTGCATTCCTAGCACTCAGCCTGAATTCAAGCACTACAACCCTATCACTATCCCATGCCTGAAACAAATTAACATGGTCAGTATCTATAATTCTATCAATTTTATTATCCCTAGGAGGTTTACCTCCATGAACAGGATTCCTGCCTAAATGAATCACCATTCAAGAGTTTACAAAAAATAAGTCTTATTATCCCAACCATTATAGCTATCATAACTCTACTCAATCTGTATATTTACATATGCTTAGTTTACTCCATTTCAGTGACAATATTCCCCACATCCAATAATATAAAAATAAAATGACAGTTCAAAAATATTTCATATTACTTCTCCCCACACTTATCATCTTCTCTACCATCCTCCTACCAATCTCTCCACTAACACTATCCATAATCTAGAAATTTAGGTTAAGTAAGACCAAGAGCCTTCAAAGCTCTTAGCAAGTAAATTATACTTAATTTCTAAAAAATCCCTAAGGACTGAAAAACTCTATTCTGTATCAATTGAATGCAAATCAATCACTTTAATTAAGCTAAGCCCTTGCTAGATTGGTGGGACTTAAACCACGAAAATTTAGTTAACAGCTAAACACCCTAATCAACTGGCTTCAATCTACTTCTCCCGCAGTTGGGGGAAAAATGGCATACAAGCCCCAGCAGGATTCAAGCTGCTCCTTTGAGTTTGCAATTCAACATGAAAATCACCTCGGGACAGGAAAAAAGAGGCCTTGACCTCTGTCTTTAGATTTACAGTCTAATGCTTACTCAGCCATTTTACCTTTTCTCACTTCACTTATGTTCACCAACTGTTGATCGTTCTCAACCAACCATAAAGATATCAGGACATTATACTTGCTATTCGGTGCCTGAGCAGGGATAGCAGGTACAGCCTTAAGCCTCCTTATTTGAGCGGAACTGGGCCAACCAGGTACTCTACTAGGTGATGATCAAATTTACAATGTCATCATTACCGCTCATGCATTTCTTATAATTTTCTTTATAGTAATACCAATAATAACTGGAGGTTAATCCCTCTGATAATTGGCGCCCCTGACATAGCATTTCCCCGGATAAATAATATGAGTTTCTGACTCCTCCCACCCTCTTTCCTGCTATTACTTGCATCCACTATAGTAGAGGCCAGCACTGGAACCGGCTAACAGTCTACCCCGCCTTAGCAGGAAACCTAACACATGCGGGAGCCCCTGTAGATTTAACCATCTTCTCACTCCATTTGGCAGGTGTCTCTTCTATTTTAGGGGCCATTAACTTTATTACCACAATTATTAATATAAAACCTCCAGCCACGTCCCAATATCACACACCCCTTTTGGTCTGATCAGTCCTAACTACAGCAGTTCTACTCCTTTCTCTCCCAGTCCTAGCCGCCAGCATTATTATACTATTAACAGACGGCAATCTTAATACTACTTTTTTCGACCCAGCTGGTGGAGGTGATCCTATCTTATATCAGCACTTATTCTGATTCTTTGATCACCCTGAAGTCTATATCCTCATCCTACTGGGCTTCAGGATAATTTCCCATATCGTAACATACTACTCTGGGAAAAAAGAGCCATTTGGGTATATGGGCATAGTGTAGGCCATAATATCAATTGGCTTCTTAGGGTTTATCGTATGGGCTCACCACATATTTACAGTAGGAACAGATGTAGATACATGAGCATACTTCACCTCTGCTACTATAATTATTGCTATTCCTACTCATGTCAAAGTCTTTAGCTGATTAGCTACATTACATGGCGGTAACATCAAATGATCTCCCGCAATACTCTGAGCCCTGGGATTTATTTTCCTTTTTACAGTAGGAGGTTTAACCGGCATTGTACTAGCCAATTCATAACTAGATATTGTTTTACATGATACATATTATGTTGTAGCCCATTTCCATTATGTCTTATCAATAGAAGCCATATTTGCTGTTATAGAAGGCTTTGTCCACTGATTCCCCCTATTTTCAGGTTATACACTCAATCAAATCTATGCTAAAACTCACTTTGCCATCATATTTATAGGTGTCAATTTAACTTTTTTCCCCGCAGCATTTCCGCAGCCTATCCAGTATGCCTCGCCATTACTCCAATTATCCCGGTGCATACACCGCATGAGATACTATTTCATTCGTAGGCTCATTTATTTCCCTAACAGCAGTAACGCTAATAATTTTCATGATCTGAGAAGGCTTCGCTTCAAAACGAAAAGTTCTAACAATTGTGCAACCATCTACCAACTTAGAATGACTATATGGCTGTCCACCACCCTATCACACATTCGAAGAACCAACCTACATGAAGACCTAAGCGAAAAAGGAAGGAATCGAACCTCCAGAGACTGTTTCAAGTCAATCCCATAACCTCTATGACTTTCTCAATAAGATATTAATAAAATTATTTCATAACTTTGTCAAAGTTATAGGTTAAGCCCTATATATCTTAATGGCCCATCCAGTTCAATTAGGTCTTCAAGATGCTTCATCCCCTACTATAGAAGAACTACTTACCTTCCATGACCACACTCTTATAATTATTTTCCTAATTAGTTTCCTGGTTCTATACATTATTTCTCTAATACAACAAAGCTGATTCATACTAGCACTATAGATGCCCAAGAAATAAAGACTGTCTGAACTATCTTGCCTGCCATCAGCTTAATCTTAATTGCCCTCCCATCCCTATGTATTCTGTACATAACAGATGAAATCAATAATCCCCCTCTCACCATTAAAACAATTGGACATCAATGGTATTGAAGCTACGAGTATATAGATTATGAAGAATTAAGTTTCGATTCTTATATACTTCCAACAGCCAACTTAAAACCAGAAGAACTTCAACTCCTCGAATTCGATAACCAAACATCCTCTCAATAGAAATTCTCATCCGCATGTTAATCTCATCCAAAGATATCCTGCACTCATGAACTATTCCCTCATTAGGGTTAAAAACAGATGCAATCCCTGGACGCTTAAACCAATTTGCCTTAACCACTACATGACCAGGCCTCTACTATGGACAATGCTCAGAAATGTGTGGATCTAACCACAGCTTTATATCTATTGTTTTAAAATTAGTCCCATTAAAAACTTTCAAAACTTGGTCTATATCCACACTATAATCTCACTGTAAAGCTACCCCAGCGTTAACCTTTTAAAGACTTCTTCTGACAGAAATCACACCTCTCTACAGTGAATTCCTCAACGAGATACTTCCACATGACCTATTATTATTATATCAACAATCATAACTTTATTCTCGATTATTCAATTAAAACTATCAAATTTCATTTACCATACACCCGCTACACCAAAAATAATTGAAACACAAAAACATAACAACCCTTGAGAACTAAAGTGAACGAAAATCTGTTCACCTCATTTACTGCCCCGACAATCCTAGGTTTACCCGCAGCAGCACTAATCATCTTGTTTCCCGCCACACTCCTTCCAACCTCCAACTATTTAATTAATATACTCTCTAATTAATATTAATTAATTATCTAATTAGTATCATCTAATAACTATCTAATTAATATTAATATAATTAATACAAGATTGATTTCTATTCAACAATGACTAGTTCAACTTGTTCTAAAACAAATAATAATCACACATAATATTAAAGGACGAACCTGATCCCTTATACTAATATCCCTAATTCTCTTTATTGCCTTAACCAATCTCCTTGGGCTTCTACCCCACTCATTTACACCAACTACTCAACTATCAATAAATCTCGGTATAGCAATCCGCTTATGAGCAGGAACAGTAATCACAGGTTCCACTTTAAAACTAAAAACTCCTTAGCTCTCTTCCTGCAAGGCACGCCCATACCACTTACCCCTATACTAGTAATCAACGAAACCATTAGTCTACTTATTCAACCAATGGCACTAGTTGTACATTTAACAGCCAATATTACGGCCAGTCACTTACTCATACACTTATTGGAGGAGCCACACTAGTATTATCAACTATTAACCTTCCCACAGCTTCAATTACCCTTATTATTCTAATTCTATTGACCACTCTCGAATTCGCTGTGGCCCTTATCCAAGCTTATGTCTTTACGCTATTAGTAAGCCTTTATTTATATGACAACACATAATGACCCACCAAACACACACCTCTCATTTAGTCAAACTCAGCCCTTGGCCATTAACAGGGGCTCTCTCAGCTCTCCTAATAACATCTGGCCTAGCTATATGATCTCACTTTAACTCTATTACTCTTTTAACTTTAGGCCTACTAACCAATACACTGACTATATATCAATGGTGACGTGATATTATCCGAGAAAGTACATTTCAAGGCCACCATACAACAATTGTCCGAAAGGCCTCTGATATGGAATTTATTTATTATCTCAGAAGCATTTTTCTTTGCTGGATTCTTCTGGGCATTCTACCATTCCAGTCTAGCCCCAACTCCAGAACTAGGAGGACACTGACCCCCAACAGGCATTTCTCCCCTCAACCCTCTGGAAGTACCCCTCTTGCATCAGGGATTTCAATTACTTGAGCCTATCACAGCCTACTAGAAAATAATCAAAAACAAATAACTGAAGCACTACTTATCACAATTACCTCAGGTATTTACTTCACCCTCCTACAAGTCTCAGAATACTTTGAGGCTCCCTTTGCTATTTCTGATGAATTTATGGCTCAACATTCTTTATAGCTACAGCCTTTCACGGACTTCACGTCATTATTGGATCAACATTCCTCACTATCTGTCTCTTCTGCCAATTAAAATATCACTTTACATCTAGCCATCACTTTGGCTTCGAAGCTGCTGCCTGATATTGACACTCTGTAGATGTAGTATGACTATTCTTGTATATCTCTATTTACTGATGAGGATCTTACTCTTTTAGTATAAAGAGTACTACTGACTTCCAATCAATTAGTTTTGACATCTGAAAAAGAGTAATTAACCTAATACTAGCCCTAGTAATCAACACCCTATTAGCCTTATCACTAATAGTTATTACATTATGGCTCCCACAACTTAATATTTATATAGAAAAATCCAGCCCCTACAAATGCAGATTTGACCCATTATCCTCCGCCTGCATTCCCTCCCCCATAAAATTTTTTCTAGTAGCCATCACATTCCTCCTATTTGACTTAGAAATCGCCCTATTACCCTTGCCATGAGCTCTTCAAACAAACAACCTGACACTAACAATCAGCACAGCCCTTATACTAGTTATCATTTTAGTACTAGGGTTAACTTATGAATGAACTCAAAAAGGATTAGACTGAACTGAATTGGTAGATAGTTTAAGCCAAAATAAATGATTCTGACTCATTAGATTATAATAGAACATATTTACCAAATGCTTTCTATTTATATCAATATCATATTAGCATATACCATATCACTTCTGGGGATATTAACCTATCGATCCCACCTGATAGCATCCCTAATATGCCTAGAAGGAATAATATTATCATTATTCATCATAAATACCCTTATAACTTTAAATATACATTTCACCCTAGCATTCATAATACCCATTACCCTCCCAGTATTTGCTGCCTGCAAAGCTGCAGTGGGCCTCGCCTTACTAGTTTCAATCTCCAACACGTATGGCCTAGATTATGTACATAACCTAAATTTACTTCAATGCTAAAAATTATTATTCCAACAATTATACTGCTATCAATAACATGACTCTCTAAAAACTCAATAATCTAAATCAATATGACTATTCACAGCCTAATCATCAGCTTCATTGCCCTATTATTTTTTAATCAATTCAGCAATCTATTCAACTTCTCATTAACTTTCTCTTCTGATCGCTGACATCACCCCTTCTAATCTTAACAGCCTGACTACTACCTCTTATAATTATAGCAAGCCAGTACCACCTCTCCAATGAGTCACCCCTATGGAAAAAGCTCTATATTTCCATATTGATTTCCCTATAATTTTTTTTAAATTATAGCATTCACAGTCACAGAACTAATTATATTTTATATACTCTTTGAAGCTACGCTTATCCCTACCTTAATTATTATCACCCCCTGAGGTAACCAACCAGAACGCCTCAATGCAAGCTCGTATTTCTTATTTTATACACTAATGGGATCTCTCCCCCTACCTATTATACTTATTTATACTCGAAATACCTTAGGTTCACTGAACATAATAATATTTAACACCCAAGAACTATTAATTTTCTGATCCAATAACCTTATATGATTAGCATGTATTATGGCTTTTATAGTAAAAATACCCCTATACGATTTCACCTATGACTTCCTAAAGCCCACATAGAAGCCCCTATTGCTGGCTCAATAGTACTTGCAGCGGTTCTCCTAAAACCAGGCGGCTACAGCATAATACGGCTTACCCTTATCCTCAGCCTCCTGACAGAATATATAGCCTACCCCTTCCACATGTTATCCTTATGAGGGATAGTTATGATAAGCTCTATTTGTCTACGACAAGCTGATCTAAAATCACTTATTGCATATTCCTCCGTAAGTCATACAGCACTTGTTACTATGGCTATCTTCATTCAAACCCCCTGAAGCTTTACTGGTGCAATTACCCTCATAATTGCCCATGGACTTACTTTGTCCTTACTATTCTGCCTAGCAAATTCAAACTATGAGCGAATCCATAGCCGAATCATATTACTCTCTCGAGAGCTTCAAACACTACTCCCACTAATAGCCTTTTGAAGACTTATAGCAAATCTTACTAACCTTGCCTTACCCCCCACCATTAATAGGAGAACTCTGTAATGGTGGCTTCATTCTCCTGATCAAACATCACCATATGCTTATAGGACTTAATATATTAATCACAGCCCTTTATTCTTGTTTAAGTTCTTATTTATTTATTTAATTAATTTATTTATTTTGAGACAGGGTCTCACTATGTTGCCCAGGTGGGTCTCGAACTTTTGAGCTCAAGCAATCTGTCCACCTCGGCCTTCCAAAGTGCTGGAATGACAGGCATTAACCACCGCACCCAGCCTAAATTCTTTTAAATTTGGAACTGCGGCCACAAAACACTGTCAATAATCTCGCCACTGCACTCCAGCCTAGGCAACCGTGCAAGGCCTCATCTCAGAAAAAGAAAAAGATATATTTTAAAAATGAAAAAAAAACTTAAAAAATCCTTACACTCTGGGAGGCCAAGGCGGGTGGATCACCTCAGGTCAGGAGTTCAAGTCCAACCAGGCCAACATGGTGAAACCCTGCCTCTACTAAAAAAATACAAAACTAACCAGGCATGGTGGCAGGTGCCCATAATCCCAGCTACTCAGGAGGCTGAGGCAGGAGAATCCTTTGAATCCGGGAGGCGGAGGTTGCAGTGAGCTGAGATCGCACCACTGCCATCCAGCCTGGGCGAGAGAACAAGACTCTGTCTCAAAAAAAAAAAAAAAAAAAAAAAAAAAGGCAGGGTCTCCCTCTGTTACCCAGACTGGAGTGTGGTGGCACAGTCATAGCTCACTGCACCCTTGACCTCCCAGGCTCAAGTGATTCTCCTGCCTCAGCAGCTGGGACTATCAGCATGCATCACCATGCCTGGCTAATTTTTTAATTTTTTGTAGTGATGGTCTTGCTATGTTGCCCAGGCTGGTCTTGAACTCCTGGCCTCAAGTGATCCTCCTACCAGGGCCTCCTTGCAAAGAGCTGAGAGGACAGGCATGAGCCACCATGCCCGGCCCCCCGAAGCTGCCTGTTCCTTGAGCACGATGTGTAGCAAGGGGAGCTGGAGTGACAGCAGCACCGTGGGGAAGGGACAGGATTGCCACCCTGAGCTGTGTGACATTAGGCCAGACCCCTCTTCTCCAAGTGAGGTCAACCACATGGGTGATTTCGGGAGCCTGTGCCCCAGTCAGCCTGGATTTTACCTTCATAGGTAGATAGGAAACTATGAGGGTTCAGAGATGCTGGGAGAACCTTTTCCCTGGGAGAGCTTTCCAAACAGGAAACAAACAGAGCCACCCTGGGCCCCACTGAGGGAGGATCCTACCAGCACTGTCATGCTCCACGCCGGTGGTGATGGTGATGTCATCGATGTAGGTGGTAGGTGTCGTGTACAGAAGCACAGACCGCTGCAGTCCCGCGTAGTTGAAGAAGTCAAAGTCTGTGTTCTGGACAAAGTAACCCTTGGGATACCTAGGGTCGGAGGACAGTGGTTCGCTGGGCCCTTGCCCTGAGTCCCTTGACCTCAGCTCACAGGTCTCCTCAGATCCAGGTCCTCCACTCTGCCAAGGCCACCCTGTCCCTAGCAGGAAGACCACAGGGTGGGATGGGAAGGTAGGTGCATGCGGTGGAGACAAGATGGTATCCACTTGGAGGTGTTGATCATGTAGCAGATGGTCCCTGGTGGCAGGGTGGAGGGGGTGAGCGTATTATTGATGGTGATAGTGATGCAGGGGCAGGAGGACAGGGGCCCCACCTGGACCAGACTGCTGCTGTCGGCCCCTCATGCTCTAGCGTGTCGACCCCATTCACCCACTGCAGACACAGGAGATATGAGGAGGGGGCAGCAGGTTGGGGCATGAGGAGGGGCCCTGCTATCAGGCACTCCCTCACATAACCCGCAGCATGGGGCTCAGGGACCTGCCAGCCAGACAGGAAGAATGGCATCCCAAGGGTGTAGATCAGGCCACCTATCCCCCTACACAGGGCACAGCCCCCAGGGCAGGGCAGGGCCCCCCACCATCCCACCCCAGGAGACAGGCTGTAGGTGGCTGCTGGGGGTCCCATGCTGTTCAGCAGCCATGCCCACCCACCTACCCTGCCTGCTCCTGGCTGCACTGACCACAGTGGCATAGGAGTGGGCACTGGCAATCCTCAGCACCACTCTTGTGCGCAGGTGCTGGGTCCATTGCTCCGGCAGGGTCACCTCCTGTTCGTACAACACCCAGCCAACAAACTGCCGCAGCCACCAGTCCTGACAGATGTCGTTGAAGCTGGAGGGAACCAGCACGCCCAGGGTGGGGCCCGATGGTGGAGAGAAGAGCCGCGCTCACCTCCTAGGTCCCCAAAAAGATCCCGGGCCAGTGTGCTGCAGAGCTGTGCCCCCAGGCCTAGTGCAAGTCCTGACACATAGCGGGGACTCTTGGCGGAACGGACAGACAACTTGCTGAGGACAGATCAATCGCCAAGGCGGTTTGTGCACCTGGACTAGCGGGGCCAAGAGTTCCCCTTCGGAGTGGATGGGGCCCAATATCTCCCAAGACAGATGACCCACTGCCTGTCACAGGGAGGAAGACTGTTTGGGGGGATGCGGGGCTTTGCTTAGGACACTGTGAGTGGGACGCACGCAGGCACCCAGCCCTCTTCTCTCTTCCTCCTGTACTGAATGCTGCAAAGTTTTTCTAAGGGGATGCAAGCGAGGAAAACGCGGCCCAGACCTCACCCGGTCCCACTTCTCTGCTGACCATATCCAAGTCAGGAGGAAAACAGGGGTGGTGTCCTTGGCCTGATATCATGTCCTGTCCTCAACCTGAACCTTGAAAACCAAGGGACCTTCCTGCCTCAGCAGAGCTGACCTCAGGAGGTCTAAACTGTCTCCCTCCTCCCAGCTCTGTGCAGCACATGCCGCTCTGGCCAGACCAGTGTCTGTGTGGCTCATGCCTGTAATCAGCGCTTTGGGAGGTCAACGTGGGAGGATGGCTTGAGGCCAAGAGTTCGAGACCAGCCTGGGCAATGCAGTGAGACCTATATCTTTAAAAAAGAAAAAAAAATTTATTTATCTATTTTATTTATTTATTTTTTTTGAGACGGAGTCTCACTCTGTCACCCAGGCTGGAGTGCAGTCCAGTGGCTCTGTGATCTCGGCTCATTGCACCCTCCGCCTCCCGGGTTCAAGCACTTCTCCTGCCTCTGACTCCCGAGTAGCTGGGATTACAGGTGTGTACCATCATGCCCAGCAAATTTTCGTATTTTTAATAGAGACGGGGTTTCACCAGTCTGGTCTTGAACTCCTGGCCTCAAGTGATCCACCTGTCTTGGCCTCCCAAAGTGCTGGGATTACAGGCGTGAGCCACCAAGCCTGGTCAAAGTTTTGTTTTGTTTTTTTTAATAGCCAGGCGTGGTGGCCCCAGCTAACTTGCAAGCCTGGGGCGGGAGAATCCCTTGAGCTCAGAAGTTAGTATTACACCACTCTGCTCCAGCTTGGGCGACAGGGCCAAACCCAGTCTCAAAACAATTTTTAAAATTTAAAATAAACATTAAAAAGAAAGACACTGCCCAGACTCACCCTTCGTCTCGTGAGAGGGTTCGGCAGCAGCGCTTCCTTCTTCTCCCGCCTCGGCCCTCCCCAGTTCCCCCGGTCTCCCCGTCCCCCAAGCCTGCGCCCCTAAGCCCATTGACCTTTAACTTCCTGTAGGGCGCCAGCTCCGGGGCGCTCAGGGGAAGGAGCCTGCAGGGACCAGGGCTCCCCCCCTCCCACCGCCGGGCTTCCGGGCGCCTCCCGCCCCTGCCCCGCAGCTCCCGCAGCGGCCGCGGGTACCACTGCTCCTCGAAGCCCTGGCGTCGACTGTCCAAGTCGGCGCGGAAGCTCCAGAGGCCGCCCAGCTCCTTGGACTCCCGCGACGGGCTCTCCCGGGGATACAGCGTCCAGCCCTGCAGCGCCAGGGCGCAGCCACCGCCGTGCCTCGGATCACACTTTCCTCTCCACCGCTCGGCAGCCGTCTGCGGGGCTAAGAGCAGCGCCGGAGGAGCCCGGCGGGTGGGTCGCGTGAGGCGCCTGAGACCGTCCGCGCCATCTTTGCTGAGGGCGAGTGCCAGGCCTGGAGGGGCGGGCGGGGCCCCGCACTGCCCAGTGGGGCCTGCGGCTGGAACCCTGGGTTAGGCCTTTGGGGAAGTGGGACGCTCACCGTCAGCCCCGGCTAAGAAGGGCGAGGTCGGCTCCCCACCCCAACACAGGCTGGATGATCCAGGGACGCAGGCCAGGACAGAACCCCTGAGATCGTGGTATCCCCGTTTCTTCAAGGAGCACCTCCTCTTGCTTTCCACAGCAGGAATTCCAGCAGGCCCCAGCGAAGCCTCTTCTATTCCTGTCGGATGCAGCCTCTTGCATGGATGCACGTCCTTTGGATGGGGCCATAGCCTTGACCCTGGGCCTCTGGGGCCCCGACCCTAACCAAGGGGCCAGGAGCTCCCTCTTGGGGTTGCAGGCACATGAATATGCAAGGAGAGAGGCCAAGTGGCTCAAGCCTGTAATCCCAACACTTTGGGAGGCTGAGGTGGGCGGATCACCTGAAGTCAGGATTTGGAGACCAGGCTGGCCAACCTGGTGATATACCCGTCTCTACTGAAAATACAAAAAATTAACTGGGCGTGGTGGTGCACACCTGTAATCCTAGCTGCTCGGGAGGCTGAGGCAGGAGAATCGTCTGAACCCTGGAGGAAGAAGTTGCAGTGAGCCGAGATCATGCCACTGCATTCCAGCCTGGGCAACAGAGTTAGACTGTCTCAAAAAAAAAAAAAAAAAAAAAAAAAAAAAAAAAAAGCTACATACCTGTCACCCAGTTTGCCTGCTAGGAAATTCCTTGTGAGCACCAAGAATTTTAGTGACCTCTTAAGTCATCCCTCTGCTCACCTAAGACAAATGCGTATTTGTTTGCTTCCTCTGCTAGAAAAATTCAGATTCCCTGAACTAGACAAAGGCAAAAGTGATGGCTGGGGGCGGTGGCTCACGCCTGAAATCCCAGCACTTTGGGAGGCGAGGCAGGTGGATCACCTGAGGTCAGGAGTTCACGACTGGCCTCACCAACGTGGTGAAACCCCGAGCAAATTTTTTTTTTTTTTTTTTTGAGACGGAGTCTTGCTCTGTCACCCAGGCTGGGTGCAGTGATGTGACCTCCACACACTGCAACCTCTGCCTCACGAGTTCAAGCAATTCTCCTGCCTCAGCCTCCCAAGTAGCTGGGATTATAGGCACAGGCCACTACTGCCCGGCTAATTTTTGTATTTTTAGTAGAGATGGGGTTTCGCCATGTTGGCCAGGCTGGTCTCAAACTCCTGACCTCAGGTGATCCACCTGCCTCAGCCTCCAAAAGTGTTAGGATTACAGGCGTGAGCCACCACGCCCGGTGAAATCCCATTTCTACTAAAAATACAAAAATTAGCCGGGTGTGGTGGCAGGCACCCATAATCCCAGCTACTCGGGAGGCTGAGGCAGGAGTATCGCTTGAACCTGGGAGGCAGAGGCTTGCCATGAGCCGAGATTGCGCCATTGCACTCCAGCCTGGGCAACAAGACTGAAACTATGTCTCAAAAAAGATAAGAAATGGCCTAAGTGAGTATTCCTCTACCCTTCCCCCAGATGTACATTGTGTATTTGGCGAAAGTCTGATTAAAGGCTGGCATGGTGGCTCATGCCTATAATTCCACCACTTTGGAAGCCTGAGGCAGGTGGATCACCTTAGGTCTTAAGTTCAAGACCAGCCTGGCCAAGATGGTGAAACCCCATCTCTACTAAAAATACAAAAATTAGCTGGGCAAGGTGTCAGTGGCCTGTAATCCCAGCTACTTGGGAGGCTGAGGCAAGAGTATCGCTTGAACCCAGGAGTCCAAGGTTGCAGTAAGCCGAAATGGCGCCATTGCAATCCAGCCTGGGCAATAAGAGCAAAACTCCACCTCAAAAAAAAACCCAAAAAAACAAACAAAAAAAAGAAAGTCTGATCGAAGACTTAAAAGAATGCGACCGTTTGTCTCTTATCTACCCACACCTTTTTAAAATGTCTTCTTCCTTCCCCAATATCTGTCTTTTCTCCTTTAAATATTGAACCTCTCAAAGTAATCTTTGGAGAAAGATACAGACCTGCCTCCCAGGCATGCATCCTTCATGTTGGCAAAACAAACTTTTTTTTAAGATGGAGTCTCACTTACTCTGTTGCCCAGACTGGAATGCAGTGGTGTGATCTTGCCTCACTGCAATCTCGCCTCCCAGGATCAAGCAGTTCTCCTGCCTCAGCCTCCTGAGTAGCTAGGATGACGGCTAATTTTTGTATTTTTTGTAGAGACAGGGTTTCACAACATTGGCCAGGCCAGTCTCAAACTCCTGGCCTCAAGTGATCCACCTGCCTCAGCCTCCCAGTGCTGGAATTACAGGCATAAGCCATAGCGCCCAGCCCAAAATAAATTGTCTAAATTGATCAAGACCTGTCTCAGATACTTTTTGGTTTATACCTTCTGCTATGATTGGAAGCTTCCTGAGGCCTCACCAGAAACAAATGCCAACACTATGCTTCCTGTACAGCCTGCAGAACCGTGAGCAAATACATCTCTTTCCTTTATAAATTACCCAATTCCAGTTATTCTTTGAGTGCAATAAAGAAAGGACTAATACAAAGAGACTCAAGATTTCCCTTTATTTGGCCAGGCACAGTGGCTCACGCCTATACAATCCCAGCACTTTGGGAGGCCGACGCAGGCAGATTGCGTGAGGCCAGGAGTTCGAGACCATGGCGAAACCCTGTCTCTAATAAAAATACAAAAATACTAAATACCAAAATATAAAAATTAAGGCTGGGCATGGGTAATCTCAGCACTTTGGGAGGCCAAGCTGGGAGGATCACTTAAAGACAGGAATTTGAGACCAACCTGGGAAACATGATGAGATCCCATCTCTACAAAAAATAAAATTAAGGCCAGGCACGGTGGGTCATACCTGTAATCCCAGCACTTTGGGAGGCCGAGACAGGCAGATCATAAGGTCAGGAGTTCGAGACCAGCCTGATCAATATGGTGAAACCCCGTCTCTACTAAAAATACAAAAAATTAGCCGGACATGGTGGCATGTACCTGTAATCCCAGCTACTCAGGAGGCTGAGAGAGGAGACTCACTTGAACCCAGGAGGCAGAGGTTGCAGTGAGCCAAGATCGCGCCACTGCACTCCAGCCTGGGCCACAGAGGTGACTCTGTCTCAAAAAAAAAAAAAAAAAAAAGAAAAGAAAAAAGAAAAAGAAGTGGGCAGCCTGGTAGGAAGATGGGGCAGCCCTGAAAGGCTCGGTGAATGCACCAGCCTGAAGCTAACCCTCTGCAGATCTGGGATGCTGCCCTCCAAGATGTGGTACACACTGACAACTGGTGTCCCTGGTAGCTGGATCACACAGACCCGGAATCAAAGAGAGTAGAAATAGAAAAGTAGAGGCCAGGAGTGGTGGCTCATGCCTGGAATCCCAGCATTTTGGGAGGCTGAGGTGTGCATATCACTTGAGGCCAGGAGTTCAACACTAGCCTAGACAACATGGTGAAACTCCATCTCTACTAAAAATACAGAATTAGGCGGGCATGGTGGTGCATGCCTGGAGTCCCACTTACTTGGGAGTCTGAGGCACTAGAATTGTTTGAACCCAGGAGGCGGAAGGTTGCAGTGAGCCGAGATTGTGCCACTGCACTCCAACCTGGGTGACAGAGCAAGACTCTGTCTCCAAGAAAAAAAAAAAAACTGGAAAGGCGTCCTCTGAGCATCTCTTCTGGTGAACCATTTTCAGAGTTTTGGTCTCCTGCTCAGGCTGGAGTGTAGTGGCACAATCATAGCTCACTATAACCGTGAACTCCTGGGTTCAAGTAATCCTCCTGCCACGCCCAGCTAATTTTTAAAAACACTTATTTTAGAAATGGGGTCTCACTATTACTCAGTCTGGTCTCAAACTTCTGGGCTCAAATGGTTTTTTTTTTTGTTGTTGTTGTTGTTTTTTGAGATGGAGTCTTGCTCTGTCGCCCAGGCTGGAATGCAATGGCTTGATCTCTGCTCACTGCAACCCCCGCCTCCTGGGTTCAAGCGATTATCCTGCCTCAGCCTCCTGAGTAGTTGGGATTACAGGCATGTGCCACAACACCCAGCTAATTTTTGTATTCTTAGTAGAGACAAGGCTTCACTATGTTGATTAGGGTGGTCTCAAACTCCTGACCTCAGGTGATCCACCTGCCTTGGCCTCCCAAAGTGCTGAAATTACAGGCGTGAGCCACCGCACCCAGCCCTCAAATGATCTTTCTACCTCAGTCTCCCAAGTAGCTGGGACTCCAAGCATGTGCCACCATACCTGGCTAAGTTTTGTAATGTGTTCCCAATCTTTATAACATTAGGGTCTGATGGACTTAGGGGTCCCAGTTCCCAGGATCATGGTAAGCAGAATACTTTCTTTTTGTTTTTTTAATTACCTTTTTTTTTTGCCAGGTGTAGTGGCTCACATCTGTAATCTCAGCACTTTGGGAGGACAAGACGGGCAGATTGCTTGAGCTCAGGAATTCTAAACCAACCTAGGCAACACAGCAAAACCCTATCTCTACAAAAAATACAAAAATTAGCCAGGCATGGTGGCACATACCTGTAGTCCCAGCTACTCAGGAGGCTGATGTGGGAGGGTCGCTTGAGCATGAGAGGTTGAGGCTGCAGTAAGCTGTCATCACACTGCTGCATGCAGCCTGGAGGACACAGAAAGACCTTGTCTAAAAAAAATGTATATATATGGGTAGTAGAGGAGAAATAACGTTTGAAGGCCGGGTGCAGTGGCTCACACCCATAATCCCAGCACTTTGGGAGGCTGAGGCAGGCAGATCACCTGAGATCAGGAGTTTGAGACCAGCCTGGCCAACATGGCGAAACCCTGTCTCTACTAAAAATAGAAAAAATTAGCCAGGCGTGGTGGCATGCACCTAATCCTGGCTACTGGGGAGGCTGAAGCAGGGGAATTGCTTGAACCCGAGGCAGAGGTTGCCGTGAACTGAGACTGCACCACTGCACTCTAGCCTGGGTGACAGAGCAAGACTGTCTCAAAAAAAAAAAGAAAAGAAAAGAAAAGAAAAAGAGAAAAGAGAAATAACGTTTGATATGTATGGACCTAGAAGCTAATGTGTGTAAAGTAATTCCAGTCATCAGAGAAGTGCAATTATAAGCATATAATTCCATTCTTGTTGATACCTAGTTATAATGTAGCATCACTCCTAACAGAACGGCCTCAATCATTTGGTATATGCATTTTTTTTTTGTTTGCTTGTTTTAGAGACAGGGATGTGCTTTGGCACCCAGGCTGGAGAGCAGTGGCACGATCTTAGCTCACTGCAGCCTCCAATTCCTGGACTCAGGCAACCCTCCTGCCACAGCCTCCTGAGTAGTTAGACACAGGTGCGTGCCACCACACCTGGCTAACTTTTTAAAAATAGAGTTTGCATTTTTATGAGAATTATATGCACTAGAAGTTATTACAATTGTTGTGTTTATAAACAATGATAATATCTTTTCATGAAGTCACAGCCCAATGTATCAGTTCACGTTTTTTTTTTGTTTGTTTGTTCGTTTTGTTTTGTTTTGTTTTGTTTTGTTTTTTTGAGACGGAGTCCCACTTTTTCTCCCAGGCTGGAGTGCAATAGCGCGATCTCGGCTCACTGCAACCTCCGCCTCCTGGGTTCAAGTGATTCTCCTGTCTCAGCCTCCTGAGTAGCTGGGATTACAGGCATGAGCCACTGCGCGCAGCCTTCAGTTCACATCTTAGCACACCAGGAAGGCTATGTGGTTCCACAGCAAACAGACTAAAGAAACAAATGCTTCAGTAATAAAACTCCCACATATATTCATCAATATATCAATGTGTGTTGAGAAAGAATAATTTGATTACATAATTATGTAGTTTAGTACCAGTGTAGCAGCTTTTTGAGGCAGGGTCTCACTCTGTTGCCCAGGCTGGAGTGCACTGGCATCATCAAAGCTCACTGCAGCCTTGACCTCCTGGGCTCAAGTGACTGTCCTGCATCAGCCACCAGAGCAGCTGGGACCACAAGTGCACACCATCATGCTCGGCTAATTTTTGTATTTTTAGTAGAGACCGTGTTTCACCACGTTGGCCAGGCTGGTCTCGAACTCCTGACCTCAAGTGATCCACCCGCTTCAGCCTCCCACGGTGCTGGGATTACAGGCATGAACCACCACACCCAACCTACTTTTTTGTTTTTGTTTTTTGGAGACAGGATCTCAACCTGTGCCCTGACTGGAGTACAGTGGCACCACCATGTCTCACTGCAGCCTTGACCTTCTAGGCTCAAGTGATCCTCCCATCTCAGCCTCCCAGGTAGCTGAGACCACAAGCATGCACCACCATACCCTGCTCATTTTTAAAATTTTTGGTGACATTTTGGAGTCTCACTACGTTGTTCAGGCTGGTCTGTCTCAAACTCCTTGGCTCTTGTCTCAAATGCCTTGGCTCAAAAAGCCGGGCGTGGTGGTGCATGCCTGCAATCCTAGCTACTCGGGAGCCTGAGGCAGGAGAATTGCTTGAACCCAGGAGGTGGAGGTTGTGGTGAGCCGAGATCGTGCCATTGCACTCCACCCTGGGGAACAAGAGCAAAACTCCGTCTCAAAAAACAAAACAAACAAACAAAATAAATAAATAAAAATAAAAAAATTAGCCAGGCGTGGTGGCAGGCACCTGTAATCCCAGCTACTTGGGAGGCTGTGGCAGGAGAATTGCTTGAACCTGGGAGGTGGAGGTCGCAGTGAGCCAAGATCATACCACTGCACTCCAGCCTGGACAACAGAGCAAGATTCCATCTCAAAAAATTAAAAGAAAAAAAAAAAGAAAAAAAGTGAGAATTACTAAGTGCCACAAGAATGACACTAAGCCGTTCATGAGAGATCTGCCCCTATGACCTAAACACCTCCCACCAGGCCCCACCTCCAACACTGAGAACCAAATTTCCACACAACAAACCATAACCAAACCACAGGATAGGGACTATTATTATTCCCATTTCTCAAATGTGGAAACTGAGACACATGAAGGTTCAGTAACTTTTCTGACACCACAGAGCTGGTAAGATGCAGAACTGGGAATTTGACCTAATCAATCTGTTTCCAAGTGCTTATGCTGTCACTCTAAATCACTCTGCCATACTAACTCGAAAAGACTTTTCTTCTACTAATGCTATCCTAATGCTATCCCTCCCCCATCCCCCAACCCTACAACAAGCCCTGGTGTGTGATACTCTCCGCCCTGTGTCCAAGTGTTCTCATTGTTCAATTCCCACCTGAGTGAGAACATGCGGTGTTTGGTATTCTGTCCTTGCGCTAGTTTGCTCAGAATAATGGTTTCCAGCTTCATCCATGTCGCTACAAAGGACATGAACTCATCCTTTTTTATGGCTGCATAGTATTCCATGGTGTATATGTGCCACCATTAGGAGAAATACCTAATGTAAATGACGAGTTAGTGGGTGCAGCAAACCAATATGGCAGGCACATGTATACATATGTAACGAACCTGCACGTTGTGCACATGTACCCTAGAACTTAAAGTATAATAAATAAATAAATAATAAAAAGAAAAGACTTTTCTTGAGATAGTGTCATGCTCTGTCACCCAGGCTGGATCACAGTTCACTGTAGCCTCAACCACCTGGGCTCAGGTGATTCTCCTGCCTTAGCCTCCCAAGTAGCTGGGACTAAAAGCACATGCCATCACTCCCAGCTATTTTTTTTTTTTTTTTTTTTGAGACGGAGTCTCACTCTGTCGCCCAAGCTGGAGTGCATTGGCACAATCTCAGCTCACTGCAACCTCCGCCTCCCAAATTCAAGTGATTTTCCTGCCTCAGCTTCCTGAATAGGTGGGATTACAGGTACGCGCCACCATGCCTGGCTGATTTTTGTATTTTTAGTAGAGATGGGGTTTCACCATGTTGGCCAGGCTGGTCTCAAACTCCTGAGCTCAGGTGATCTGCCTGTCTTGTTTTAAAACAAAATGTTTTTAAAATTATCTGGATATAGGGCCAGGTGCAGTGGCTCATGCCTGTAATCCTAGCACTTTGGGAGGCCGAGGCGGGTGGACTACAGACGTGTGCCACCATGCCCGGCTAATTTTTTGTATTTTTAGTAGAGACAGGGTTTCACCGAGTTAGCCAGCATGGTCTCAATCTCCTGACCTCATGATCTTCCTGCCTCAGCCTCCCAAAGTGCTGGGTATACCAGTGTGAGCCACCGTATCCGGCCAGATTTTTTTTTTTTTTTTTTTGAGACAGAGCCTCGCTCTGTCGCCCAGGCTGGAGTGGAGTGGCACGATCTTGGCTCACTGCAAGCTCCGCCTCTCTAGTAGCTGGGACTACAGGCACCCGCCACCACGCCCGGCTAATTTTTTGTATTTTTAGTAGAGACGGGGTTTCACCGCAGATTTTTTTAAAATAGAGATGGGGTGTTGCTATATTGACCAGGCTGCTCTCGAACTCCTGGCCTCAAGAGATCCTCCCGTCTTTGCCTCTCAAAGTGCTAGGATTACAGGTGTGAGCCACCATGCTCAGCCCATATATATATATATACACACACACACACACACACACACGTGTTTATATCTACAGAGATGTCACTTGATATTTTAATTGCTATTTAATATTTTAATATCAATACCATGACAACAATTATCAAGCACAATATCCAATTAGAGTAACAGGCATTTCCGATCCTCTGGCCTCAGCCGCCCTCCTGCGTGGTTTTTGAGGTTAAAGGTTTTTTGGTTTTGGGGTGTTTTTTTTTTTGGCAAGGTCTAAAACTAATCTCTTAATTCTGAATGTCTTCAAAGACCGCCCTCCCCTTTGTATAAATACTTCCATGGACTGTTGTTTCATTACTTAAAATAAACTTTATTGAAGTATACATACAATAAAATGCATCATTTTAAGTGCATAGGTTTTTTTTGAGACAGGGTCTCACTTTGTGCAGTTTGATGAGGCTTAGCAAATGGATATACCTCAGTACCCACTGCCACTATCAAGATACAGAACTTTCTACTGGGTGCAGTGGCTCATGCCTGTAATCCCAACTTTGGGAGGCTGAACCGGGAGGACAGCTTGAGGCCAGGAGTTCCAGGACAGCCTGGGCAACAGAGGAGATACGTGGCTGCAATTTTTAAAAAAAAATTAGCCAGGCATGGTGGCATGCACCTGTGGTCCCAGCTTCTCAGGAGGCTGAGGCAGGAGGATCACGTGAGCCAGGAGTTGAGGGCAGCAGTGAGCTATGACTGCAAAACTGCACTCCAGCCTGGGCGACAGATCAAGATGCTGTCACAAACAAACAAACAAACAAAATTTAAGGCCAGGTGCGATGGCCCATGCCTATACTCCCAACACTTTGAGAAGCCAAGGTGGAAGCATTGTTGACCCCAGGAGTTCCAGACCAGCCTGGGCAATATAGTCATATATCATCTCTACAAAGAATATTTAAAAATTTAGCCAAGCATGTTGGCAAAGGCCTGTGGTCCCAGCTACCTGGGAGGCTGAGGTGGAAGGATCACTTAGGCTCAGGTCAGGAAGGCTGTAGTGAGTTGAGGCAGAGCCACTGCACTCCAGGCTGAGCAACACAATGAGACCCTGTCTCAATACAAAAATACAAACAAATCAACAAAAAAAAACTTTCCCTAGGCTGCTGTGGTGGCTTGTGCCTGTAATCCCAGCACTTTGGGAGGCCGAGGCAGGCTGATCACCTGAGGTCAGGAGATCGAGACCGCCCTGGACTACATTGTGAAACCCCGTGTCTACTAAAAATATAAAAATCAGCCAGGTGTGGTGGTGCACACCTGTAGTCCCAGCTACTCAGGATGCTGAGGCAGGAGAATTTCTTGAACCTGGGAGGCAGAGGTTGCAGTGAGCTGAGATCGAGCCACTGCACTCCAGCCTGGGCGATAAAGCGAGACCCTGTCTCAAAAAAAAAAAAAAAAAAAAGAAAAAAAAAAACTTTCCCATTACTCCAGGGAGTTCCCTCTGACCCCTCCCAGTCAATCCACCTTCCAGCCCTGACCCAGGCAACCACCGATCTGCTCTGTGTCACTGTGGATTAGGTTTGGTGTTTCTAGAATTTCACATCAATAGAATGATATGGAATGTTCTTTTGGGTCTGGCTTCTTCCACACAGCATGTTTTTGAGATTCATCCATTTCCTGCATGTTTCAGTATCTTGTTCCCAAGTACCGTTTTTAGCAACAGAAAACAGAACAAATTTCATGAGTATTTGAATTACACACCTTATTCAGATAAGATTATTTGAACCAATTTTATGACATGAAATGGTGTCTACCACTTTGCAGCTTCTGAAAAGAAGAAACATATCCTCTTTTTTTTTTTTTTTTTCCTTTTGAGATGGAGTTTCACTCTTATTGTCCATGCTTAAGTGCAATGACACGATCTCGGCTCACTGCAACCTCCACCTCCTGGATTCAAGCGATTCTCCTGCCACAGCCACCTGAGTAGCTGGGATACAGGCATGCGCCACCATACCTGGCTAATTTTTGTATTTTTAGTAGAGACAAGGTTTCACCATGTTGACCAGGTTGATCTCAAACTCCTGACGTCAGGTGATTCACCCACCTCGGCCTCCCAAAGTGCTGGGATTACAGGCGTGAGCCACGTGCCCAGCCTCTCTTTCTTGTCCCCCTGAAATTACCTTTCTCCCACAACATTCCCAAGCTCAGTAACAGTTTTCCATAAGCAGAAAAAAAAAGAGAGAGAGAAGGCCAAGGAGCTCAAAACCTAACATATGAAAAGGGAAAAGGCAAGAAGGGAATTACAAACAGGAGGAATGAGGGGCACATAATGTGTTTCTCGGTTTCACCTGATATAAATTTGTATCTGTAACCTGGGCAGCATAGCAAGATCCCGTCTCTACAAAAAATACAAAAACTAGCCAGGAATGCTGGTGTACACCTGTGGTCCCAGCTACTTATGAGGCTCAGGCACAAGGATCTTGAGCCCAGACTGAGGCTGCAGTAAGCTGAGATCACACCACTGCACTCCAGCCTGGGTGACAGAGTAAGACACTGTCTCTAAAAAAATAAATTAGCACGTGTTCCACTCAACTTCTGCTGGAGATGGGCCCCCAAATTTGGCCATAAACTGGCCCCAAAACTGGCCATAAAGAAGTCTCTGCAGCACCATGACATGTTCGTGATGACCATGATGCCCACGCTGGAAGGTTGTGGGTTTACTGGAATGAGGGCAAGGAACACCTGGCCCACCCAGGGTGGAAAACCGCTTTAAGGCGTTCCTAAACCACAAACAATAGCATGAAGGATCTGTGCCTTAAGGACATGTTCCTGCTGCAGATAACTAGCCAGGCCAATCCCTTTGTTTCGGCCCATCCCTTTGTTTCCCGTAAGGAATTCTTTTGGTTAATCTATAATCTGTAGAAACAATGCTTATCACTGGTTTATATGTGGGCAAATCTCTATTCAGGGCTCTCAGCTACGAAGGCTTTGAGTCCCCCGATTCCCCACTCCACACACTATATTTCTGTGTATGTGTCTTTAATTCCTCTAGCACAGCTGGGTTAGGGTCTCCCCACCTGAGCTGGTCTCGGCACCTTCTCACATCTCCCTGATTAATCTTTGAAATTTAGCAAATCCAAAATTACCACTGAGCAGGTGTGAGTGCTCACGCCTGTAATCCCAGCACTTTGGGAGGCTGAAACAGACCCTGAAATTGTGGTTCAGGGTGACCAGGCTGAGGCTGCCTTTTAAAAGACAGAACTGCCAGGTCTATGTCTTATTTGCCTTGTCATTCTAATGTATCTTTTGGTATGGAGACCAGAAAAAGAGTCTGAGTATGTGACAGCCCTCCTGCTAGACTTGGTACTATTTATACATGACTCTTAAGAGTCAAGGTAGGTTGAGAGATCTCTCTTCCTGGCAAAGCCTGAATAGGCTAGAGCACTGTGACCCTTAAAGCTTAGTTCATGCAGTCTTCAGAGGAATTTCAAAAACCACAGGATGTGGGGGGTAGAGAAAGAGCTGGTACAAATAACAAGTTGCAGGTGAAATAATTGGAGCCAGGAAGAGAACAGGACTTGCTTGGGACAATACACACACTGCCTGGGTGCAGCTGAACAGTTAAGCCAGTTTTCTGATTTGGGCCTTGTGCCATGGAATTAACAGGCCCACTTCTGTTCTGGCCTGGGTGCTGAACTCTTTGGTTCTAGAACCAAATGTGAATTCTGGACCCTGGAATTCCAGCTGGGTTTCACAGGCCACTGGAGTGAGGTTGCCCAGGTGGGCCCACAAAAGTGGCTGTGGGTGGGCTTACCTCACATGATTGGCTGCTTCTACGCCTACACTCACAAGGAAGAAGGATCTTCTTCCTCAAGGCATGCCTAGGGAAGCCTGAGGCTTATGGGAGCCAGTGAAGAAAAAAGGTGATGCCTCAGCCCAGTGCTTTTGCCCCTCCCGACTTGTGCAGCTCCAGGTACAGCCTGTGCTTCAAAAGGCTGGGGGATCTCTGGGCTGAGCTCAGGGCCCTGAGAGGGTTCTCCCCTTCAGGGACCGCTCATGCCTACCCCTCTGTGCCTACCTGACAGCTCAGCATGTCTGCTGTATGCCACCCTTATTGCCTGCTCTTGCCAAGTCCATGTCTCCCCAGACTGGCTAGGGGTACATGCTCACTGAAGCCCAGTTGACCTGTCCATCCTTCTTCCAATGCACAGCCTCAGGCAGGTGCCACCCAGGGTACCTCCTAGAATGTGATCTCGGGGGGTCACAGCCACACATTCTGCTCTTATTTATTGACTAGTTAATCATTAAGTCACTTAATGTGCCAAGATGAGTGTGGGCCTTGACACTCTTGATCTCCTTCCTCTAGTGGGGCTGCACTGAGGATTGCCATCCTGATTTCTGTGGAAAAAGCTAGCAGGTGAGGCAGGACTTAAGGGCCAGGGACAGGACAGAGCACCTAGGCTGGCCTCACCCAGGGCCCTCTGAGGCCCCATGCAGGCAGGAGGGCTCAATGGAGCTCCAGGCCCCTTTTCTAGGATGGTGCCCATGGCCCCTTCCTGGACCTCCAAGAAGGGCCCACTCTTTCTGCAACCTGCACCCACTGGTCTCTAGGAGGTGAGCACCCATTTATCTTTGTGGACATGGCCTTCTGCTTCATTTCCATTGATGTTCTCCTGGAAGAAATGCCTAGGGAATCCTGGGCCTGTGCTGGAGGTTCTCTAAGTGCCAAAGTCAATAAGAAAGTCTCAAGAATATAATTAATAGTACTTTCTGCACATTACTATCTCAGTGCTACTTTTGTGCAAAAATGTGTAAAAACAAATATTAAGATTTTTATCCTTTACATTATTTTAATTAGGTCATCATACAAACCTTTTATTTTCCTGAGATTTATTTTCATGCCAATCATTGAATTTTTGTTTTCCTCTTTGTTCAAATTGTTACCTGTTTTAGAGGCAAAATCTTAAAAATATATATGCTTCACAAATACTAACAGGTGACAGCAATTTATTTAAAATGTAATTAGATTTGTTAAATAAATAATTTAAGAAAACATAGTTTATATTACTTGTCTGAATTATTTTTACATCTTCAACTTAAAATTTTTTAGCTAGGTATGCAATTCAAAATTGACATATTTTAAAAATTATTATTTTAAAAAATCACCCAATTCATAGTCCAAAAAAATACCAATCTTACTGGATTTTACTACTAGCAGAAGCTGAGTTGCCTTAGGACCTGATGCAACATAACCACTCTATCTATATATCACCCAATTGCCCAAAATCTACCCAGAACTGAAGGCCGATTCTGCCAGTTCCTAAGAAGACAGTCTTAACACACACCCAATTTTCATTTAGGATCGTTTCCCACTTCTACCTTCTAGTAATTTCTGCCAGAACTACACTTCTGACAGCCCAGGACAGCAGGGCAGAAATAAAATCTCCTTGAGCTATAACAAATGTTTGGTTTTGTTCTTCCATATCACACAGCTTTTCTATTCTCGGAGACAGTAAGTTGAGGATGTGCTGTGTCAAGATCTAGAACCAAGGCTGGGTGCAGTGGCTCACACCTGTAATCCCAGCACTTTGGAAGGTTGAGTCGGGCAGATCATGAGGTTAGGAGATTGAGACCATCCTGGCTAACATGGTGAACCCCGTCCCTACTAAAAATGCAAACAATTAGCCAGGTGTGGTGGTGGGCGCCTGTAGTCCCAGCTACTTGGGAGACTGAGGCAAAAGAATTGCTTGAACCTAGGAGGTGTAGGTTGCAGTGAGCCAAGACTGTGCCACTGCACTCCAGCCTGGGCAACAGAGTGAGACTCCATTTCAGGAAAAAAAAAAAAAAAAAAAAGATCTAGAATCAAATCCACTTGAAATAGCTTGATAATTCTGTCTAAGCCAGAATATAGAGGAGGAAAACTAAAACCATATTTTTGTTAATCTAAATGAAAAGAGTTCAGGGCATTTTAGGCATCAATACCTGTGGAGCATACCCTTAACATCTGTCAGCAATTCCAGGTTTGAACTGCATAGAATTGGCCTCTACCTCCCCCAGTAGATGTTTAAATGTAGAAACATAATCCAAAAATTTTACAAGGTTTTCACTTAGTTTTGCTAAAATGTCCATCTCTTTATCTTGTTTCAATTGTGAGAGTCAATTGTGCAGCATGGATACGATTATACTCTCTTCATATGCAGAATGTCACCACTATAGATACTTTCAATTTTTCACCTGAGACAACAGGCTGATTTCAAAAAGAAGTTATTTCTAATTATGTAGCTTCTATTACATAGCTAGTATTACTTTTGTTGGTTTATTTCATGTATATGCCAAAATAAAATGTTCAACTCTACTTGAATAAATTGACCCAATAAATTTAATAAAATCAATTATATCAATTTTACAAAGTAAAATGATCAATAACTAAATGAAAATTGGATTAAATAGCATTCTCTAATTGAAACAAAATGTAAAATATACTAAATAACATACAATAATACACTCAGTGTGAAATTACATGTGAAAATTATTTTATGAACACCATTAAATTTTATCAGTCACTTTCATAATCTCTGAGGGGATAGTACAAATAATGTTTTCTGAAATTAGATGACAAGAAAATGATATATTATGCCTATGGTGAACAACAAGAAAACAGACAAACAAACAAAAAAAGAATTTGCAAAAGATGATTCTAAGTCAGGAGCAATAACATTTCAGATAAATGAATTTAATACAAAGCAGAGAAAACAGATTTTCTTTCAAAATCTTTGAAATTACTGGTTTGCTGGCAAGATATCAACACATGTAAAATTATCTGTTTCACTCTAATATTTTTCTTTTCTTCTCAAAATAGGTATACAACCATAAACAAATACGAATATTTTCTCTATAAATCTGTTACACTTAAAGTTTATTTTACAGTGATACATTTGTATATTTAAATTGATGTAAATCAAAACTAAAGGTCTGTACGTGTTTAGCAGACGAGAGAAGTCATATTTTCAACA
The DNA here is from genome assembly GCF_000001405.40 of Homo sapiens. Taxonomy (NCBI): domain Eukaryota; kingdom Metazoa; phylum Chordata; class Mammalia; order Primates; family Hominidae; genus Homo; species Homo sapiens. Next base: position 64,084,687 of record NC_000007.14, on the reverse strand, counting down.
GAAAAAAGTAGGATAAAATTTTGTAAATAGTTGTTCAGAATTCAGAAACATATAGCTCCATTATACTCATCTTCATTACAAACATCATAATAACCTGTAGTTACAAGAAAAACAAAAATGTTAATTTGTAGGAATCATATTCTCCAAATTATGGTAAGTTAAAGACCACTGACAAAGAAATCACTAGAGATGTTATTCCACAGTCACACAATAGTATATTGTTACCATCTGTTGACCTACAACCTTGGGTAAGATGGGATAAGTTAACATCAGTGGCAAGATACACATTCAGTGTAAAATAGCCTTAACTCAATAACAATAATTTTGGTTTATTAAAATAAATTAAGTTCATACATTGTCATTAAAAAGGCATTTTGAAACTCACTGTATTTTAATTACCTTAGTTTGCAAATGGTAAAGCAATTTCCTTCTAAAATTCAAATTGTTTCTCTTACTATGCAGAATATTATCCTAATCACTTACCACACTTCTATCACCCTGTCACTTATAATGCTGTTGTAAATCAACCACTAAGTGGCCTTTCCACTTAGAATTTCTTCATGTATCTTAGATTTCATTTCTCTTAATCTTCCATAGGAAAGTATATAAATCTTTTCATCTGATACGGAAGAACTTCTCCTAACTCTGGTGCAGCAACCATTGACCATGTTCTTTCACATAAATTCTAGAATGAAGACATAGCATCAAATGTAAGAGTTAAATTACATCAATATTTGCCTTTGAAAATAAATTATTTTAATATAAAAAAGTAGAAGGAGCTAGACTGTGTAGCTCTCACAGAGAAGAATGCAAGGTGTGCATAGATACAGCACCTTCAACTGAAACATCCAGGTACTTGCATTGGAACTAATGAAAGAAACAACTTAACTTACGGAGAATGGAGTAAAGCAAGGCAGGACAATGGGCCACCAGGGAACAACATGGAGCCAAAGGAACCTCCCCACCCAGTAAAGCAGTGAGTGCATGTGTGACCCTAGAAACCCATGATTCTCCCACAGATCTCTGCAACCTTCGGGTGAGGAGATACCCTCAGGAACCCACTTCACCAAGGCCTTCAATTTAACACACAGAGCTATGTGGAGTCTCAGCAGAGCAGCCACTGAGGCCTGTGCAGAGATTCAAGAGCCTCAGATACTCTGGCTTTCCAGGCTTCCCAGAAAAAGTAGCTGCAACTCAGCAAACAGGAGGTTATAACCTTGTACATACCCATAGGCAAGAGGCGAAATCCAGGGGGCTGAGCAGTGATGGTCTGCAGGACCCACTTCCACAGTGCCCCACAGGGTAAGAACTACTGGCTTAAAATTCCAGCCAACCATTGGTAGCAGTACGGTACCTCCCTGGGATGGAGCTACCAGAAAGAGGAGTGGGCCGCCATCTTTGCTTCTTGGGCAACTTAGCCATTCCAACCTTCATGTGTTGAAGAGCCCAAGCTGATCGGGGACAGAAAGGATCTCCTAGCACAGTACAGGCGCTCTAAAAAGACATGGCCAGACTGTCTGTTAAAGCAGGTCCCCAATCTCATTCCTCCTCACTGCAAAGCAGTTCCCAACCAGGGTCTCCAGCTACCACCACAGGTGCTCTTTGATCAGTGGAGTTTTGAATCCTCTTTGGGATACAGCTCCTAAAGGGAAGAGTGAGCGGCCATTTTTGCTGTTTGTGTGACTTAGCTGTTCCAGCCTTCTGGCTTTGAAGAGTCCAAATAAACTGGGGGTGGAAGTGGTACTTCTGCACAGCAGAGCTGTCCTACAAAAATGTGGCTAGACTGCATTCTTTCTTTTTTTTTTTTGAGACGGAGTCTCGCTCTCTCACCAGGCTGGAGTGCAGTGGCACAATCTCCGCTCACAGCAACATCTGCCTCCTGGGTTCAAGCAATTCTCCTGCCTCAGCCTCCCGATTAGCTGAGACTACTGGTGCATGCCGCCACACCTGGCTAATTTTCTTTTTTTGTATTTTAGTAGAGGTGGGATTTCACCATGTTGCCCAGGCTGGTCTTGAACTCCTGAGCTCAGGCAATCCACCTGCCTCGGCCTCCCAAAGTGCTAGGGTTACAGGCATGAGCCACTGCGCCCAGCCTACACTGCTTTCTTAAGTGGGTCCCCAGTCATGTTCTCCTCACTGGGTAAGACCTTTCAACAGGGGTTTCCAGCTACCTCCTACAGTTGCTTTGGGGCTGGAAACCGGTCTATACCTCCCTTAGATGGAGCTCTTAGAAAAAAGGGCATGCTGCCATTGTTGCTGTTTTACAGTATTCACTGGTGATAATGTTGTCAGGTACTGGAAAATCTGAGGTGACTAGAAACTGCAGTGGACACCCAGCATACTGCAGCAGCCCTTCAGAAAAGTGGCCAGACTGTTACGTGAGTGCCTGTTCTCATATATTCTCACTGGGCAAGTTCTCCAGGCCTGGGCCACTAGCCAATCATTGCCAGAGCTATTGAGCCAGTAGCAACTTCGCAACTCCCTAGACAGAGCCTCCAAGAGCAACTGAAAATATTTTTGCCATTGCCTCTGCAGTAGAACTGTCCTTGCTACCCTCAGACTAATGAAAAATCCAACACCCTAAGTGCCTTATTCACACCTCAAACGAGCTGTAGTTTACCCAAGGAGAGAGGGCCAGTCCATCCTCCATGGGTCCCACAAACTACCCACTGCTCATTACCAGTGAACCCCTAATTTGGCCAAAAGCACAGATCCTCCATCCTGGTCGGACTGCACTGAGTGATTGCTGGCCTACACGTCTCTGAGATGCAGCAACCAGAAGACAGGCAAAGAGGTGGGGCAGCAACCCAGCTCATGTGGTACCCAGAGGGTTTAGTGCAAGAGCACCTGTAGTAGAGTGTGGCCATTGACGGCCATTTCCATAGGCTCAACTTTCTCCCATAAGAGACTTTAGCCCTAGGGGAACTGTTGGACCTAATTTCTGCAGGATGGTCTTGCAAATCAGAAGAAGCTGATCCAACTGAGCACTCCTTGGTCTGCTGGCCTCTCCCAGGGATCCAGTCTGGCCACAACTGCTTACAGGGCAGTCTCAGGTACCCTAGGAGCCCATACCATAGCATCTGCACTGGTGGGCCATGCCTGACCCATGAAGAGCTCCGGCAAGGCAGCCCCTGTGACTGCACCAGCTCACATGTTTCTTCCCTATACTCCAGCTTCCCCCAAGACCATGGCAACTCCCCATATTACTTTGCTGGCACATGTCTGCAAAGGTGAGTTTGGCTTTGCTTGCCCCACCAGAAAATGGAAATGTAGTATGCCCCTGCCACTCCCAGCAATTGCTATTGTAGATGAAGCTTTGGCGGGTAGAGAGCCAGAAAGCCCCACCCTGGCCTTTGTGGTAAAACTGTGCGGAGAACAGGGTATCCTCCCACACTCTGAACAATCATTCCTTCTTGGGGGGCACAGAGAAGGCATCAAAACCTTTACTGGCCAGTATCCTGCCCCAAGCCAACACCACCTTTAGTGAAATAGCACACAGTCTCCAGCAGGTAACCCCCACTCCCCTCCCAGCTGCTTTGCTCCTGCCACTGAAGTGAATACCCAAAGACAGGCAGAAACCCCATATCCACTAGCACTCTGCAGCAGCTGTGGCACCTTAGTCCCACAGAGTGGCAGACTCCAAATCACAAGGAGCCACAGAACACAGTTGGGGCTCAATACAACTCCCCCAGAGTTAGAGTATGCAGACTCTAAGTTGTGAGCTGAGCATTTAGAGTATGCAGCCTCTGAGTTGTGAGCTGAGCATTGCCCCCTCCACCACCACAAAAAAAAAAACAAAAACAAAAAACAAAAAACAAAAAACTCCCAGGAACAAAGCCTGTTGGCTGAATCCACCTTTTACCACAATCAAATACTCAAGACCATCAAATAGGATCCAAAAAACCAAACCCCATTCAAAGTTCAGCAACTTTAAAGATACGCCCACAAAGATGAGACAAAATCAGTGCAAAAATGTTGAAAACACAAAAAGCCAGAGTGACTTCTTTCATCCAAATGACCAAATTACATTACCAGCAAGGCCTAAGATGACAGAAGCAGAATTCAGAATATGGGTAGAAGCAAACTTCATTGATCTACAAAGGTAAGTTGCAACCCAATGCAAAGAAGAAAAAAATAATTGCAGGAAGTGATGGAAAAAACAGCCAGTCTAGAGAAAAATATGGCCAACATGATAGAACTGAAAAACACAATACAAAACCTTTATAATGTAATCACAAGTGTTAATAGAAGAATAGGCCAAGCAGAGGGAAGAATCTCAGAGCTTCAAGACTGGCTTTCTGAAATAAGACAGACAAGAATAGTGAAAAAAGTATAAAGAGGAATGAACAAAACCTCCAAGAAATAACAGATTATGTAAATAAACCAAATCTATAATTAAAGAGAGTGCTTGAAAGTGATGGAGAGAATGAAAACAACTTGAAATACATATTTCGGGATACCATCCATGAGAATTTCCCCAAACTAGAGAGGCCAACATTCAAAGGCAAGAAATGTGGAGAACCCCAATAATATACCCCACGAGAAGGTCATCCCCAAGATACATAATCATGAGATTCTCCAAGGTCAAAATGAGAGAAAAAAATATGTTAAAGGCAGCTAGAGAGAAAGACCAGGTCACCTCTAAAAAGAAGCTCAGACAACAATGAACCTTGCAGCTGAGATCCCTCAAGTCAAAAGAGATTAATGGCCAATATTCAACTTTCTTTAAAAAAGAATTCTAATCCAGAAGTTCACATCCGGCCAAAGTAAGCTTCAGAAGCAAAAAATAAATATGATCGTATTCAGATAAGCAAATGCTGAGGAAATCTGTTACCACAAGACCTGCCTTAAAAGATCTTCTGAAGAAAGCCCTAAATAAGAAAAAGACTATAAACAGTCACTACAAAAACACACTAAAGTACACAAACCACTGACATGATAAAGCCACCACATAAACAAATGTGCAAAATAGCCAGCTAAGATGATCATGACAGAATCAAATCCACACATATGAATACAAACCTTAAATGTACATGGGTTAAATGCCCAAATTAAAAAACAGAGTGGCAAATAAAGAACCAAGATCTAATGGTATGCTGTAATTGAGATACCCATTTCAAATAAGCTCAAAATAAAGGGAAAAGTCTACCAAGCAAATAGAAAACAGTAAAAAAGCAAGGATTACAATCCTAGTTTCTGACAAAACAGACTTTAAATCAACAGATTTTTTTAAAAAGACAAAAAATGGCATTACATAATAGTAAAGGGCTATATATGCATCCAACACAAAAGCACCCAGTTATGAAGCAAGTTCTTAGAGACCCTCTAAGATGTTATTAAATGTTCTTCAAGTCATTACCTTTATACTACATTTGTTCAGTAGTAAGTCTCTGATGTTGAACACAATATGACGAATTGTTAAAGGCTTTTCCACATTTTTAACACTTGTGGAGCTTCTCTCTACTATGAATTGTCTTATGTCTAATGACGTGTGAGAACGAGCTCAATACTTTGCCACATTCTTCACATTTGTAGGGTTTCTCACCAGGGTGAATTCTCTTATGATTAGTAAAGTCTGAGAGCCACATAAAGGTTTTGCCACATTCTTCGCATTTGTAAGGTCCCTCTTCCATATGAATTCTCTTGTGGTTAATAAGGATTGAGGAGTAGGTAAAGGCCTTGCCACATTCTTCATGGATGTAGGGTGTCTCTCCAGTATGAATTCTCTTATGTTTTCTAAGGGCCGAGATCCACATAAAACCTTTTCCACATTCATTACATTTGTAGGGTTTCTCTCCAATATGAATTATCTTATGTTTAGCAAGGTCTCAGAACCACCTATAGCCTTTGTTACATTCTTCAGATTTGTAGGGATTCTCTCCAGGGTGAATTCTCTTTTGATTAGTCAGGTCTGAGAAACACAGGTTTTGCCGCATTCTTCACATTTGTAAGGTCTCTCTTCCATATGAATTCTCTTGTGGCTTGTAAGGGTTGAGGAGCGGATAAAGGCTTTGCCACATTCTTCACAAATGTAGGGTTTCTCTCCAGTATGAATTCTCTTGTGTTTACTAAGGGCCAAGATCCACGTAAAAGCTTTTCCACATTCATTACATTTGTAAGGTTTATCTCCAGTATGAATTACCTTATGTTTAGTAAGGTCTGAGAACCACCTAAAGGCTTTGCCACATTCTTTGCACTTGTAGGTCTGTCTCCAGTATGACTTCTCTTGTGTTTAATAAGGCTTGAGGAGCAGGTAAAGGTTTTGCCACATTCTTCACATTTGTAGGGCTTCTCTCCAGTGTGAATTCTCTTATGATTAGTCAGGTCTGGGAACCACTTAAAGGTTTTGCCACATTCTTCACATTTGTAAGGTCTCACTTCCATATGAATTCTCTTGTGTTTAATAAGGTTTGAGGAGCAGGTAAAGCTTTTGCCACATTCTTCACATTTGTAGGGTTTCTCTCCAGTGTGAATTCTCTTATGATTAGTCAGGTCTGAGAACCACTTAAAGGTTTTGCCACATTCTTCACATTTGTAAGGTCTCAATTCCATATGAATTCTCTTGTGGCTAATAAGGGTTGAGGAGTAGGTAAAGGCTTTGCCACATTCTTCACAAATGTAGGGTTTCTCTCCAGTATGAATTCTGTTATGTTGACTAAGGGCCGAGATCCACATAAAAGCTTTTCCACATTCATTACATTTGTAGGGTTTCTCTCCAGTATGAATTCTCTTATGTTTAGTAAGGTCTGAGCAACACCTAAAGGCTTTGTGACATTCTTTACATTTGTAGGGTTTCTCTCCAGTATGAATTCTCTTATGTTTAGTAAGGTCTGAGCAACACCTAAAGGCTTTGTGACATTCTTCGCATTTGTAGGGTCTGTCTCCAGTATGATTTCTCTTGTGTTTAGTAAGGGCTGAGGAACAGGTAAATGTTTTGCCACATTCTTCACATTTGTAGGGTTTCTTTCCAGTATGAACTCTATTATGTTCAGTAAGGTTTGAGAACTTTTTACAGGCTTTGCCACATTCTTCACATTTGTAACTTCTATCTGCAGTATGAATTCTCTTCTGTATGGTAAAATCTGACAACCTACAGTCTTTGCCACATTCTTCACATTTGTAGCATTTCTCTCTGCTAAAAATTTTCTTATGTTCAGTGAAGATTGAGCACAACCCAAAAGCTTTGCCACATTTATTATATTGACAGGTTTTGCTACGGGTAGCTGACAAACATTGATGAATGCCATTATAACTGCTTTTCTGCCCCTTGCAATTACCCACACGTTGGTAGTCTTTCTTTAAACGTAAAGTATTAAGGTCACAGCTTCCAGATTTTCTCAGGATCACTTTTTGAAATGAATCGTTTATGTCGTGCTCCAGCAATATCTCTGCAGTAAAATGCAAAGAGCCAGCTGAAAAAAAAAAAAGAACCACAAAATTTCTCCCTCATCAGACTTAGGTGAATACACTTTACAAATATATAATTATACAAAGCACATTAACAAGGTGACATAATAAAATACCACAGGCTCTACTTCCTTTATAGACATATAAGCTTAACAGAAATATACTGACCAAAATGCCTTTGTGAGAAGTGTAAGAACCAGTTAAGCATTTGTAGCACCTCGTGAGAAAAATGCCAAGAACCACATAGAAGTGTAATAAAAGTATTTCATATTTACCCACCACAGCCATTCTTCATCCCATGATGACTTTAAATATAGACTCCCAATTCCTGTCTTCCCCCTCCAAAAATAAATAAAACAGTGGTACATGTGTTCATGTTTCTGGCTTTTTGAGACCTTACCAAAGACTAATTTCTGTATTCCATGACAGTGTTGAAAATAAAGGTGGTATACTTTGACAGTTTCAGACAGCAGAGACACTTCAGTGTCATAGACAGAGAATGGGTATAGCAAGTGACTACAGGCAGAAGATCAAAGAAGTAAAGAAATAGAAACTGGAACAGAATTGCAAACCATCTAGAACTCTCTACTCAACAATACTAGAACACACATTCTTCTCAAGTACATATGGCACATTCTCAGAAGAGACCATACAACACATAAAAGAAGTCTCCATAATTTTTTTTTTGAGACAAATTCTCTCTCTGTCGCCCAGACTGGAGTGCAGTGGTGCAATCCAACCTCCATCTCCAGGGTTCAGGCAATTCTCCTGCCTCAGCCTCCGGAGTAGCTAAGATTATAGGCGTGCCTCACCTGGCTAATTTTGTATGTTTACTAGAGATGGGGTTTCACCGTGTTGGCCAGGCTAATCTTGAACTTCTGACCTTGGGTGATCCGCCCGCCTGGACCACTCAAAATGCAGGGAATACAGGTGTGAGCCACCACGCCTGACCCTTGTAGTTTTTACAATTAAGAATAAAACAATCATTGACTAATAACCAAAAAATAAAAAAGTAAATATACAAGTCATAAAATAGGAGTAATATTTTACACAGGCAAACAAACACATAAATAATTATAATGGCAATATATGTATGACTGATTCATATCTGACTTCTGTCCGAATATTGTTTTAATGTGTACAGAGTTGAATATTGGCATAAAAAATTATACACAAATAAAAACTAAAAGCACAATTAATTAATGACATAGCCAACTAAAACATGAGCCACTAAAATATAAAATAGTAAACAAAATTTAACAAAAAAATTAACCAAAAAATATTGAATCAACATAGTGTACTACTAAAAAATAATTATTCTAGATAGCCATGCATTTTAAATGTGACTGCACATTTATAAAGAGCACATATTTTGGTATTTTTGTTCAATTTGAACTTTTCCTACATGTTCAGAGGCTACATGGCTAGGTCTGTTACATTGGTATATTATGTACTGCAAAGTTTTGGGATATTGCTACTACTACTCAGGTAGACGGCACAGTACCCCATAGGTAGCTTTTCAGGCCTTGTCTCTTTCCTCCCTTCCTCCACTAGTGGTCTCCAGCATCTATTGTTTCCATCTTTATATCCATGTATACCCAATATTTAGCTCTCACTTGTAAGTAAGAACATGTAGTATTTGGCTTTCTGTTTTTGCATTAATTTACTTAAGATAATGGCTTTCAGCTGCATCAGTGTTGCTACAAAGAGCATAATTTTTTTTTGGCTGTGTACTATTTCATAGTGTATAGGCACCACATATTCTTTATCCAATCCACCACTGATAGGCAACTAGATTGATTTCAGGTTGTTGCTATTGAAGACAATGAAGTTTGAATCACTAGTATATAGTGACAGCAATAACATGTTATAGAAAATGCATTATAATCATTTATAAAAAGCTTTGATGAGAAAATATGATGAAATAGGCACTTAAATAATACTGGACATATTTATTATGTCATTAATATATAGCTACTATTTTTGCACAAAATGTAAAGGCAATAAGGTGACCTTTGGAAGCAAAGCATTATATTACTAAATAATATAAACAATATAAATACAGTACAATATGATATAAAATAAAATGAACAATTAGAAATAAATTTATACAATTATATAGACAAAGTCTGAGAAAAGTTGATGAAAATGCTGATAACATTTTGTATGCAGTAAACTTAGACATATAAATCAAAGATTTTAATATATGGTGTGCCTATTAATTATCTAATTCACTTTTTATATAACATATACATTTGAGTACATTAGCTCAGAACCTGTGAAATTACAGGCATAGTTGGTATACAGCAAATCAGAAAGAAAGAAAAAAATATATATAGGACACAGCCCTAGTAATCTTCATAGTAAAGAAGATAAAATTTAAAAATAATGGTTATTAAGAAAGAGGTAACAATTTCGAGTTTATTATATGCTGGACAGTGTCCTATGGTATTAGTGTTTTCATGCGTTCTGTGAGCTGAGTAGATCAAATCAACTATTCCACAGTACAGGCATTTCTCATACAGCATTTAAATTTCTAAGCTTAGTTCCTACTAAAATAAAGATACTTTCGAAGTGAAATAGATGTTTAGATTTTCTTGTACTTAATCAGATGCTTTGTACTCTGATAAAAGTTATCACTTTCATTTTCTGTATGATCAGTTGACTGGAAATTATAAAGCAGAAAACATATGACATCTGTCCCTGGCCTCTCTCAAATCTCGACCAAATCTCAATGTCTCCCCTACTCCTCTCACAGATGTCTAACATAAGGCACAAACAGATTTTTAAAAACAGCTTAACATAGTGGTCTCCAAAAATCTGCACAAATTTTCCAAATCCCTCAAAGCAACAGAAGAGCAGTTACATTATTTAGATCCTCACAGCAAAAATATGAGTTTGTCTCTCACTGTGAAGGCACCAGCAGATTATTAAATAAACTGAAGATTTAGAGAATTCAAAAGCCTAATAAGTATGCATCAAAAAATTTTCTTCCATGACAGTAAGAGGTTTTTCAAGAATCAATTCCATTGGAGAACAGCTTCCCAATCCACAATTTAAACTCTTGTTTTCTCCTTCGCCTTTGGACATTTCACATGTGTTATCTACCAAATCATTCTGAGTGTAAACTATTCTTTCCACTCTTTTCACACTCCAGTAATATTTTCTATGATGCAGAAGGTAACCAGGTCTAGCTTAAAGACTTTCCAACCCAACCTTTCTTTCCCTCAACACCAATTAGGCTAAGTAAAGCACAATCAACTCCCAGTACTACCCTCAGGAGAGATCTAGAACAGTGGGTCTGTTTAAAGTTATGAAATTATAGGAGACTGTCCAATTAATAGAGTCTGTCTCCCTTAATATGAAAATGATGGAGTAATGAGAATTATAGTTTGTATGTGCTAGAAGAAAGGTGAATGCTTGTTACAATACTAGAGGAATTGCAATGCCACAGTCAACTAGGGAAGCAAAAGATTATAGAATCTGAAAAGAAAATGAGGAAAAGTCTCTTTATCTTAGAAATTACACACAAAAATCCAAAGACAACTGAGAACATGTTTGTGAAGCACTGAAAATCTATAGCCCGGCCCATTGCTATAGCCAGTCTTTAAGCAAGTCTTTAAATATTAGATTAGATGGCTGTTTTTAAGTTTCCAAATTTCAAAAAAGGATGACATGACATAAAAAAGACAGAAAACGTACCCCACTTAAAGAAATAAATTTCCAAAACTCAATCCTTAAGAAAAGAAGATCTTTGCATTATCCGACAAAGATGTCAAAATAATGATACTAAGTATGCTCAATAACTCAAAAATAGAACAAAGAAAAAAAAGAACCCAGTAGAAATCGTGGAACAGAAAAATAATTGTTGAAAAATTTTGTAGAGTCACAATAGAATAATTGACCAGAAAACAAAAATCAGAAAACTAAAGACATGTTACTTATAAATATTGAGTCATGAAAAAAAAAAACACACAAAAAATTGAAAAACATCAACATGGAATATGTAACTTATTAGATACCATTAAGGAGACCAATATATTCATGAAAGCAGTCTTTGAAGAAGAATGCAGGGGAAAAGTCATACAGAGGTTATTTAAACAAAAAAAGGGCCTAAGAACTTCCCAAATTTCAAGGTGATGAAAAAAAAATGCTACCAATCAAGGATACTTAATCTGGGAGAAATTTACTTTAAAAAATAAGAAAAAAATAAAGACTTTCTAATATGAACAAAAGGTAAGGGTGTTCATTACCCCTAGAACAGTCTTATAAGAAATAGACAGACTTGGTGGTTCACACCTGTAATCCTAGCAACTCTGTAGGGTGAGGCAGAAGAAGAATCATTTTAGGCCAGGAGTTTGAGACCAGCCTGGGTGATACGGTGAGACCCCTTATCAAAGAAGAGACTTTTATCATAATTTTGTTTTTCAGGGAGAGGGTTTTAAAACCTGCTAGAACTAAAGATTGATTGGAGTCATTTTGAAAAGGCAGGCCCTCATTCAGGCGGCAAACTTGAAAATGCTTGGTCTTAGCTACAGACCAAGAAATGGTTCACCTATTTTGACCCACTTAAAATTCTGCAGTGACTCTATAACTATCTCCGGCTCCTTCCAGCCATAGTCAAGGAGTGGTTCTGCACATCCAGAGACCCAAAGAAAGATGCCTATTTGTGGTTACAGCAGTAGGTCTGCAGACCTTGGCCTTTACTGTGCTCTCTGAAACAGTTCAGTGACTCAGTTTCAGCACCGATAGTCACAGTTTGTGGCCAGTTCTGCCAATCTAGGTGCCCAGAGAGTGACCTGAGGAAATCCTGCCACATACTCAGTAAGAAACACACATCAGGCACACCATATGCCAAACCTACTGCAGAACTCTGCCCTAGTGCTAGCCCTACAGATCAAAGTCCTAAAGGCAATTCAGTCTGCCAAGAAATAAGACAGGATTAACAACTACCCAGGCTCCTGGTAACAAACTCACTAAAGGCAAACTCCACAACAGACCAAGAAGCAGCCATGTGACCCACGTATAACCCCTCTCCACTGCATACCCAAAAAGATTCTATCAGCTAACTGACCCAAGAGAAGATTTGTACCTGCTGAAATCAGTCTATAAAATTGGAAAATTTAGATTCAATAAATCCCCTATTAAAATTTTAGTACAATTTTTCGAAGTAATAGAAAATTCAATCTTAAAATTTATATGTAATTACAAGAAACTTTAAATAGCCAAAGCAGTTTTGAGAATTAAAAACAAAGCTAGGGGCATTATACTTTCTAATTTTAAACTACATTTGAAGGCTATTGTAATAAAAACAGGATGCTCTGTGGATAAAAATGCACACCGATATCAGTGGAGCAGAATGGAGAGCCCAGAAACAAATCATGTAAGATCAACTCATCTTTGACACTGAGCCACAGAGAACACACAGTGCAGAAAGTACAGTCTCTTCCATGCTTGGGGCTGGGAAAAGGGAATACCCAGAAGTAAAAGAATAAAATTAGACCACTTTTCTTACACTGTATTTAAAATTAACTAAATATAAAATAAGGACTCTATGACAAAATTCTTAATAATCTTAAAAGAAAACATAGTTTAAAACCTTAATATTGGTTTTGAAAATGAATTTTGGGATACAACAGAAAAGTACAGCAATGAAAGCAAATATAAACAAATTAAACTGCATCAAACTAAAACGCTTCTGCATAACCAAGAAAAAATAGTATAAGAAAACCATATCCGATAAGTGGTTAGTATCAAAAACACATAAGAAACATAAGAAACTCATATAAATAAAAGGCAACTATAATGATAATAGCAGTAATAATAACAAGATTTAAAAATAAGTCAAGGACTAAATAAATGTTAATTAATGAAAACATATAGTTGGGCAACAGGTATGTAGAAAGGTGCTCAATGTCACCAATCTGGCAGATGCAAATTAAATTCATGGTGAGATATTACTTTATACCTGTTAGGACTGCTAACACCAAAAAGAAGATTTATAACAAGTGTTGACAAGAATATATTAAAGAAAAAAAATGATGTACATTCTTGGTGATGTGTAATTTCTTAGAGACATTATGAAAACCAGTATGAAGGTTCTTTAAAAAAATTTTTAATAGTACTATTGTACAATTTAGCTATCTCATTTCTGCATATACAATAAATTTACTATCTCAAAGAAATACCTGCACCTCCATGTTCATTGAAGCATTTTTCACAATTGTCAAGATACAAAAGCAATCTAAAGTGTTTGTGGAAACTGACTGCACAAAAAAAAAACATGGTATATATACAAAACAGAATATTATTCAGCCATAAAAAATAATAAAACCCTGACATTCTACAACATGGGTGGACCTAGATGACGTTATGCCGAGTGAAACATCACAGAAACAGAAAGACAAATACTGTATGATCTCACCTCTATGGAGAATATAATAAGGTTGGACTCCTAGAAGAAGAGAGTATAGAGGTGAGTGCTAGGCCCTAGAGGTGGGGAAAGTGGGATATGTTGTTCAAATGGTACAAATTTTCAGTGAAAAGACATAAGTTATGGTAACCTAAGGTATAGCTTTATGATTATAGAAAGTAATACTGTTAGGTATGCTGAATATTTGCTGAGAGATCTTAACTGTTCTCACTACAAAAAAGTAAGTATGTAAGGTTATAAAATTGTTCATTAATTTGATTGTATTAATCATTTCATTATGTATACAGATATAAAATCAATACATTATATATAATATATAGGTATTCAATTATTATTTGTGAAAAAATTGACGTTACTGGTATTATATGTCTCTGTCATACACATTCATATATACACATGTTTATATACATACATATGAATGACACAGTCACAGTAAGCTTTATACTAAATAAAATCACAAAATGATGTCATTTAAAATAAAGATTGGGAGTTTAATATGTACTCAACAATGTTGCAAGCTCCCCAATGACACAGTATATTTAATAAATGTATGAAGTAGATACACTGAACTATATTACAGTTGAGGAATTTGGCCACATTTGCCAACATTTGTTTATATGAAAAGAATAACATTTGAAGTAATACTATTTTAGAGTTTGTTTCATTTAGGGAGATGCTTAGTGTTTTAATATAATTACTGAGTATAAATTTCTGTAAAATCACATTTGAAGCCTCCATAGAATAGAAAATTATAAAGCAGGAAGCACACATCTTTTTGTGGTGTTCCTGGGATTTCTGATCCAAATTGCAATATCACCAAAACTTCTACATTTAGACATTATCCAAAAACAGAACTTAAAAAAATGGTTTAATATAGTTTCTCAAAAATAGATACTGCTGTTTCCCCCAAGCAATGGAAAAGCAGTCAAATCACACATTTTCTTTTAAGGCATGAAAAAGACTTTATCACTGTAAACTCAAAAAACCCACAAAAAACAAAAAAAACAACAACAGCAGCAACAACAACACACATTACTGAAGGGGATGTACAGTGCTTAGAAAATTCACAAGAATGGGACAAAAAATTCCCCTATGTTAAAGCAAGAGAAAGAAATGAAGGCTTCTCAGAAACGATTTCCACTGGAGCAGAGCTTCTGGAAGCATGTTTCAAGGTCTGGCTTCCTCCTTGACATTGGGAACCGTCATTTATGTCATTTGCTTCACTCACTCCCACCTACCTGGGTGTTTGGCTACTGTCTTCTGTCTCCTCGCATTCCAAGGCTCTTTTCTTTGCTCCAGATAGGTAATCAAGTCTGGCTTAAAGATAGCAAGACCTGTTTTATTAGAAAAAAATAACATGACTCTTGCTAGGATAATCTGATTACCAATCTAGTACTATGCTCAGTAGAGAAGAGAGAACATTATAGAAGACTCTAGAAAATTAATTCCAATCTACTGTTTTGTAACAGAAACTTCAGAATATTTAGAAAGTAAATTTGTGGGTTATTAGCTCTATTACCCAGTAATATTGCATCAAAAATCAGTTGTGAAAATTGCATTTTTAGGAGTGGGTAACAATATTTTATGCTATCAAATTTCTGATATTACCATAATTTAGACTGAAATATACAGATGAGCTCAAAAAAGGGAAAGATTAATGTTAAGATGAAACATCTTAAAGATTATATTTACTACCTAAACAGATACCCAATTTTTTCTTTTTGAAGCAGGATTCTGAAACTCATTTATGCAAAGCAGAACTTCAAAAAAAAAAAGAGGAAATAAAATATTTAATGTAGAATATGAGTTGTATATTGAAGTTATTCTCACCCAAGGAGAACAGGTTTCCGTAGTTCTCTAACATCACATCCCTATACAAACGCTGCTGAGCAGAGTCCAGGCATTCCCACTCTTCTGGGGAGAATTCTACAGCCACATCCCTGAATGTTAGCACTCGCTGAAAAACAAAACATATTTACCAAGTGACCAAAGAAATAATTCTTGATTTGACATCAGGTAAAATGAGAGTAAAGAGAGCTGGTTCTGACTTATATGAGTTACTGGAGTTATCCAATAGGATACTTTCTAGCACAGAAATATTCTCTAATGTATTTTTAACTCTGAGAAAAAATGGCATAAGATCACGAAACCAGTGTATATACAATACTTTTCTTGATGATACAGTATAAAATGAAGGACATTAACACAGGCATGAACATTACTTAATGCTATATTTACATAATACAAGATGAGCTGTCTATACTTCCCACATGGAAACTTCATGGTGAGTTAAAAGCATACTTCTCAAATCTTATTGTGCATAGCAATAAACAGGAGATCTTGTTAAAAAGCAGATTTTGACTCTGAAGATCTAGGGTAAAGCTTGAGTTTTTGAATTGATAAGAAGTTTGCCAGTGGTATCATTGCTTCTGGCCCAAGGAGAATATTTTGTCAAAAATTCAGTAAGTGGCACAGCCTAGGTTTTTAGTTTATCTGACCAGTAAAGAAAGATGAGAGCCTTCACTTTCCATAGGAAGCGATATGCAAAGAGAAGGTAAGAAGAAAGAAGAGCTGTCAGATTAAATGTGGCTTAATCTTGTTTTTGCACATCACTTGATAAAACTCCTCAAGGTACCTATTAAAAATAAAGAGTATAATAATTAACTCGAGTGAAAAAATATCTGTCAGAGAGCATTTTTACCAAGTAAATAAATGAAGATCAACTATATTAAAAGAAATTTGTATCCGGTGCTGATTAACAAAGGATATGACACTACTGTGCTATGATTAACATTAACACAAAAAAGGGTCAACTTAATCTGAGCCTAGTCATGAAGAAACATCAGTTTTAAGCAAAATTTAAGCTACAAATATCTCTCATGTTCTGTAATCTCTAATGGTGTATATAAATAAGTCTTTCTCTTTTTTAGTTAAACTTTTTTTTAAAAGCTTTAAGTTCTGGGATACATGTGCAGAACACGTGGGTTTGTTACATAGGTATACATGTGTCAAGGTGGTTTGCTGCACCTATCAACCTGTCGTCGAGGTTTTAAGCTCTACATGTGTTAGGTATTTGTCCTAATGCTCTCCCTCCCCTTGCCCCCAATCCCCTGACAGGTCTCAGTGTGAGATGTTCCCCTCCCTGTGTCCACATGTTCTCATTGTTCGACTCCCACTTATGAGTGAGAACATGCGGTGTTTGGTTTTCTGTTCCTGTGTTAGTTTGCTGAGAATGATGGTTTCCAGATTCATCCATATCCCAGCAAAGAACATGAACTCATTCTTTTTTATGGCTGCATAGTATTCCATGGTGTTTATGTGCCACATTTTCTTTATCCAGTCTATCACTGATGGGCATTTGGGTTGGTTCCATGCCTTTGCTATTGTAAATGGTGCTGCAATAAACATACATGTGCATGTGCCTTTATAGTAGAATAATTTATAATCCTTTGGGTATATACCCAGTTACGGGATTGCTGGGTCAATATTTCTGGTTCTATACCCTTGAGGAATTGCCACACTGTCCTCCACAATGGTTGAACTAATTTACACTCCCAAGAACAGTGTAAAAGTGTTCCTATTTCTCCACATCCTCACCATCATGTTTCCTGACATTTTAATAATCACCATTCTAACTGACATGAGATACTATCTCATTGTGGTTTTGATTTACATTTCTCTAATGATCAGTGATGATGAGTTTTTTTTCATGTTTGTTGGCTGCATAAATGTCTTCTTTTGAAAAGTGACTGTTTGTATCCTTTGCCCACTTTTTGATGGGGTTGTTTTCTTCTGGTAAATTTGTTTAAGTTCCTTGCAGATTCTGGATATTAGCCTTTTGTCAGATGGATAGATTGCAAAAATTTTCTCTCATTCTGTTTGTTTAGTTTTTTCTGGTAAATTTGTTTGTTTCTTATAGATTCTGGATATTAGCCCTTTGTCAGATGGATAGATTGCAAAATTTTTCTCCCATTCTGTAGGCTGCCTGTTCACTCTGAGGATAGTTTCTTTTGCAGTGCAGAAGCTCTTTAGTTTAATTAGATCGCATTTGTCAATTTTGGCTTTTGTTGTTATTGCTTTTGGTGTTTTAGTCATGAAGTCTTTGCCCACGACTATGTCCTGAATAGTACTGCCTCAGTTTTCTTCTAGGGTTTTTATGGTTTTAGGTTTTACCTTTAAGTCTTTAATCCATCTTGATTTAATTTTTGTGTAAGGTGTAAGGAAGGGGTCCAGTTTCTGTTTTCTGCATATGGCGAGACAGTTTTCCCAGCACCATTTATTACCTAGGGAATCCTTTCCTCATTGCTTGTTTTTGTCAGGTTTATCGAAGATCAGATGGCTGCAGATATGCGGTATTATTTCTGAGGCCTCTGTTCTGTTCCATTGGTCTATATATCTGTTTTGGTACCAGTACCATGCTGTTTTGGTTACTGTAGCCTTGTAGAATAGTTTGAAGTCAGGTAGCATGATGCCTCCAGCTTTGTTCTTTTTGCTTAGGATTGTGTTGGCTATATGCACTTTTTTGGTTCCATATAAAATTTAAAGTACTTTTTTCTAATTCTGCAAAGAAAGTTAATGGTAACTTGACGGGAATAGCATTGAATCTATAAATTACTTTGGACAGTATGGCCATTTTCATGATACTGATTCTTCCTATCCATGAGCATGAATTTTTTTTTCAATTTGTTTGTGTCCTCTCTTATTTCCTTGCTTTAGCATCCTAGAGAGGAAGTCTCTTCTAATTATTTTTTATTCAGAACTTTCTGACTTATCCTGGGCAATAAAGACCATTCTCATTAAATGTGCATTTTTATAAGCAGTTTTGCACAGATTTAATGGAAGCTAAACAGAACATGGTCTCCTTCTTCAGTGATAACCAAGGACCTGATACAATCTCAAACAGGAATCTTGGGCATCCACACCTTTCCATGTTCAACAGCCACAAAAGGAACATTTGTAATGCTGCAGGTTATAAATTCATGGTGACAATTTTTTCACGGCTTATTAAAAGCTACAATGTGGAAAATAAAGAGAAGGCTCTGGTACACAAGAAAGAAGTATTTCTCAGAGCCCCTTGACTATCAGGAGAATAAAAAGTGGAAAAGGAGTTAAACTGATTAGGCAAGAACATCACAAGTGGAGAAGTTAACATTTGCAAGTTCTACACACGTGATATTTCAGAAGAAAAAGTGGACACAGTCTCTGACTTCAGACACATTCACCTCAGAATAAGCCATTTCTTTATTTTTCTTCTCCTTCTCTGTGATCCCTTCCAGGTGTGATTATCTGCACAAATTAAACCTGTTTCTTGAGAATATGCCTTTGAAGCATGAGCAAAACTCCTTCCCTTGAAATCACCACACTCACAGGCAGAAGGCCCTAGAATTGCAGATAAAGTCTGCCTTTGTTTGTCTTTTATCACAGGGGAGGTTTGGAACCAGTAAACTCCTAAATAAAAACCAAAATATGAGTTTCCCCTTTCCAACACTCAGTTGCCCTTCTCTGCCACAGATGCCAGAAATTTCTACTGCAGCAATGAGAATATGGGCCGCAGTGACCTGCCCCTACCAAACCTAAGCAGAGCAGTCTCTATGATCTTTATCTGGGACTAAAACTAAACTCACCTCTCGTGAAAGTATCTGAAAGCACTCGTGGTTGACCCTGGGCTCACCTTAGCCTCACATGTGGCACTTAATTCAAACAACATGGCTGCAGGGGGGAAGTGGAGCAAGATGACTAAATAGCACCCTCCAGCAACCATCCCCCAGATAAAACACCAAGTAGAATGACTATCCAAATAAGAAGCATCTTCCTAAGAACCAAAACTCTGGGGAGCGATCACAGGACCTAGTTTTAGCATCACATGAAAGAGGCACTGAAGAGGGTAACAAAGCTGTTAATTGCCAATAGCAGCCCTCCTCCATTCCCTGGAAATGCACCTTGGCAGAGGCAGAAAATCCATGGGCTTACAAAAGGGAGAGTGCAGTAATTGTGAGACTTAGCAGTAAAACTCAGTGCTGCCTGTCACAGCAGAAAGCAACATGGGGCAGAATTCAGCCAGAGCCTGCAGAGGGAGCACTCAGACTAGCCGTAGTCAGAGAGGAAGTGTCCATTTCAGTAATCAAAACTTTAGTTTCAGGTAGCCGCATCACATGGGCTAAAGCACTCTGGGGTTCTAAATAAACTTAAAAGGTAAGCCACTGGGACTGCAATTTCTGGGCAAATCCTGGTGCTTTGTGAGATGCCAGCTGGGATGGCCAAGAAAGTGCCTGCATCATCCTTACCCCAGGCACAGGCAGTGCAGTTCACAGCTCCAGGAGAAAATCTTTCTTTCTACTTGAGGAAAGGGGAGAGAAGAGTAAAGAAGACTTTGTCCCGCAGCTTGGACATCATCTCAGCCACAGTAGAATACAACATCAGAAAAAGCTCTGAGGCCCCCTTTCTAGGACTTAGTTCCTGGGTGACAGTTCTAGACATACCCTGGGCCAGAAGAGAACACACTGCCTTGAAGGGAAGGTACCAGTTCTGGCAGGATTCATCACCTTCGACCTTGAATAAACATCAGCAGTAACCAAGTAGTACTTCTTGCAGCCCTTGGGGGTTGAGGCCTAGTGCAGTGCAATCCAAGCTGTGGCAGCCATGTGGAGAGACTGCTGCTTGAGGAAAAGAGAGGGAAGAGTAAAAGAGACTTTGTCTTGAAGCTTGATTACCAGCTCAGTCATAGTGAGGTAGCAGTAACAAGATAGCTCCTGAGGTCACTGATTTCAGGCCTTGGCTCCTGGATGACATTTCTGGAACCACCCTGAGCCAGAGAAGAACCCACTGCCCTGAAGCAAAAGAAGCAGGCCCAGCAGAGTTCACCACAAGCTGACACAAGATCCCTTGGGTCCTCACTGGATATCAGCAGTAGCCTGGAAGTACTTACTGTGGGCTCTGGGTGGTGGTGACAATGGGGAATGGCTTCTTACGCTTGAGAAAGGAGAGAAAAGAGTAGGAAGGATATTGTCTCATGGCTTCGGTGCCAGCTAAGCCACAGCAGAATAGGGCACCAAGTAGATTCCTAAGGCTTCTGACTCCATGTTCTTCCTACCAAATTGCATTTTGCTACCCCCAGCCCAGGGTGGGTAAGAGCTCACTGCCCTGAAGGAAAGGATATGAGCCTGGCTTGATCCACCAACTACTGACTGAAGAGAACTTGGTTCTTGAGTGAACATCAGTAGTAGCTAGGTCACTGTGGGCCTTATGTGAGAGCCAGTCCTGTGCTGGCTTTGGGTCTGACTTAGTGTAGTCCTAGTGATGGTGGCCACAGGGGTGCTAGTGTTACACCCACTCCAGCTCCAGGCAGCTCAGCATGCAGAGAGAGAGAGATTCCATTTATTTGGCAGAATGTAAAAAAATAGAAAAAGAGTCTGCCTGGTAACCCAGAGACTCTCTTGGATCTTACCTATGACCACCAAAGTGGTACCTCTACAAGTCTGCAAGCATCACAGTGTTATTCAGGTTGGGGTGTCCCCTAATGCAGATATGACTGCAATGATCAAAGACTTAGATTACAACACTCGATTCCCTTTGAATACTTGGAAAGCCTTTCTAAGAAGGACAGGTATTAAAAAGCCCAGAATGCAAAAACTAAAATAAATACCTAACTCATTAATGCCCAGACATCAATGAACATCCACAAAAATTAAGACTATTCAGGAAAACGCAACCTCATAAAACTAAATAAGGCACTAGTGTGCAAATCCTGAGACAGAGATATGTAACCTTTCAGACAGGAAATTCAAAACAGCTGTTTTGAAAAAGCTCAGCAAAATTCAAAATAACAACAAAAAAAATAAGAAATTCGGAATCTGATCCAATAAACTTAATAAATTGATTAAAATCATTTTGAAGAATCAGGCAAAAATTCTGGTGCTGAAAATTCAAATGACATTGAAGAGTGCATCAGAGTCTCTCAACAGCAGAACTGATCAAGCAGAAGAAAGAATTAGTGAATTTGAACACAGGCTATTTGAAAAGATACAGTCAGATGAGACAAAAAAAAAATAGCCTCAAGAGGGCAATTCTAAAAGTTATGGCCTTCAAGAGGAGGTAGAGAAAAAGTTCTGGGTAGAAAGTTTATTCAAAGGGATAATGAGAACTTCATATATATATATATATATTCAAGTACAAGAAGGTTATAGAATGCCAAGTACAATTCACTTAAATATGACCACCTGAAGGTCTTTAATAATAAAACTTTCAAAGGTCAAAGATAAAGGTTTCTAAAAGCAGCAAGAGAAAAGAAACAACATTCAAACAAGCACCAATATGTTTGACCATGGACTCTTCAGTGGAAATCTTACAGTCAAGGAGATGGTGACATGACATACTTAATGTACTGAAGGAAAAAACTTTTATCCTAGAATAATACATCCAGCAAAAATATCCTTCAACCATTAAAAAAACTAACAAGCTGAGAGATTTTATTAACACCCCCAGACCTGTCCTACAAAAATGCTAAAGGCAGTTCTTCAATCTAAAAGAATAGAACATTAATGAGCAATAAGAAAACATGTGGGACAAAACTCACTGGTAATATGAAGGACACAGACAAACACAAAATTTTCTAGCACTGTAAATATGGTATGTAAACTATTCATATTTTGAGAAGACTAAAAGATTAGTCCATACTTATAATTATTAAAAAAAATAACTCTTTCTCTACCTCCTTAAGGCCATAACTCTTATATTTCTACTTTTGAGGCTTAGTTATTCAAAATACTAACTACACAAGTTTAAGACATAGACAGCATAATAAGATATAAATAGAAACGACAAAATGTTAAAAAGTTGGGAGATAAAGTTAAGCTGTATTTTTTATTAGTTTTCTCTTTGCTTGTTTGTTCATTTTTATAAGTGTTAAGTTGCCATCAGTTTAAAATAATGGGTTATAAGATGTTATTTGCAAGCCTCATGGTAACCTCAAATAAAAAAACTTATAATAGACACACATACATAAAATCAAAAAATAAAAAATAAAACACACCACTAGATAAATCATCTTTACTAAAATAAAGACAGGATAAATGGGAGAGAGAAAAGGAGAGAAAAAGAGAGAGAAGATACTACAAAACAAGAAATCAGATAACAGAATGGCAGATGTGTCTTTATTTATTAATAATAACACTGAATGTAAATTAAGTTAACTCCTCAATCAAAAGACACAGATTGGCCAAATGGGTAAAAATAAAAACGAGACCCAACAATCTGTTTCCTACAAGATACATACTTCACCAATAAAGACACAGAAAGACTGAAAATAAAGGGATAGAAAAAGATACTCCATGCAAATGGAAACAAAAAAAAGAGCAGGGATAGCTATACTTATATTAAACCAAACAGATTTCAAGAAAAAAAAAACTATAAAAAGAGAAAACAAAAGTTATATTATAAAAAAGTGGTCAATTCAGCAAGAGAATATAACAATTGCAAGTTTATATGCACCTAACACTGGAGAACTCAGATACATGAAGTAAATATTAGAGCTAAAGAGAGAGAGATCAACCCCAATACAATAATAGCTAGAGACTTCAGCAACCCACTTTCAGCAGCAGACACATAATCCAGATAGTAAAATCAACAAATAAACATTGGACTTAATCTGCACTATGGACCAAATAGACCTAATAGATATTTACAAAGAATTTCATCAAAAAGCCACAGAATACAAATTCTACACCTCAGCCCCTGGGTTATTCTCAAGGATAGACCATATGTTAGGTCACAAAATAACTCTTAAAATAAGCTCTCCCCAAATAAAATTATATCAGGTATTTTCTCTGACGATAATAGAATAAAACTAGAAATCACTAACAGAAAAAACTTTGGAAACTATACAAACACAGAGAAATTAAAATATGCTCCTGAATGACTGGTGGGCCAATACAGAAGTTAAGAAAAAAATTTAAAATGTTCTTGAAAGAAATGAAAAACATAGCTATGAATAAGTGAAAGAAGTACTAAGAAGGTTTATAGCAATAAGTGCCTACATCAAAAAAAGTTTAAAAAAAAACTCCAAATAAACTATTGATGTATCATATAGAACTAGAAAAGAGCAAACCAAACCCAAAATTAGAAGAAAAAAATAAAAATTACAGCAGAAATAAATGAATACAAAACAAAATATCAAAAGATAAACGTAATGAAAAGTTAGTTTTTTGAAAAGATAAACAAAATTTACAAAACGTTAGCCCACTGGCTAAAGATCTGGGATTCAGGTTCCCATGGTGTTGGAATTACTTTCAGGTCTGAAGGTGCCAAGTGCATTGAAAGATGGGGCTGGAATGGCTGATTGCTCTGCTGTGAAGCTATTTTTCTACAAATCTGGCTGAACTGCTCTGGAAGGGACTGTGTATCACAAATAGGCACAGAAATATTCTGCCTGCAGATTTTGGGGCAAGCCAAAGAGAGAAAAGCCTCTCTGAACTAAAGCCTTGTGCGTATCTCTGTGTTTATATCCTGTCTGGTAATTCTGTACAGTGTTTGGAAAGCATAATTAAAAACAAAATTATCTCCAACCTCAGAGACACTCTAAAATGGTAGAAGAAAATTGTTTTATTACATAATTAAACCAGAATGTGATATGCATCATAGGCAATCTGCTCAGATTACAAAAGCAGAAATAAAAATCACCATATTTAGTCTTTAAGTAGAAGACTTAACAGCATACTCTGTCATATATAGTTTATCCTAAATAAAACTATTAATTGAGAAGCCTATCTATATATTGGGTATATTCAATGAAAATTTAAATTGGCTATATTCAAAAGCAAAATAAGCTTTCCTTGGCTTCATAATATTTTATGAAGTTACCTACTGTCCAACAGAAATGTAAACCATTTACATTTCAAAGCAATGGTTTCCAGGTCCTAGAGAAAGACATTTCTAATTTAAAGAGACTGACAAAGTCCTATTTACCTATTTAAATGATTTACATATATTTAATAGAGACAAAACAAATTTACATATAAAAATTTTCTAAAATTATTTTTAAAGAGGAGAGCAAAATGTCTTTTATCTTCAAGTTGGATAATTAAGTCTGGTATTTATAATTTGTATTTGCCCTTATAACAGCCAAGTCTAAGGCCATGACCTTGAACTCATGGACATCTGATTTCCAGTAGGCATTTGAATCAGGCACCTGAGGAGTGGCATTGGGTACAATTTGTTCTCATGAAAGAGGGTTTAGTCAGGAAGTAAAGGCAGAAGAAAGATGTTATGAAGAACTGTTAATCTGAAATAATCTGAATAATCAATAAGGCCTCAACATCCAGTTTTAGAGAGTTTATTCAAGTGAAAAGCTAGAAACAGTCATCCAGGAGACAAAGGCTCTAGTGAAATGAGATGAGTGCTTCATAGCTGAAAGTTAAGTTCTTATTTCTACAGGCGAAAAACAAAGAAATTTAAGAAGACTACAAGTTTCTATACAAGGCTGGTTAAAGATTTACAAAAAAATTAATCAGTTACACTGTATTTTTTCTACCTTTTTTTTACAACTGGTTTTTCTTTCCTTTTCAACCTAAGAGTGTATTTAACATTTTCATCTTAAGACAATGCAATAGCCAGCCAGGTGCGGCGGCTCATGCCTGTAATCCCAGCACTTTGGGAGACTGAGGCAGGCAGATCACAAGGTCAGGAGTTTGACACCAGCCTGACCAATATGGTGAAACCCCGTCTCTATTAAAAATACAAAAATTAGCAGGGTGTGGTGGCATGCACATGTAATCCCAGCTACTCAAGAGGTTGAGGCAGGAGAATCACTTGAACCCGGGAGGCGGAGGTTGCAGTGAGCGTAGATCGTGCCACTACACTCCAGCCTGGGCAACTGATCGAGACTCCGTCTCAAAAAAAAAAAAGACAATGCAATAGCCATAAGCAATAGGTTAATCTATAATGAAAGTCAATAGTGAAGGGTAAAGAGGTCTTCCATGGGGCACTTCAGCCGTTTACAACACCTGACAAAAGAATACAGATGTAGACGTAGGTATAATCCATAAACAGAAAAACAAAGGTTACAGCTGCCTTGTTACTGCTGCCTGTCGTATTACCCAGATCTTGTGTTTACATTCCTTTGAGGCCTGGAATAATTTAGAATATCAAACAGCTTAAATTTTGAATTATTTAGTTTTACAGGACCTATGGGCAGGGGAAAATCCAGAGTTAGTAGAAAGACTAACTTGTGCTACACAGATGGTGGCTCAGAAAGGGTTAGGCTCTGGCTTATTTCTGTGTCTATGCAGGTAGAAGAGACTATGATCAGGTGACTCAGAAGCCCAGTTGAGTGGATGCACCAGGTTTAGGGTCTGGGGACAGGGATAAGTCTAAAGTCCTCTAGGCCCTTGTATTTGGCTGAAAACTCTAGGAGCAAAGAAAATGTAGATGCAATTTGTGAGCATGGAGATTAGTCCTAAGAGGGTTGTGAGCAAATTATTATATAGTGTGCATGTGTCCAGGTGGGCAGAATCACATACTGGTAGCTAAATGGGAGAAGGAGTCTGACCTCATAACTCACTTCCTATGTGTCCTCAGTTCCTGTTGACCTTGGGAGAAACATGGCATCACAGAACAATTTACAGTGTGACAGTCTGTGTGCACTAGAGCAGAACCTCCCTTTTCTGAGACACCTGGAGTCTCCCTTCAGCCCAGGGCCTGCCTGACACATGCTGAGTAACTCACAGGCACGCACATGTCCTTGGCTTCTGTTACTTGTTGATGATTGACCCAAGTGTCAAAAACATGAGCAAAACAACTCCATTTTCTTTTGAGTAACCCAGGGCATATTGTGAGAAGTTATTATAGCATGAGCATGAAGATGCTTTTATCCCAGCTTTGTTGGAAAATTAACAAATCAAAAACAAAAAAAGAAAATGAACAAAATCAGCAACAATGGATATGTGGTAGGAATAGATGGAAGCCTTTGACAATTATGCCATGAATCTATACTTTATTAAGTAATAAAGGAGAATATAACTGCATTAAGAGATCAGATTATGATGTTTTCAAATAGTTTGTGGGTATGTGTTTACTATGAATTTTTGTACCACAAATACCCCTGCTTTTAGGTATTTTTTTTTTTTACTTTTTTAAAAAAATCAACTTTTATTTGAAGTCCTGGGTCACATATGCAGGATGGGCAGGTTTGTTACATAGGTAAATGTATGTCATGGTAGTTTGCTGCATAGATCAACCCATCACCCAGGTATTAAGCCCAGCACCCATTCGCTGTTCTTCCTGATGCTCTCCCCGCCCCCTGACAGGCCCCAGGGTGTGTTGTTCCCCCAAGGTGTCCATGTAACTCATCATTCAGCTTCGACTTATTAGTATGAGAGCATGCAGTGTTTGGTTTTCTCTTCCTGTGTTAGTTTGCTGAGAATAGCAGCTTCCAGCTCCATCCATGTCCTTGTCAAGAACATGATCCTTTTCCTTCTTACGGCTGCATGGTATTCCATGGTACATATGTACCACATTTTCTTTATCCAGTCCACTGTTGAAAGGCATTTGGGTTAATTCCATGTCTTTGCCATTGTGAATAGATTTTTGTTTTACTTTTTAAAACAGTATACTGCCTAAGGTTAATTAAAAAATACATTGTAAAAACATACTTAGAGAGCACTGAACCTATTGAAATGTAATCATAAGTGTTTCATGCTCAACAAACTGTAGTTTAATATTTGTTATAAATAATTCTTTGGGGGCTGTTTCAACATTTCTTATCTAGTATTTTTTAAATGCTTATTACTTCAAATGAGTGCTCATAATATGGTAAAGATATAGGAGATTTCAAATAAAAAAGAACTCACAGAATTTACATGTTTTGAGGAAAATGTCATAGCTATAATTGGTTAGAATTTACACAAAGGCAGATGTCTTTATACAAACACATACAACAGAAAAGCAGAGCAAAACTGTGGTTTGCACCAGGCAAGATAAGGAAAAAAGGAGCTAAAGAAGGGAATCCTGATAAACAGTGTGGTTAAAGACTGTAAGTTTAGGTGGCCCTAGAAAGGCCTTACTAAGAATTAGGAGGTTTTAGTAATTAATAGAGAGTGACTAAGTAGTTTTGTAAAGAGTAAACAGAAAGATGTACATTTTTTGTAGGATGAAAATGTTGATGCTCCTACTAAATAAACTATTATCTAATCTATTCCAATAATTGACATATTCTTATTACTGTTACTCAGTTAACTACACTGATAAATATTTTAATTTTCAAGTCAGGATATTACTGCCTCTTAACATACTCAACAATAAAATAAATAATATGTTATTATTTCTGTTTCACAAATGAGAGCTGTGAGACACAAAGAGCCTGTGTAACTTATAAAAGTTGACTTTTTAATTGTTGGGATAAGTTTCAGGCCATTTTTAAAGCCAACTTTTTTCTCTATTAGATGTCTTTTGTCACATTCTCAGCTGTAATTTTAGAAATGTCTATATCTTCACTCCTGCTCACACTGTATTTTGATGTCACGAGTTACTATCTTAGCACTTCTTAGAATAGTGCCTGGCATATCGTACATAGCCTTATCAAACATGATTCCCAAAGGAAAAAAATAAAAACATAATTTCTACTTTTAGATGATATCAATATACCTAGCAACCCAAGAGATTCAACAAATACCAAGATTTAGCATAGTGGCAGGATATAAAATAAACCTGTTTATAAAATAAATATAAAAATCAATGCTCTATCATATTGAAATACCACTTCACACACATGACAATGGCTATTACACAAAAAACAACATAATCCCTAAAAGAGCAAGTGGTGTAAAGAGGAGGGAGAAATTAGAATGTTTTTTAACTCCTGGTGCAAATGTAAAATGGTGCAGCCACTATAAAAACAATGTGGACATTTCTTGAAAAAAACAAACATAAAATGAACATTCTTCTATTTAGAACATAGAATTATATGATCCAGCTATTTCATTACTAAATATATATCCAAAAGAATTAAAAGCAGGGGATTGAAGAAATATTCGTATGCTTGTGTTTATGGCAGCACTATTCACAATAGCCAAAAGCTGGAAGCAACCCATGTCTTCAGCAATGAATAAACAAAATGCGTTATTTACATGCAATGAAATATTATTAACCCTTAAAGGGGAAAATAAATTTGACACATGCTGAACCTTGAGGACATTATGCTAACTAAAACAAGCCATTTCCAAAAGAACAAATACTGTATGACTCCACTTACATAACTGACCGAGAATGGTAGAATTCAGAGAGAAGGAAAGTAGAATGGTGGTTATAAGACAGTGGACAATGGGAAATACATAGAGTTTCAACTTTGCAAGACAAAAAGAATTATGAACATCAATGGTGGTTATGGTTGCAAAACAGTGTGAATATACTTTATTGTCACTTTATGTACACTTTTTTTTTTTGAGATGAAGTCTCACTCCGTTGCCAGGCTGGAGTGCAGTGGTGTGATCTTGGCTCACTGCAACCTCTGGCTCCTGGGTTCAAGTGATTCTCCTGCCTTAGCCTCCTGAGTAGCTGAGACTACAGGTACACACCACCAAATCCAGCTAATCTTTGTATTTTTTAGTAGATATGGAGTTTCACCATATTGGCCAGGGTGGTCTCAAACTCCTGACCTTGTGATCCGCGAACCTCAGCCTCCCAAAGTGCTGGGATTACAGGCCTGAGCCACCATACCCGGCCTATGTACACTTAATAATGGATTAAAATAATATATTCTATGTTATGCATATTTTACAATATTATTTTTAATAATTTTCATATAGAAAACCAGTGAAAATTTAGCAAATATAATGAGGGGGAAAAGATGACATTACCAAAGCTACAATAAATACATCTAGGAGAAAATTTTAAAGAGATATGTAAAACATATAAAAGAACAACCTTAAAATACTTTAAAAGACACAAAAATCACCTAAAAATTTTTGTAACATCCTAGAGACATCAATTTTAACACAATTTTAGGTATTTAACACAATAGACAAAAAGTTGATGAATAAAGGCAGTTGGCTCATAAATTTGAAAATAATATCATAAAAATGGAAATGTACACTAAGACTACAGAGAGATATCTATTTTTACATCTCAGTTATAAAAAATTCCACAATATTCAGTGATGCTGTAAAAAACAGACAATCCTGTGCAATCAAATTAGAAGAGAATATACAAAATACCTAAGCATTAACTTTGAAGCCTGGAAACTCAATTCTATGACTATACCGTGCAACAGAGCTTTACAAACATTAAACAAATATTTCTGAGGTTATTCCCTGTGACCTTATTTGTCATAGCAAAATAACAGACAGAGCAGCTATGTTTATTCACAGGGCAAAGGGTGAATAGTCTCATGCCACCATCTATATTAGAACACTCAGCAGCTATTAAGATAGAAGAGAGAGACCTCTATGTGCCTGTAGGGAGCCTTGGTCATAGCATATCGTAAAGAGCTGTGTCAGTGTGAGGATGCGATTATAGCAAGAAACATATATTGGTCTCTACCCCAGCAAGTTTAATTCCTGAGGTTCTAAGCAACCTCATCTTTCTCTCCTTTTGAAGACAAACCTGAAGATGAGTTTTTCTTTCACTGCATAGACCAACCAGAAACTGAGGTGTGCTTTCAGACATGTGTGTGCATTGAGGGAAGGCCACCCTCACATCCAGGGCATGGCTTTCGTTGCAAGCAGAAGCCAGCCCAAAACAGCTACTTACTGAGAGAGCCTCTGCATATACTAATTCCTGCTGTACATCTGTGCCTCCCTCACAGAGCCTGGCAGCTCATGGTTAGGGTATTTATGCCCAGATGGGTGTTCCAGAACAGCCTTCTCCCCCTACTGCTTCCACCCCTGTGCTGGATACACATAATCTATTAACAATGAGAAATTAGACACAACTTTTTTATCTGATTAATGTGAGTTAACCTCTAAATAATTAGGCCCAGAGACACAGGAATGAGGAAGCAGTCATGTCCCGCCCACTCCGTGTATTAGTGTGTTTTCATGCTGCGGGTAAAGACATACCTGAGACTGGGCAATTTACAAAAGAAAAAGGTTTAATTGGACTTACAGTTCCACATGGCTGGGGAGGCCTGACAATTATGGCGGAATGCAAGGAGGAATGAGTGACATCTTACATGGATGGTGGCAGGCAAAACAAAAAAAAATGTGTGGAGGGGAACTTCTCTTTTTAAAACTATCAGATCTCAGCCCAGTGCAGTGGCTCACGCCTGTAATCCCAGCACTTTGGGAGGCTGAGGTGGGCAGATCACAAGGTCAGGAGTTTGAGACCAGCCTGACCAACATGGTGAAACCCCATCTCTACTAAAAATACAAAATTTACCTGGGCATAATGGCACACACCTGTAATCCTGGCTACTCAGGAGGCTGAGGCAGGAGAATCGCTTGAACCCAGGAGGCGGAGATTGCAGTGAGCCGAGACTGTGCCACTGCACTCCAGCCTGGGGGACAGAGTGAGATTCTGTCTCCAAAGAAAAATCAACAACAACAACAACAACAAAAAACCTATCAGATCTCATGAGACTTATTCGCTATCAGGAGAACAGCATGGGAAAGACTTGCTCCCATGATTCAATTACCTCCCACCAGGTCCCTCCTACATGTGGGACTTCCAGATGAGATTTGGGTGGGGACACAGTCAAACCCTATCATTCTGCCCCGTACCCTTCCTAAATCTCGTATCTTCACATTTCATAATCAATCATGCCTTCTCAACAGTCTCCCAGAGTCTCAACTAATTTCAGCATTAACTTAAAAGTCCACAGTCCAAAGTCTCATCCAAGACAAGGCAAGTCCCTTCTGCCTACGAGCCTGTAAAATCAAAAAGCAAGTTAGTTACTTCCTAGTTACAATGGGGGTAAAGGCACTGGGTAAATACAGCCACTTCAAATGGGAGAAATTGGCCAAAACAAAGGGGCTACAGGTCTCACGCAAGTTTGAAATCCAGCAGGACAGTCAAATCTTAAAGCTCCAAAATGATCACCTTTGACTTCATGTCTCACATCCAGGTCACACTGATGCAAGAAGTGAGCTTCCATGGCCTTGGGCAGCTCCGCCCCTGTGGCTTTGCAGGGTATAGCCCCCCTCCTGGCTGCTTTCATAGGCTGGCATCCAGTGTCTGCAGCTTTTCCAGGTGCACGGTGCAAGCTGCAGTGGATTTGCCATTCTGGGGTCTGGAGGGCACTAGCCCTCTTCTTGCAGCTTCACTAGGCAGTGCCCCAGTAGGGACTTTGTGTGGGGGCTCTGACCCCACATTTCCCTCCTGGACTGCTCTAGCAGATGTTCTCCATGAGGAGGGCCACACCCCTGCATCAAACTTCTGCCTGCGCAATCTGGCTGGGGAGGCCTCACAATCATGGTGGAAGGCAAGAAGGAGCAAGTCATATCTTATGTGGATGGCAGCAGGCAAAAAAAAAAAAAAAAAAAAAGAGAGAGAAATTGTCCAGGGGAACTCCTGTTTAAAAAACCATCAGATCTCATGAGACCTATTCACTATCTGGAGGTGTTAGGATGAGTTTCAGTGATGTGTACCAGTATCACAGGGTCTTCCCAAAAGAAAAACACCTGCAGAGACTTTTAGCTAAGCTGGAAGGTAAACATAAGCATTGCTCACCCAGCACTATAATCACCAACTCTTGGGTGACACCTTGAGGAGTGATGCTCATACACAGCACACTTAGACCTGGTACACTGCTCTGGCCATGATCACCTTTGAAAAGTTTCTAAATTATGGAAAACTGATCATCAAAACCATGCCTTTCCTTCTAGGTAACATCCCTTAGAAACATAAGCTGAACTTATGTATAATACCTATGGAGCTTCACCTTGCAAATGCCTGGGTAAATGGACCGACATGACTTCAGATGACCCCAAAATGCAATGACAAAAATGAAGGTCTTTTGACAGTTCTAAATCAATATATTTCCATGCACAATTGGAAAAGGCAGGTTTTAGAATGAAATTTAATGAAAGGCCTTCTTTCTGTTTTGCCTGGCTAAATTCTAGTAAGAGATTTCAAAGTACATTTTACAATACATACTTTAACTTTTTCCAGTCTTTTCTCAGTCTCTAGGAGACGTAAATCTTACCATGTATTTGAAATGTTAACATCCAGAGAATTAGCAAAACAGCATTCCAGCTAAGATCAAATTGGGAAAAAAAAATTGAAGTTTTTTAGACCAAACCTCAAAATTTTATTTCAGTGAATATCTCTAGCTTAGGCAAAAAACATTACCCACATAATAATTAATTAATAATGTATTTGTTTTTATTATTTTATTATTACTCTTGATCTTTTGGAGTACACATTTGTAAACTTGTCTACTCCCATAGACAGCTTTTTTTCTCCTGTTTTACCAACCATTTCTTAAAATCTTGTGTCTGGCCTTTGTGGGCAGATGGTAAGCTGAGAAGCTGAGATACTAGAAAATACGACCTGAAAATATAGATTGTACCCCATTTGCGGTAAGCTGTGCTTAGGAGAAGTTTTGATTATACCAGAGCTACAATTTTTTTTGTTCTTTCTCTGAAGTTTTAAAGTCATACAGGATTTCTTGGATTTGGCCTCATGAATGTGTTGGTTTTTAGTCACTAGTTCAGATATGCCTTCAACTTAAAATTTCAGTTTATGTTTAGAGTGTAATGGAAACTTTTGTTGCTTTGTTTGTTTAGTCTCCTCTCCAGGACTAAATAAAACTGTATACTGTGGTTTGGAAAAAAGAAAACTATTTACTCAAAAATTCCAAAGATAAATGTTCAAATATTAAATAGTTTTAAATATTTTAAATACAGCTTTAAATAGTGATCACTCTATACCTCCAATAAACAAAAATGTCCCATCTCCAAAATTTCTTCTTGATGTAAATTTTAGAAAGAAAAAGTAAAGAAATGTTTTCTATTTACGTGGGTAAAATCTAAATTTAAAAAACTTAAAAGCTCTACAGTCAAAAGTCCATTTATTTAAAATTGACAATCAGGCTATATATACATACATACACACACACACACACACACACACACACACACACACATACATATGCATACATACACACACATATTATACATACATAAATTTGAGGCCTATGGTTTTTTCATATAAGGTCTTTTGTCAACTGAATTTCTCTCTCCCTAAACTGGTATCTCTATGTGCCTGTTTCTTCTCTTGCTGACATGATTTTTGCCAAGGATAATGTAAAACTTTACTGGCTGTTTGGAAAACAAAATCTCAAACTGTCTCATCTAGAATTAATTCTTCCATTTACTTCTATCTTTCTCATCTTCCACTTAAAACCTTTTGTCACTAAGGAGGACACCTAAAGGAAACTTCTAGCAGCCTGGGACCCCTTGAAGAACACAGATAAAGCGCCACAGGCTTCTCCTTCTTTGGCAGGGTACCTGTTTTTCCTCATGAAGCCCCGGAAGTTGTGGGTAAACAGGTTTTTTTGGGGCCTGAAGCTCTACTCCCTTTTACAATGAACTCCCTCTCTAGGGCTGTTAGATACAAACATGAGTAAGTTATATTTTGGGTCTACATGTATGTATATGTCTATAAATGTGTTTGTATATTATCTACATGGTACTAAATTAAAGATAAATAAGTTTTCATGAATTAAAAAAAAAGCCCAAATATTTTTCAAGAATATGTGAATTGAGTAAATCTTTTGGCAAATATGACTAGTTTGTTGATTTAATAAAAAACAGTGTCTTCTGACTTCTCAGCGAAATATATATATATAGAAAAATATATATATGTAGAAAGTTTATTGCTTTTATAACTTGTCCAATACAGTAATACAAAAATGGATAATAGAAAGTTTAACTTCAGATGAGTGTATTAGTCTAATGTTTCATGAGATTTTACAAAAATAATTAAGAATAAATAAATAAAACAGATGTAAATGGGACAAAAGCTTAAAACTTACAATACTAATTGTTTTGTAATGTGTTTAAATAGTTTCTCAAATCTTTATGGAAACTATAATCTTAGATTGTTGCTAACCTACATTAAATAATGGCTATTCATTAAACATCTAGATTATCTCTAAATAAGATAAAATGCTAAGATATTAATTTTTAAATATAAGTTTAAGCTAAATATTTTTGGTTTCTTCACAGAAACAAAAGATATTTAGATCTGTTAGTATGTCCTATTCCACATTAAAAATGTTTCCATTTAAAATCCTATGTTTCTAAAAATTATAAAATATATATTTCTAAATGTTTACTACATGACTAATAGTTAAAATTGCTTACTTCTCAGGCTTTCACTATATATTCAGATTACTAAAAATTAAAATTCTGGCTAAGATATAATAACTAAAACTATTGTTAAGGAGAGAAACAATTTTACATACAGAGTGTACAAGGAAAATAAGATGTGTTTCTTGGTGAAAAAAATTATTTTAGAAAGAGACAAGAGGATGTGGTTTTTCTTAAAGAGAAGGCAATCTTGCTGGGTTTAGAGGTTAAAGAATACATAAAATTGAAAGAATAAAAGATAAAGAAAATGAGGTAAATTCAATGGATATATAAAGTTGGAGAAAGAGAATAAAGAAAATTTTAAGGGGTTATAAAATGTTTCTAGAAATCTTATCTTGTATGGTCAGC
This sequence comes from Homo sapiens, assembly GCF_000001405.40. Classification (NCBI taxonomy): domain Eukaryota; kingdom Metazoa; phylum Chordata; class Mammalia; order Primates; family Hominidae; genus Homo; species Homo sapiens. The sequence continues at coordinate 64,049,200 of NC_000007.14, read as the reverse complement.
TGACTGAGACTGAATACATCTGTTTATAAGGTTTTCTTAAAATTAGCTTTAATAATAATATAATAATACAAGAATAAAATTTGATTTTCTTTTTTAAACAAGATTTTTATGAAGAAAAAGATTTACTTCAAATTTGTTGGAAGGAACCATATTAGATTTTCTTGGCCAATACCTGTGCCACTAAATTGAAGACCAATATCTTTTAGAATATTTGGTCACCGCCCTCTCCATACATAGCTCTGCAAAAACCCAGCACTGGACAAATTCTCTCTAACTTTCTGCAGGCTTGGCCACCAATCTGTTTTAGATGAAGATTCTGTTTGAAAAAAATCTGCTAATTATCTGCCTGGCTTTCAAAGAACACCTTCATGCATTTTATTGGAAAAAATGCTTTTGCCTTGGTGAGGTGTCACTTCCCATGAACATATGATTTAAAATATTTTTATAAGCTTAGAAAGAATTACTGATAAAATTGTTGCATCCATTGCAGCTTAAAAACAAAAAAAGCTACTGATTTACTGGCTACAATTATACTAGACAATCATATTGCTTTAGGTTACGTATTACCTGAGCAAAGATATGTATGTATAGTGGCAAATACTTTTTTATTGTGTACACATAAATATTTCCTATGAAGTAGAAATTTTTCTAAAAAATAATGAGTTGCCCACTACCACAAATTCTCCACTCTGCACGAGACAGAAACTGATGTTTTCATGAATGTTTGTAATTTACGTGTTAATCTACCACACTTTCTTGTAAAAATGTATTTATTTTTCTGCAACCATCATGAGACAGACATTTCCTCTGTCTTTTCCCAGGTAGCATTCCCAAAGCTAAGCCCTGGGATTCTGTTTGAAATCATGCTAAAACAGAACAGACCTCAGAATCTTACTACATTCACTGTGCAATACATAAAAGGTAAATGAGAATTTTTAACCAATGGAATATAAACTATTTTTTTTCTGAAATCTACCTCTTTTCTCTTAGAAAACATTTGTGGTTTTTTTTAATCTTTCAAGCTCTAATGATAAAATCCATTTTACAATTAATGAAAAACTGAAGTTGAAATAACTGAACATATATATTCAAGGCAACAAACACGGGGTGAAGTAGTGCTGACTGGAACACAGATGTTTTAGACTCATGTGTCAATCACTTGAGAGATTCTCCCACCCCCATTCTGCTCACTAAAGTACTTGATCATCACTCTCCCAAAAGACACTGCACTTGCCCCCTGTGTGGCAGATGTGTATTTTGCTTTGCAAATTTATACACGCCCTCACTAGGGTGGGTCTTTCCTATACTTTGGGACAGTTATTCTCCTTCACAAGCCTGAGAGAAACCAGAGGGCAAGATGCATTTGTGCCTTTTTCCCTCAATACCAGCACCTGATTGGTTGAGCACCAATGTGTCTGCAGAAAGGAAAGCTAGGGTTGAGAGGGAAAAAAATCTTAATGTTAAAGCAGTTAGCTTTTTAGAGGAAGGGTGTATCAGGAAACTGCTCTCAGCACGAGGGCATCCAGCTGCTCCCCTGAGAGGCTCCACCCAATACCTCAGGCTCTTCTCTGAAAGGAGATGACCCAGGGGCTAATGTTTGCTAGACACTCCAAGAGACATGGTCCTTGTGGGTATCTTGGATCATCCCCAGAAAGCTGTAATACTTGGAACCAGGAAAATACAGGAGAGTGACTGAGGACACATCACCCTGCAAAGGATCCAAAGACATGCTGGGAAGGCGCGCGTGCCTAGAGAAGATGAGAGGAGATGCGCAGAGCGTCAGGTGATTACTCTCTGCTTTCCTGTTATGTGAAATGTTCACGAACAGACGAAATTAAAAAGAGCCACCTACTGCTCTCTTAAACAAAAATAAACAATTAAAATGCCACGTCCGTTTTGAAATTAAATAAAGGACTAATAGTTGATAATGTGATCTGGACAGGGATAGTCGGCATTGGGGAATGTGGGAAAGAAATTGGAAATGTAGAATTTTCTACAGTCCCTATAACAGTTAGGCTGGGAGAAGTTTTGGATTTGAGACCCTGCTTGCCAAACATTTGAAAATTGCAGACAAAACCAAGGACCCTGTAGAGCATTAAAATAACTAAATAGCTGGCAATTAGGCTGAAATGGCCATGATGCTCTGGGATTCTGCCTAAGGAAACCTAACTACGTCGAAAGAATTTCTTACAAATTACTAACTTTGAGAAAAAAAAAAAAAACACAAAACTTAGGCTTAACCAACCACAAGCTGCCAATAAAGCTCTAAGTACATAACCAGGACATTTCCACCGGATGGGTGCAAATGCAATACATAACTGTAACCAATCAAATACTGAATCTGGTTTGCTTCCTCATACCTCTTACAAAAGCCTTTTGTTCCAAGTCTCTCCTTTGAGCCCCCAAACCATAGTTGGATATTCTCTGATTCATAAATTGCTGTTTGTGCAAATAAACTGTTTGTATTAATCGGTTCTGGCATTACTATAAATGCCTCAGACTGGGTAATTTATAAGAAAGAGGATTAACTGGCTCATGGTTCCACAGGCTGTACAGAAAGCATAACACCAGCATCTGCTTCTGGGGGGGCCCCACCCAGGAAGCTTAAAATCCTGGTGCAAGGTGAAGCAGGAGCTTGAAAAGAAGGCAAGGGGGTTGCTATACACTTTTAAATAAGAACTTCAGGGAACTCAGTCACTATCGAGAGGTCAATACCAAGAGGAATGGTGCTAAACTATTCATGAGAAATTCACGCCCATAATCCAAACACTTTCCACCAGGCCCCACCTCCAACATGGGGTATTACATTTAAATAGGAGAGTTGGGCTGGAAAACACTTCGAAACTATATCCTAAAGATGCCTCAATTTAGGCTACGACAGTGGCTCATGCATGTAATCCCGGCACTTTAGGAGGCCCGAGGGGGGCGGATCACCTGAGCTCCGGAGTTCGAGACCAGGCTGAGCAACATTGCAAAAACCCGTCTCTACCAAACAAACAAAAAACAAAACCACAAAACCAGGCGAGGTGGCGGCGCATGTCTCCCTAGTCCTAGCTACTTGGGGAGCTGGGGTGGGAGGATCATCTGAGCCCAGGAGGTGGAGGCTGCAGTGAGCCGAAATCTTGCCACTGCACTTTAGCCTGGGCACAGAGTGAGACACTGTCTCCAAAATAAATAAATAAAATAAGCCACAATTTTTAAAAGGAGAAAGGAGGGACTGGGGACCCCAAGGCCCACTGCTTCTTCCACGGAGGAACTCCAGACCCTGAATGAGGATTCTCGTCTTATGACGTCCCCGCACAATCTGGAGGAGACTCGGGATTGCGACACAGAGCTGCCCAAAAAGTCTCTGGGCTGGAAAGAAATTCGCGTTTATGGACAAAACAAGACGCTCGGGTTTTGGCTGCAGGCTCAGCTCCTAATCTGCGACGGAGGGAAGTGAGGACTGAACTGTGCCCACGGGGACTCGGAGCTGCTGCAGAGCTGACCGCGAGGCCAAGATCCCACCGCAGCCAGTTCCGACCGGATTCAAACAGCCTCTTCCCCCTTCTCGGGACACCCACTCCGCGCACTCACCATTTCCCAGCCTCCGGATGTTCCGCCTTCTTCCCTATGGATCTCCCAGTACCTGCAGGTCACAGGATAACAGGGGCTATGGTGGAGTCACCGAGGAGCTAATGGAGCGGAAGAGATGGAATAGTACAGACGGGTACTGGACTCAGAGCCTAGAAGCTAGGAGACGAAGGCCTTGCCATATTGAAGAGCCCGCCTCTTCCTCTCTAGCTGCGCACCTGATTGGGCAGTTTTCACGCTAGCACCACTGATTGGCTGGGGTTCTCCGCCCCACACATTTAGACCCTGATCGACAGGAGATGTAATGAGACACTGGGCTGAATGAGGAAAGAGTGACAGGTTTTTGCCTGCAGCATGTTCAGGCAGCGATTTCTCCTTGTGTTGGGGGCCTGGCCCTGCCTGAGGGACATTTGTATTTAACGTTGTATATAAGATTATATCACTTTCTGATTATATTTACGTGTGTGTATATCAATTTCTGAATTATAGTTATGTGTATGCTGCAGGCCCTGTCTCAGCATCCTGTCTTTCCCTTTAGTTGCAGGAGATCAAAGTCCTCCAGGAGATGCAGCTGCACCAGCTGGCTGCAGACAATTATCACCTTCAGTCTGTGAAGCAATTTTGGGTCTGCTTCCAATTAATGGAGTGTCTCAGTGAGACTGAGAGGTGAGGGCCTAGCAGATTGGTTAGTGCCACTCACCCAGACCTCCCAAAACACCCTGTTTCTTTCCCACCAAAGCTGAGCCTGCCTGAGGACCTAAACAAGCATGGAGAACGAAGATGGGACCCTAGTCAGGGATAGTGCTGGGCTGTGGGGTAAAGTCAGCTGGGTCAGTGCCTCCAGGTGTGGGAAGGAGCCGGCCTCTTCTCTAGGGCCCTGGGCAAGTCACTGCCCTCTTTGGGCCTCTGTTTTCTTATCCAAAAAATGTAGGGATGATGAGACTGAGAGGGGCTAATGATGAGCTTCAAAGGAGAAAAGAACTTTGAGAGTGCTTGTGCCTGGCTCTTCCTGAGATGATGAGAACAATGGTGACAGCTACATATAACTGAGTCCTCACAAGGCCCAGTGAGGTAGGTGGTTCCCATCACACTTTCAAGTTGAGAAAACAGTCTCAGGGAGGCCTGGCTGCATGCCCAAGGTTCCACATACAGGGAGTGTTGGAGCAGGGAGTCAATCTAGAATCAGAACTTACTGGAGATGACAGGAGCATTGGACCAGCTTACTCACACCAGTTATCCAGGATACCAGGTCAGTGTAACTGGGCATAACTGGGTGAAGGGAGCATAGTATCACTGACCTTTTCTTTGACTCTGGCAGATGAAGACATCCACGTTGGCCACCCTGGAGACGAAACCACAGAGAGGCCAGATGAGGCTAAAGCAGCAAAAAGGCAGTGTCCCTGTGATGGGGAGGAGCTCCAGGGAGTCAGAGGGAAGAGCTCCTCCCTCACAGCCGGAGGCCTCCACATCAAAAGAGCAAGGGGCCTTTCTCCCGTAGCCCTTCCCTCCTGTGGCAACAGTCCCTGAAATGCCTCTATAAGACAAATCTGAGTAAAAGCCTGGAAGAGCTGGATTTGGGAAATAGTGGGGGCAGGGACCACATAACATTGTGACTTGTAAAAATCTCACCACAGAGTTAACATGGGAACATGGGGGTTCATGTTTTTGGAGGCCAGCTAGGAGGAGGGGAGAGAGTTGGGGAGAGGCAGCTGAGTGTCTTTGGCTTTTTCAAGTGGAAGATGTAGATAGGAGGGTCCAGGAGACAGGGGATTATGAGACTTCAGGGGACAGGCCTTGAATGGACACCCAAAATTGGATACTCATCCCCATCACCACCCGATGGCACAGGGTGTTGCCTCCATCCTGGGCACATTTTCCAGTTATCTGGTGATGGGAGACCCTGCCAGAAAGGATTATATGGATGGGAGTGAGCCTGGGATGGGCAGGGCTGGAACCAGGATCCTGAGGCTTGGGAAAAGAGAATCCAGGACTACACCCTTAGATCTCAGCACTTGGCAAACCTCCTCTCATGAGAGCCTCACGGCTGCCTCTGTGAGCTGAGGCATCAGGCCCCTCTTCCCTATGAATGTTGAAGATTCCACATCAGCCGTCAGTCCCTGTTCCCAGAGTGGTGAAGCTGCAGAGCTGCCTGCTTGCAAAGCTCAGTGAGGTTTGGCCTGAGCTGGACTCAGACTCTCCCTCAGGTGGTTCCAATGGAAGGAGAGTAAACTTAGACCTCTCTAAGGGCAGGCAGCTCATATAAGCCTGAGCACTTTTTTAATGGGAGCCTCCAGTTTTTCTGTCATCAGAGAGAGTTGGGGCGGGAGGTCCCTGAGCCTCAGCTCCCATTGTTCTGTTCTTTGAACCCCAGAACCTGCTGCAGACCCAACTCCTGCTTTGTGCACATGCCCTGACCCTGGTGGCCCTGGCAGTAATGCAGTATGAAGGGAGTGGGGAGGGGACCTAGTCTAAGGGTCTAAGGGGCCTTTCTAATGAACACTGGCTGTCTGACTTCCAGGGAAATGTGAATAACACCAAAAAAAAAAAAAAAAAAAAAGGAAGGTGAGTAGCTGGGGCAACACTGGGGGAGAGTGGAGAGGTAAAACTCACAGATGCCCCTGGGGAGAATACTCTGTGTATCTAACTTATTTATCTATTTATTTTGATATAGAGTCTTGCTCTGTTGCCCAGACTGGAGTACAGTGGCATGATCTCTGCTCACTGCAACCTTCACCTCACGGGTTCAAGCGATTCTCCTGCCTCAGCCTCATGAGTAGCTGGGATTACAGGTGCATACCACCACATCTGGCTAATTTTTTATATTTTTGGTAGAGATGGGTTTTCACCATGTTAGCCAGGCTGGTCTTGAACTCCTGACCTCAAGTGATCCACCTGCCTTGGCCTCCCAAAGCGCTGGGATTACAGGCATGAGCCACTGCACCCAGCTTAACCTTTTCAGTAAATCTAAGATGCAGAGGATGGAGCCTCTGCAATCTCAGATTTAGATTCCATCCTCTGCATCTTAGATTTATTGAAAAGGTTTGATACACAGATAAAGAGACCCATCACAATGGAGGGTGTGAGTAGGGGACTGAAATCAAAAACCAGTTCCTGGAGGAGGGGCTGTCTGTATCCAACTCTGAAAATAGGTTGGGGCTGCCTGGCATTAGAGAACAGGAAGAGGCCCTTAAGAGAAAAGCCCCAGAAAACAGCCCGTTACCTCTCTTCCCCACAAGTTCCCTTCAACATTTTTCACCCAGGTCCGGTTAGTAGGAAGTTTACTCTCCTTCCATTGGCACCACCTGAGGGAGAGTCTGAGTCCAGCTCAGGCCAAACCTCACTGGGCTTTGCAAGCAGGCAGCTCTGCAGCTTCACCACTTAGAGAACAGGGACTGGCGGCTGATGTGGAGTCTTCAACATTCATAGGGAAGATTCATAGATTCATAGGCCTGAAGCCTCAGTTCACAGAGGCAGCCGTGAGGCTCTCATGAGAGGAGGTTTGCCAAGTGCTGAGATCTAAGGATGTAATCCTGGATTCTCTTCTCCCAAGCCTCAGGATCCTGGTTCCAGCCCTGCCCATCCCAGGCTCACTCCCATCCACAAAATCCTTTCTGGCAGGGTCTCCCATCACCAGATAACTGGAAAATGTGCCCAGGATGGAGGCAACACCCTGTGCCATCGGGTGGTAATGGGGATAAGTACTCACTTTTGGGTGTCCATTCAAGGCCTGTCCCCTGAAATCTCATAATCCCTGTCTCCTGGAACCTCCTGTCCACATCTTCCACTTGTCCTTCCCTTTAGCTGCAGGAGATCAAAGTCTTCCAGGAGATGCAGCTGCTTCAGCTGTCTGCAGACAATTATCACCTTCAGCCTGTGGGGCAATTTTGGGTCTGCCTCCAGTTAATGGAGTGGCTCAGTAAGACTGAGAGGTGAGGGTCTAGCAGATTGTCAGAGGGCATGGAGAATATTTGTTTTGGGCCAGCTGCCAAGAGCCTGTGGCCATGGCTCCCTGGTCAGTGTCAGGCCCTGCTGCATGATGACCCCTGGGACCCAGCACTCCAGCTGGGCAGGCACTGGGAAGGAGGCCAGGGATATGGATTCTACTAGCCTCACATCTGCCTCTGTACTGTAGCTACAACCTGCCTGCCAGCTGGATCTCTTATCCCAGTAGTCCAGCAACACCACCCTCCTGGCCATGGAGAACATGCCATGATAAATCTTAGGGAACACTGAGTGCCTGGACCAGCAGGAGGAAAGTACCTTAGAGCTCAGTGACATTTGGGCTAGGCATGGGATCCGGGTGTCAGACAGCTACACTGGGCTTCCAGCTCCACCACTGAACAGCCCTGTGACTGGGGCAGAGGACTCACTACTATGGTACTTGAGGCCCCATTGTCATAAATACAATGCACACTGCCAATTCCTTTTTCTCATTTATCTGTTTATTTATAATCACCATGTACTACTGATCTCTGTTGGTGTTTTTATTCAAAATTAATAAGCATGTGATACGTTTTTATCATTCTTCCTCATGATTTCTTTACTATATGATTCCTCTCATGTGTGGTACTTAAGAGTAAATCCATAGAAACACGAAGTAGGAGAGTGTTTCCCAGGGGCTAGAGGGAGAATAACAAGGAGCTGTTGTTTAATGGGTACAGTTTCAGTTTCAAAAAATGGAAAATGCTTTTTATACATGGAAATTATGGTAGCAAATTAATGAGTGTCCTTAATTCATGTCAACTGAAACCTTTAAAATAGTTAAAATAGTTAGTTTTATGTGTAATTTAACATCATGTATAAAATTCTTTTAAATTTTTATATATATATTTTTTAGGAGACAGTCTTGCTCTGTTACCCAGACTGGAGTGCAGGATTGTAATCATCACTTCCTGCAGCCTTGAACTCATGGGCTTAATTGATTTTTCTGCATCAGCCATCTGAGTAGCTGGAATGACAGACACATGCCACCATGCCTGGCTAATTTTTAATTTTTTTGTAGAGAGAGGGTCTCACTATATTGTCCAGACTGGTCTAAAATTCCCAGCCACAAGTGATCCTCCTACCTTAGCCTCCTAAAATATTATAGGCTGAACATGTTGGCTTATGCCTGTAATCTCAGTGTTTAAATATCTGCAGCAACACTGATGAATATTACAAATGTGATGTACAAAAGAAAGTAGATGTAAAAATATACATACTATATAATGCCATTTATGTAAAATCCAAAAAGAATATAAAATTGAAGTTTTGGCTTTCAGTAATGGTGGAGTAGCTTGTTGAACAATACTCTTACAAATAACAATGGTAAAATCTGGATACAATGTCATATATTGTTATATAGAAACACACATCTATATATCATACATAGGATATATGTACAGATAAGAACTGAATGAGAATTTTAGCTGTGCCCACTGAAAGGGAGAAGGGTATCTGAATTTGAATCCAGCCAAATTAACTCCCTCTTCAAAAAATAACAACAATCTTCAAAGGAATACAACAGAATCCAGAGTCTTTGTAAGTATTATTTATAGTTTTCAAAATACAATTTTAAAATTTAAGAGACATGAGAAGAAACACAAAATGTAATTCATGCACAAGACGAAACACAGGCATTAGAAGCTATCCCCAAAACGTCCAAGATGTTGTTATCAGCAGTCAAGTATTTGAGAGCAGCCATTAAAACTATAGTCATGGGGTGAAGAAAAAACGTTCTCATAATGAATGAATACATGTGGAATCTCAGCAAGAAATGCACATTATTAAAAAGAACCAAATAGAAAGATAATGAAATTTTAAAATAGTACTTTTAGGTTGATTCATAGATTAGAAAAAGACAGAACAATAGAAATTACTGAATCTGAAAAAAAAGAGTAAAAAAAGTTTGAAGAAAATGGACAGTCTTACCAATAAATGCGGTACAAAAGTAACAACTAATAGCTGAAAACTATTGGTCAAAACCCCCAAGTTTTGTTTTTTTTGTTGTTTTTTTTTTTTGTTTTTTTTTGAGATGGAGTCTCACTCTGTTGCCCAGGCTGAAGTGCAGTGGTGCGATCTCAGCTCACTGCAAGCTCTGCCTTCCGGGTTGACACCATTCTCCTGCCTAGTCTCCTGAGTAGCTGGGACTACAGGTGCCCCTCACCACACACGACTAATTTTTTGTATTTTTAGTAGAGATGAGGTTTCACCATGTTAGCCAGGATGGTCTCGATCTCCTGACCTCGTGATTCGCCTGCCTCGGCCTCCCAAAGTGCTGGGATTACAGGCCAAAACCCCCAATTTTTATATCCAAGCAAAGTCAACAAATCCCAGAAAAAAAATCCAAGTAAAACCATACCAAGGCCATAGGCCATATTGTGATTTAAGAAACTGGCAGGACAGGGCTTTCAATTGACTTTCTATGATTTCTAATTTTTACTATTTATAATGATGGAAAATAGGTTATTCTTGAGAGTTTTTATCTTGGAGAAAGTCTCACATATCAGGCATAGATGACTAAGGGTTATTAAAGGCAGATGACTTTCTAGCCTTGTTTTAGAGTTTTAATTTCTTACTTTGGAAATAAATTTGTTTCTTACAAATCTTATAGTAAAAATGATTCTCCAGAAAGATGTGCCCAGGATATTCTCTCCTGCTGCATCCTCCCTGCAGAGAATTAAAGCTGTGTGTACTTCAATTTCGGAAATGTACAGTATGAATTACTTAGAGTTAATTTGAAAAACTAAAAGAAAAACATGGGATGAATTAAGATATTTAAGAATTAAGATATTACTGTGATGTTCCTTCAGCAAATTACTAAAAGTGGTTCCAGAGTGATATTTAAAAATGATTATTAAAAGAGTTTCTAAGGGAGCCCTATTCAGGGCAAAAAGACATTGTACATTACCTCAGTACACAAATATTCCTAATGTTTTGTGAAGGACCAAGGGTCCTGTTTTGTCCTATTGGCCCGTATTAACACTAAGACACCTGATTCCTGGGAACCAACCTGTGTGGGAGTCACAAAAGTGGTGGATGTGGCTCCCAAAATGGCTTATTTTGGACTCCGAAAATAAGAGAGGGGTCCCTTCTCTGTGAGGCTGAGTTTCCTGACTGTACGAAGGAGTCAGGCCTTTCCCCTGTGACGTTTTCTCCTCTTTATTACAGTGGCAGGAGCATCCCTGCGAGAGGCCTGACCCAGGTGTGTAGCCCAAGCAGCCAGCCCGGAAATCCAATGGGGTGTTCTTGGGGTGCAGAGGATTTGTGACAGTCCATACACAGAAAAAGGAAAAGGTGGCTTTGAAGAGGCAAGTGCAAAGATACCAGAGATGGGGTATTGTCATTTTAGGCAGTGAATTGACGGTTTCACTTACCAGGGAGCTCCCATCGTGAGCTCCCAAAAGGCCTAACAACTGCTAGGCCCACGGGTCATTAGCTCCACCTTTACGGAGAAGCTGCACTATGCATGTCAGAAGCGGGGTAGGCAGGGATGAGGGAAAGGACGGGATAAGGAAAGAAAAGATGTGCGCTGAGCTGAGCTGCGGGAGGGTAAACCTAACTACGTAACAATGAGCAGGCTGTGAGAGGCTCCTTGCCCCTTGCAGATTTGTGAAAAATCAAACTTCCGCCCAAGAAGCCGGCATTTCAGGTAGGGGCGATGATGTCACAATCACAGGTTGAGATCTGCTGCCCAGGCCATGCTTGCTCCCCGCAGGCAGGCGAGATTTCGGAACAGCCAGGACCTCCTCCGCATGGGGGAACCGCTCTAGACGCTCAGAGGGGCGGAGTTGAAACGGGTGCCATCGCCGTACATCCTGGGAGCTGTACTCTCTTAATCGCTCCTAGCCCCTTAGTGACAAAGCGACAGTATTATTTCGCAGGGCTGGGGGCGGGCGAAGCCCTGGGGACGCGCATCATGCTGGGAGTGGTAGTCTCTTTTTTTTTTTTTTTTTTTTGAGACGGAGTCTAGCTCTGTCGCCCAGGCTGGAGTGCAGTGGCGCGATCTCGGCTTACTGCAAGCTCCGCCTCCCGAGTTCACGTCATTCTCCTGCCTCAGCCTCCCGAGTAGCTGGGACTACTGGCGCCCGCCACCACGCCAGGCTAACTTTTTTGTATTTTTAGTAGAGACGGGGTTTCACCGTGTTAGCCACGATGGTCTCGATCTCCTAACCTCATGATCCGCCCGCCTCGGCTTCCCAAAGTGCTGGGGTTACAAGCGTGAGCCACCGCGCCTGGCCTGGGAGTGGTAGTCTCTTAACCGCTCCCAGCCCCTTGTTTGCAGGACTACAGGACTACAATCCCAGCATGCTCCGGGCTCGGGGTTGGGGCACAGCCATTAGAGAGAGAGAGGCAGGGCGCTGCGCACCTCGCCGGGCATGCGGGGCGTTGTAGTCTCTTAACGACTCCCGGCTCTTTGGTCGCCTGGCTGCAGGACTACAATTCCAGCAGGCACCGGGCTCAGTGGGAGGGGCAGGGTGGTGTGGACCTGGCAAAGCAGTGGTGCCCGCTCACCACCTGCTGCCTTTCTCTCCATGGGGAGTGAGTTTGGAGAGGGATATGAGGGATAAATCTGGGCTGGACAGTGAGAAAGGTGTGACTCTTCTAAGTACACCTCGCTTTTGCCTAAATCTGGCAGGTCCCACCTCCGACTGAGCAGCTCGGTTTCCTCTCTTTATCCTTACCCGCTGGTCTTTCCATGACATCGCGCCGCCTCCAGCCCAGGGAGCCGCCTGCTTTCCTAAAGTACTACGGAAACTGGCCTGATGTCTGTCTGAGACATTGTACATTGTGCCACTGGCCTCTGCTTACTCCAGGCAGAGCTCCAGTTCAGCAGCATTTGGGAGAAATTTGCTGCCTGGGCCGCCCGTAAACAACTTGAGCTTTGCAGTGGGTAACATGGGCTGTGGTTTGGTGAAAATGTCGACCTCACTGACCCCTTTTTCGTGGAAGTGAAAGTTGAGACATGAGGGACAGTAATTATTGGCACACTGGGATCTGCTAAAAGCAGAGGAGAAAGCCCCAATATTTCCAGGCATGTGTCTGGTGGGCCATTTTCACCTACCCATTTACGGATCTAGGCCTCCAAAAAATCAACCTAAACATGATGATTGTTTTGATATTTTACACGTGTAACCATGGGCCTCATCTCACCTTAGACCTGACTGGCCAGTGTCTCAAAGACGTGGATGGTGACCAGCTCTCTCCAGAACAGATGGCGCTCCAGCTTTGTGGGAGAAACTTTCAAGGTGTGGATCACTTGGAAGTCATTTGAAACCTATGAAGTTTAACATCTCTGCTTTGGATGGAATGCTCATCACCTACAGCAGTCAGGGATGTAACTAAACTTGCTGGGACTGATGTGTTGAAATTTTTTGTCTAGATAGTGGAAACATCCAGGAGCACTTCTGCTTCCATGTAGCCTCTTAATAATTGATGTCCCTAAAATCCTATGTCCTCAGAAACAGATACTTTCAGCCAGGGCAGTGGCTCAGGCCTGTAATCCCAGCACTTCGGGAGGCCAAGGTGGGTGGATCACCTGAGGCCAGGAGTTCGAGACCAGCTTGGCCAACATGGTGAAATCCTGTCTCTACTATAAATACAAAAATGAGCTGGGCATGGTGGCATGTGCCCATAATCTCAGCTACGTAGGAGGCTGAGGCAGGAGAGTTGCTTGAACCTGGAGGCAGAGGTTGCAGTGAGCAGAGATTGCACCACTGCACTCCAGCCTGGGCAACAGAAGGAAAAAAAAAAAAAAGGAAGGAAGAAAGTTACTTTCACAAAGTTGGTACCAGCTTTCTTGTTTTTATATCTAATCTGTAAAAATCTGGCTGTTAATCTACATGAAAGTAATAGTTCATTCATGTCACACTTCCAATAGTTTCTCATTTGTGATTTTTGAATGTGGTACACTGTCAAAAAAGGGAAAACATGATTGTGACCATTGAACTCTATTACTGTACTTGTGAAGCTTATAAAGAATTTACTACTTCAGGATTAATTACACCTGGGTTCATCGTGCCTTTGTAAAGAAAGGAAGAGAAACCATGTGTCATCTATGCAGGTGGCAAGATGAGGAAGTATAGGGAGACAACAGCAGAATACTAGGGCTTTGCCCTTTTTGTTTGTTTGTTTTTTGAGATGGAGTCTTGCTTTGTCATCCAGGCTGGAATGCAGTGGTGCAGTCTCGGCTTTCTGCAACCTCTGTCTCCTGGGTTCACGTGATTCTCCTGCCTTAGCCTCCTGAGTAGCTGGGATTATAGGTGCCCACCAACACACCTGGCTAATTTTTATATATTTAGTTGAGACAGGGTTTCACCATGTTGGCCAGGCTGATCTCAAACTCCTGACCTCAGATGATCCACCCGCCTCAGCCTCCCAAAGTGCTGGGATTACAGGCGTGAGCCACCGCCTCTGGCAGTCTCTGCTCTTTTTAACAGTAGGGCCTCTAGGGACGGTCTGTGTGGTAAAGTGCATGCATCCCTCCCCAGTCCCTCAGTATTCTCGCCCTAGTCCCTGTTCCCTCTTTAGGTAATGGTGTCTGATTACTCTTGCCCACAAGTGTCAAAAGGGAATGTTGTAATGTGAGCCTATCCATCATTTTAAAATGAGGATTAATGGAGAGGAGAGTCTTTGGACCTGTGTTTAGAAGCACTGATATTTGGTGTGTGCTGTCTAACGGCAGCTATCTGAGAAGATTGGTCCTGTTGCAGCCACAGCTGCTATGCATAGAGCAGAAGCTCCTTGCAATTTGGTGTCTTCTGGTTAGATTTTGTGGCTCTGACTCTCCTCTGCTCACCCACTCCTGGTAGTATCTGCTGGCTTGCCTGGTTTGTTCCACTTCTTTCCTGTTAGGCTGTTGTGTAACTGTATTTCACAGGGTCTTTAGGGATTCTACCCTCACCAGACTAGTCACTGGACACTGGCCATGTGCTTATCTTGCTGGAGCCCCTATGCTCATTCTCTCCAGTGGAGCTGTGAAGAATTCAACTTACTTGTCAGTCATCTCATCTGGGTATTGCTGGACTGTTTAGGAAGCAGGGAATCTTGTCTTTGGTCTCATTATTATTTCTGTTGTGTATTTTGAAGTCTGATAACTTTTTTTTTCTGAGATAGAGTCTTGCTCTGTTGCCCAGGCTGGAGTGCAGTGGCAGGATCTCGGCTCACTGCAACCTCTGCCTCCCAGGTTCAAGTGATTCTCCTGCCTCAGCCTCCCAGAGTAGCTAGGACTACAGGTGCCTGCCACCACCATGCCCGGATAATTTTTGTATTTTTGGTAGAGATGGGGTTTCCCCCATTTTGGCCAGGCTGGTCTCAAACTCGTGACCTCAGGTGATCCACCCATTTTGGCCTCCCAAAGTGCTAGGATTAAAGGCAGGAGCCACTGCGCCTGGCATCTGATACTATTTTATTAATGATGTGGACCCTTGCAGTAACAGCCACTTTTAAATATTAGTGAATTTAGGCTGGGCATGATGGCCCATGCCTGTGCCACTTCACTCCAGCCTGGGCGACAGAGCGAGACTCTGTCTGAAAGAAGAAAAAAAAAGATAGTGAATTTAACTCTGGCAACAACTTGATGAAGTAGGCATAGATCCCCATTATACAGGTGAGGAAACTGACACCCAGAGTGGTTGAGTCGTTTCATTAACACCACACAAGTTTTTGGTGCATTTCAAATTGTAACCTAGAAATCTTCCTCTAGGATATCTAAGCCTATCTAATATTCTACTTTGTTTCTCACTGCCAGAGTCCCCAAAAGTACAAATCTCATTCTGACTCCATTTTCTACTTGTTGATACAAAACTGGCAAAAAAATAGCCTCATGGTGAGGGAGAAAACTAGCTGGAGGGGGGCCTTCCCTTTTCTATTTCTTACCTGTTGTGGGAAGTCAGGGACCCCGAATGGAGGGACCTGCTGAAGCCGTGGCAGAAGAACATAAATTGTGAAGATTTCATGGATATTTATTAGTTCCCCTAATTAATACTTTTATAATTTCTTATGCCTGTCATTACTGCAATCTCTGAACGTAAATTGTGAAGATTTCATGGACATTTATCACTTCCCCAATCAATACACTTATAATTTCCTATGCCCGTCTTTAATCTCTTAATCCTGTCATCTTCGTAAGCTGAGGATGTATGTCGCCTCAGGACGCTGTAATGATTGCATTATCTGTACAGATTGTTTGTAAAACATGTGTGTTTGAACAATATGAAATCTGGGCACCTTGAAATATAACAGGATAACAGCAATTTTCAAGGAACAAGGGAGATAACCATAAGGTCTGACTGCCTGCGGGGCCAGGCAGAACAGAGTCATATTTCTCTTCTTGCAGAAAGTGAATAGGAGAAATATTGCTGAATTCTTTTCCCAGCAAGGAATAGCCCTGGGAAAGGAATGCATTCCCAGGGGGAGGTCTCTAAAATGGCCGCTCTGGGAGTGTCTGTCTTATGCGGTTGAAGATAAGGGATGAAATATGCCCGGGTCTCCTGCAGTGCCCTCAGGCTTGCTAGGATTAGGAAATTCTAGCCTGGCAAATTCTAGTCAGACTGGTTGTCTGGTCTCGAACTCTGCTTCCTGTTAAGATGTTTATCAAGACAATGCATGCCCAGTGGGACATGGAACCTCATCAGTAATTCTAATTTCACCCTGGCCTTGTGATCTCACTCTGCCCTTCTGCCCTTGTAATCTTTTATTGCCCCTTGAAGAATGTGATCTTTGTGATTTACTCCCTGTTCATACCCCCCTCCCCTTTTGAAATCCCTAATAAAAACTTGCTGGTTTTGTGGTTCAGGGGGCATCACGGAACCTGCTGACATGTGATATCACCCCTGGAGGCCCAGCTGTAAAATTTCTCTCTTTTATACTCTTTCTCTTTATTTCTCAGACCAGCTGACACTTAGGGAAAATAGAGAAGAACCTACACTAAAATATTGGGGGGCTGGTTCCCCTGATACTTACCCTTGATAATTGTTAGTTTTTTTGAGTGTGCTCAAGAACTGGCAGAAGCTGGCCAGTCCTCACCTGAAAAGTATATTATGTAAAGTTAATCCACTTACTTTTTACAGGTGTGATTTTTATATCCTTTTTTTTTTTTTTGAGGTGGATGGAGTCTTGCTCTTGTCGCCAAGGCTGGAATGCAATGCCGAGATCTTGGCTCACTGCAACCTCTGCCTCCCAGGTTCAAGAGATTCTCCTGGCTCAGCTGGGATTACAGGCACCTGCCATGATGCCCAGCCAATTTTTTGTATTTTTAGTAGAGACAGGATTTCATTATGTTGGCCAGGCTGGTCTTGAACTCCTGACCTCAGGTGATTCACCCATCTCAGTCCCCCAAAATGCTGGGTTTACAGGCATGAGCCACTGTGCCCAGCCTTATCCTAGTTATTTTTCTGGGTTTTCTTTTACAAGTTCCTGCTGTGCATTAAAATACAATGCAAATATTGATGAAAATAAAACTTTTTTCCTCCTACTAAATGGTAAAAACACTTTTTTTTTTTTCAAGACAGAGTCTTGCTCGTGTTGCCCAGGCTGGAGTGCAGTGGCACGACTGCAGCTCACTGCGACCACTGCCTCCCAGGTTCGAGTGATTCTTCTGCCTCAGCCTCCAGAGTAGCTGGGACTACAGGCACTCGCCACCATGCCTGGCTAATTTTCTGTATTTTTAGTAGAGACAGGGTTTCACCATATTATCCAGGCTGGTCTTGAACTCCTGACCTCAGGCGATCCATCTTCCTCAGCTCTGAGCTACCACACCCAGCCGAGGTGGGTGAAGTTCTGGGTTTTCTTATAAAATGTCACAGGAGATTATGACACAAATATTTTATAAAGCCTTTGGGTGGTATGAGCTGTGTCATAACACAGTCCAACAAGCAGGTGAGTTTGTGACTCTCATAGGCACATCCAGCCAACAATGGTATTATCATTCTTAAACCTAGACACAACCCACTGGTGAGGTTATAAACCTCACATATGGATGCAGACCACAGTTGGAATTGTTACTGTCATATGTGGATTTGGCCACAGGTCGAAGGGGAAGTCATTTCTTGACTAACTCACAGGCACAGTGTTGTCTCTTATACTTGGACCAAGCTAGTAGAAGAGATGTTGACTCTCATTGTTAGGATTAGGAAATGGGGATGATTCTGGGTTTTTCTACACACACAAATGTCACAAAAAATCACAACACTCATGCATACAGCATAATGCCCTATGGTGGTACAGAGAGTGTCAACACAGCCCAATACAAAGTTGAGACTTATTCTCATATGCACAGCCAGCTGACAGTAAGAATTGTCACCCACACACATGGACAGATCCCATTAGTGAGGTCCTGACTTTGCCTTGTGGACAGGGTTCACAGTTGAAATTGTGACTGTCATATGCAGATCTGACCACAGGTAAGATTGTGACTCATTTCTGGACCCAGCTCACAAACATGGTGATGACTCTCATACCTGGACCCAGGCAAGAGAAAATGTGTTGACTTCTGCCTGGGCTTAGGGTAACAGGTAAGATCTTAGAGCCATACAAACAAAGTTCACAGAGCAGAATTCCACTCTCAAGCATATTATGTGAAAATCTCAGATGGTACAGAGAGTGTCATAACACAGCCAGAAACACAGAGGAAATTGTGAATCTCCTATGCATACCCAGCCAACAATAAGGATGGTCACTCTCCCATATAGACACAGCTCACTGTTGAGGTTCTGAATCTCACGCCCAGAGGCAATGAAAAGTTGAAAGTTTGACTCACGTACATGCATCTGGTCAACAGGTAGGATAGTGACTCTGAGACCAAGATTCAGCACCCTGGTGAGGCTGTGCCTATCTTATGGGAACACTGTTTGCAGTGGAGATAGAGCTCTCATGGACGGATCCTGTCCAATGTTAAGACTGTGTCTCGTGTATTTGGATGCAACTCACAAGAGGTGTTGACTGTCAGACCTAAAGCTGGGAAATATGTAGAACTGTGAAATTTATTCCTGGTCCTTCCCGCAGGTGTGATTGTGGCGTATACTTTCACACAGCACCTAATTTATTTTACTAATTTGCTTGGGCCCAGCCAACAGTTGGGACTGTGACATATACCTGGATCAAGTACCTAGGTGATGTAACTCTCCAGCCTGGGCCTTACCACAGGGTGCATTGTAACATATCTTTGGACTTTTCACCTATGTGATGTGACTCTACTTTC
Source organism: Homo sapiens (assembly GCF_000001405.40). NCBI lineage: Eukaryota > Metazoa > Chordata > Mammalia > Primates > Hominidae > Homo > Homo sapiens. The sequence continues at coordinate 64,030,449 of NC_000007.14, read as the reverse complement.
TTGCCTCATCTTGGCCTCCATTGGGAATTGTGACATATTGCTGGGCCCAATACCTAAGTTATGTGACTCTTCTTCGCTGCTTGTGCACTTAGAAGGGATTGTGACATATTGCTGGGCCAAGAACCTAGGTGGTGTGACTCTCCTGTCTTCAGGGGAAATTGTGACATGACTCTGGGAAATTTTCCCTGCCTTCAGGGGAAATTGTGATATGTCTCTGGGTTTATTACCTAAGTGATGTGACTCTCATCGCCTGTGTGGGCAAGCCCAAAGGGGTCATTGTGACCTATCTCTGGGCACATCACAGAAGTGGTATGGCTTTTCTCTCATTTCTGGACCCTGGTCTCAGTAGGGACTGTGACATATCACTGGGCCTATAACCTAGGTAATGTGACTCTCCTTTTCTTCCTGTGTTCTGTCCCAGTGAAGATTATGACAAATTTCTGGGCCAGTCAGGTATGTGGTATGACTCTGTGCTCTTTCCTGGGCCCCGCTAGCAGGGAGCATTGTGACATATTGCCAGGCTCAGCACCTAGGTAATGTGACTCTTCTTGCAGCCTGGGTTCTACATACAGAAGGGATTGTGACATATTGCTCAACCAAGAACTCAGATGATGTGACTCTCCTGCCTGTGCCCTGAGTACAGTGGGCATTGTGACATATCACTGGGTCTAGCACCCAGGTGATGTGACTTTAATGCCTTGTTCCTGTCCAAATGTAAAATTGTGGCATATACCTGGGTCCAGCTCAGAGGCACAAGAATGACTCTCTTACCTGGACACAGCCAGTGGGAGATATTTTGATTTCTGTAGCCAGGCTTAGGCCACAGGTAATGTCCTGGATCTCTTACATGTATAAAGTTCACAGAACATTACAACACTCAGGATGATCACAGGAAGCCCTAGAGCGATACAGAGAGTTTCTAACAGGGCCTAGCTAACAGCTGAGATTGTGACTCTCGTATGCAGACCCAGCCGACAGGCTCTTCATTCTTACACATAAACAGAGCCTACGAATGAGGCACTTAATCTCACACATAAAAACAGTTGCAAGTTGGATTTGTTACTCTCATATGTGGATCTGGTTTCCAGGTGGTTTGGTGACTCTCAAACCATGATTCAGCAGACCTGTGAGGCTGTGAGTTCCCTATCAGAACACAATCTGCAGGTGAGATTGGGGCTGTTGTGCATGGATTTTGTGCATTGTTGAGACTGTAACTCCTTTACTTGAACCCCACTCACAGGAGGGGTTGCCTCTCATACATGAAGCCAGGACTCGTGTGAAACTGTGAAACTCATTTCTGTACATTCCCAAGTGTGTGATTGGGAAATATACCTTTGCCCAGAACCTGAGTGATCTGACTCTTTCCCAGGCCCAGCCCACAGATAAAATTGTGACATATACCTGGACCACCCACCTAAATAATGTGAAACTCCTTCCTGGGCCCTGCCTGCCAAGGGCATTTTTACATTTCAGTGTGACCAGCAACCACCCAGGTGCTGTGACTCTCCTGCCTGGTACCTGCCTACAAAGAGCATTGTGACTTATTTCTGGGTTCATTATGTAGGTGATGTGACTTCATTCTACTGCTTTGGCTCTGTGCTTAGAGTGCATTGTGACATTTAGCTGGGTACTGCACCCACATAATGTGACTCTCCTGACTGAGTTCTTCCTACAGGAAGCGTTGGAACCTATCACTTAGCCTAGCATCTAGGTGATGTGATTCTCCTCTCTTGCCTGGTTCCTGCCCACTGGAGAGATTGTGACCCATTGCTGAGCCCAGGGCCAAGGTGATGTCACTCTCCTGCCTTGGCTGTGCCCATGGGGGCCACTGTGACACCTGTCTAGGCTAATAACTTAAGTGAAGCGAGTCTCCTTTCCTGCCTAAGCTCTGCCTACAGGGGGGATTTTGATATATCACTGGGCCCAACAGCCAGGTGATGTGACTCTTCTGCCAGGGTACTGCCTACAAGGGGGATTGTGACATATCTCTGGACCAGCACCCAAGTGATGTGTCTTTTCTGGTCTCTCCCTCTCCACAGGTTGTATTGTGCCATATATCTGTGTCCAAATTATAAGCACAATGATGAATCTTTTACTGGGAGTCAAGATATGTGCAGGATGGTGAAACTTATCACTGGACCTTTCCACAGTGTTATTGTCACATATACCTTTGTCCAACATGTGAGTGATTTGACTCTGCAGACTGGGTCCAGTTCACAAACAAAATTGTGCCATATACCTGGGCCAAGAACCTAATAGGTATGACTCATGTGCCTGGGCCCTGCCTTCAGAAAGATAGTGACATTACACTGCACCCAGCACCTAAGAGGTGTGATTCTCTTCTTCTACATGGGGCCTGCCCACAGCAAGACTTGTGACATATCAATGGGTGATGTGACTATCATTTTTCTTCCTGGGCCCTGCCCACATGGATAATTGTAACATATCACTGGCCCCAACTATTAGGTGATGTGACTCTCTTGTCTGGGATTTGTCAACAAAGGACATTGTGACATATTTCCTTTTTATTTTCCCAGATGGAGTCTTGCTCTGTTGCCCAGGCTGGAATGCAATGATGCAATCTCAGCTCACTGCAACCTCCATCTCCCAGATTCAAGTGGTTCTCCTGCCTCAGCCTCCCAAGTAGTTGGGACTACAGGTATGCACCACCACGCCTAGCTAATTTTTTTGTATTTTTAGTAGAGACGGGATTTCACCATGTTGTCCAGGCTGGTCTTGAACTCCTGACCTCAATGATCTGCCATCCTCAGCCTCCCAAAGTGCTGGGATTACAGGTGTGAGCCCCCGTGCCTGGTGTGACATATTTCTAAGTTCAGCACCCAAGTGCTGTGACTCTCCTGACTGGGCCCTCCCCACGAGGAAAATTGTGACATATCCCTGGGCCCAGTCCTTAGGCCACATGACCCTCTTTTTTTACCTGGGCCCAGCCCGCAAAAGTAATTGTGACATATCAGTGGGCCCAGCATCCAAGAAATATTATTCTTCTGCCTAGGCCCTGCCAACAGAAATATCCCTGCTTTTTTCATATCCCTGCTTCAGCACCAAGTGATGTAACATGTTTTCTGGTTCACACCCACAGGTGTGATTTTGACATATACCTTTTCCTAGCACCTGAGCGATTTGCCTCTTTAGCCTGGGCTAATCCCACAAATAGAATTGTGACATATACCTGGCACAGGCACCTAGGTGATGTAACTCTTGCCTTGGTGCTGTCCTCAGAGGGGATTGTAATATATCACCGGGCCCAGCACCTGGTGATGTGGCTCATGTCGTTTTCCCTGGGCCCTGCCCCAGTGGGGATTGTAAATATCTCTGGGCCCTATATTCATGTGATGTGACTCTCCTGCCTGGGCCCTGCCCACAGAGGCACTGTGACATCTCTGGGCCCATCCCTTAGGTGGTGTAATTCTCCTTTTGTGCCCAGGTGCTGCCTTCAGGAGGGATTATGACATATGCCTGGACCAAACACCTGGATGACGTGACACTCCTGCATGAGCCTTGCCCTAAGGGGATATTTTTACATGTTGGTGAACTCAGCATCTAGGTGATGTGACTCTACTCTTCTGCCTGGGCCCTGCCCACAGAGGGCATTGGAACATTTCACTTGGCTCAGCACCAAGAAGATGTTACTCTCCTACCTGGACCTCTCCCACAGGGGACACCTAGATGATATGATTTTTCTTCCTGGTTCCTGCCCAGACTTCAAATTGTGATGTATATCTGGGCCCAAAACACAGGTAAGGTAATAACTCTCATAGCTAGACCAAGACAATAGAGAGATTTTGACTTTTGTAGCTAGGCTTAGAACAATGGGTACATATTCCTGGCCCAGCTCCCAGGTGATATGACCCTCCTACCTAGTTAGTGCTCACAGGTGTGATTGTTACCTATGTTTGGACTCAGTTCATTGTGAGCATTGTGATCACTCATACCTGGACCTAGCCACAAAAAAATATGTTGACTCTTATACCTCAAAATAGGAGACTCAACCCACAAGAGGTGTTGACTCTTACACCTTTTGCTGGAAAATGTCCAGGATTGTGAATTTCTGCTATTGATTGGGTCCAGGTATGAGTTTCATTGCTGTGCCTGAGCTGAGTTCAAAATAAGTCACTATCTCACCTGTGGCTGCATCTACATATGACAGTCACAATTCCAAGTCTGGATTGCATTTGTGTATGAGACTTAGGACCTCACCAGTAAGCACTGTCTATGTGTGAGGGTGACAATTCTATCAGCTGGAAGTGCATATGAGAGTCACAATGTCACCTTTGTTCTTGGTCCTGTTATGACATTGTATCACTTGAAGGCTTTATCCAGACCCAGGACCTTGCCTGTTGCCCTAAGCCTAGATATCAGAGTCAAAATCTGTTCTCTTAGCTGGATCCAGGTATGAGAGTCAACATCTCACCAGTGAGCTGTGACCATGTATATGTCACAATTTCACCTGTGGGCAGGAACCAGACATGAGAGTCATATCACTTGGGTGCTGGGTAAGTGATACATTACAATTCTTACTTTGGGCAGGGTCCAGGCAACAGAGGAGAGACACATCACCTATATGATTGGCCCAGCGATGGGTGAAAATCCTCTCTGAGAGCAGGGCCCATTCAGGAGAGTCATATCACCTAGCTGCTTGGCCAAGTGAAATATCACAATGCACCCTTTGCACAGGGCCAATACAGGACAGTTACATCACCAGGGAGCTGGGTCCAGCTATATGTCACAATTCCTTTTGTGGAAAGTGTCCAGGCAGAAAAGCAGAGTCACATCACCTAGCCAGTGGGCCCAGAGAGATGCCACAATGCCATTTGTAGGCTGGGCCCTGGGAGAAGAATAACATCACCCAGTTCTGGGCCCAGCAATATGTTGTGATCCCAACTGGAAAAAGTTTCCAGACAAGAGAGGAGAATCACATCATCATGATGATAAGCCAAGAGATTTCACAATCCCCCCCTCTGCACATGTCCCAGGCAGAAGACCTGAATTACCTTTTTACTTAGGCCAGTAATGTCACAGTGCTTCCTCAGGGCAGGGCACAAACAAGATAGGACAGTCACATCATTAAGTGCTAGACTTAATGCTAGATATGTCATAACCTTACTTGTGGGCAGGATCCAGGAAGGAGAGATTTATGTCACCTAGGTGCTCAGTAAAGAGATATATTACAATTACAATTCCTTTGAGGGAAGTGGCCAGGCAAAATAGTCACATCACCTAGGTGCTTGGCCCAGGTATAAGTCACAAGATATCTGTGTGTTGAGCCCAGAAGGACTATCAAATTACGAAGTTTCTACGTAGAAGTGCATGTCACAGACACCTGCAGGAAGGCCCAGGAATGAGACTCCCAATTCCACACATTTTCCCACTCCAAGTGTAAGAGTCAACAACTCCTGAGACTTAGGCCCAAGTACATGAGTCACAATCTCAACAGTGGATTGCATCCTGCCATGAGAGCCCCAATCCCTTCTCTAAGCTGTGTTCCAGTAGAGGAGTCACAACATCAATGGTGTGCTGAATCCTGGTTGGAGAGTTCCCACTTCACCTGTGGACTGGATCTGTATATGAGAGTCTCAATTCCAGCTCTCAACTGCCCCTGGGTGTGAGATTCAGGACCTCAATTGTGAGCTGTGTACACATGGACATGTAACAATTTCTACTTTTGGCTGTGTGTTCATACAAGACTCAATCTCATCTGTGTTCTCGGCCCTGTTATGACACTCTTTGTACCACCCATGGGATTTATTCAATACGCATGGGTGTCATAATCCTCTGTGATCTTCATACAAGTAGAAGACCCAGGACCTTACCCATGGCCCTAGGCCTATCTATGAGAATTGACATTTTTCCTCACATTTTTAATTTTAACAAATAAGTTATTCTCCTGTCAGTTCAGATTCATCAGGACATTGAATCATATTCAGAAGAATTAAAACTGAAAGACTAATAGGTTTGTTAAAGCAATGCAGGTTGTCATACTAATAAACCCTAAAATTTCAAAGGCTTAGCAAAATAATACATTTTCTGCTTACATCACCATCCCCTTTGGCTTATTTCTGGTTAAGAGAACTTCTTTGTGATTATTCGGAGATTAGATTTTTTTAAAATTTCCTATCTGCACTCTCTCTTTCTTCAGCCAATAGATGAAAAAAGATGCAAAGAAGACACATTTGCTTTTTATGCACACATCACTTCCAGTCACTATGTTGAGCAGAGTCAGTGTGAGGACAATTGAGAATAGCAGTTTTCTGGCAGGACAGCCACTTCTCAGCAGAAGATGACACAATAAAAGTATAAATCTTTCATGGGAGGCTCACATATTTTCAGCAAATTAAGCATATGCATGAATAAAATTCTTGTGGTAAAATAAAGATGCATTTTGTTGATTCCTATGGAGCTCAGGTAATATTGGATAAAAAGCAAAAAAATTATTTGAAATAGTAATATTGTGAATGAAGTTATTCTGTCAATAGAATTAAAAATATTTTTATCTCATACTAGTCATCTTATCTATAGTTGTACAATATCAAATGCTACTTTTTATTCACAATTGTACTTCATATAATTATTCCATGTATATCATCCTTCTTCACTGTTTCAATGCCTTCTGCACTTCACATCAGTGAAAAACAAGCCAGCTAATGCCAGGAAATGGGTGTTTTGCTAGTGCTACTTTAAGAGTAATGATGAAGAGCACTTGTCTGAATTGTTCCCATGTGGCAAACACTGTGATTTGGCCCAAAGTACACACATTTCTTATGTACCTCTAAATTTACTGATGAAATAAAATTCTTAGCTAACATCATCTCATTCAAATATGTTTTATGAAATTTGGTTGACATTTCAGTGTCTCTGACTTAAATGGAATATTGAAAATGTCTATGAATCCAAACAGAGTGTTATACATGAGCAATCTTTTACTAAAAGCCTTTCTGAGGCAGAGTAAGATTCATAAAATTTCTTTATAATATAGAAGAAATGTGTTACCTATGTTTCCAGTAATCAACTCCGAACACTGAGCATCTCAGTTCCCAGTATTCACCCTGAGATATTCAGGAAAAATTGGTATCTCTGTAAGGAGACAGAAAAAGGTGTTTGGGGGAGGGTCACAATATTGCACGTAAATGCTTTCTGCAAGCACCTCTTAGGATCTTAATCTAATTGGTCTATCATTGGCATGGCTAGACAGTTACTGAATGTAGTCATACTATTTTGTTTTTTGCAGCCAATGACATCTGTTACCTATAACTTTTATACAATAACTTGCTCAGCTGAAACATGAATCTTTTGTTAATTTACCCTAAATTGAGAGACTAGATTTGCAATTTCCAATCTTTCAATGTTAAAGCAAATCAGAGAAGAGTAATGTGTGTATGTGGTATGCATTTTCTTGCCTAATTATCAAAATTCTTCTCATATTGAATTGCACACTCTAGGCAGCCACCTTAAAAATAGTCCCTCCTACTTTTTTTAGCCAGGATATTAGATTTCAAAAGGTCAAGGACTTAATAATTGGGCAAAGACAAAACCTTGCCTTTGCTTCTTGACCATTTCAAAGAGCATGGTAATTGTGCCAAGCCATTGAAAGATGTGGTTCTGATGACTTTTATTTCATTTCAAATGTTTTCTCTAATTTTTAGTCTTATTGCATTAATCTAAAAGAGAAACTACCTACATAACAATTTATGCATTCAAGAAATATTCATGTTAAGGTGTTCAAAGTTCAATATTGTATTACAGAATAGTAGAATTCTCTAAAATTAGAAAGTCAGATTATTATTATTAATAAATTCATTTTTTTTCAACATTTTCCAATGTTGAAATTAAATAATTGGGTATGCTTTTTCAGGATAAGTTCAATTCTAGGAGGACACTCAATGGTCTGCCTGGTATTTTTGTCATGAATGTAAAACTGAGTTAACAGAATGGAGCAGAAATGCTAATTTAATCAGAATGAGAATGAATTCAGCCTTATTGGTAGACTGTTGGTAGACTATTGGTATCCCAGAGGCTGATCATTTACTTCGGCTGTGTAAACATTGCTTCCTAATGCCAGTGAGCCCTTTCAACCAAGTTGCCTTTGTTTCCCATTGATGTGGTCATGTTCTGGTCTCTGTTTTTCTTAAGCTGTCCCAGATGAGGAGTGATTATTTCTTGTATTAATAAGATCTCTTCTTTTTCCTCTGCCATGAGATCCTCCTATTCTTCCTTCTGAAAGTAACATGTTGAAGGCAAAAATAGAGACAATATACAAATATATCCCTTGCCATGTGGCCACCATAAGCAGCTTACAACCTGGCTTACCTAGAAGTTTGATTAATTTCAGGGAAGCAGGGGTGTTTTTCTATGATGTGCTCTTTTTCTTAAAAACATGTCTGATTAAGTTTGGTGTAATAAAGATAATCTCTCTTATGATAAACAGAAAGCCAATACCTTTGTAACCTAATTACATGAATAATGTCCCACCACAGTCACACACATTTTCTCACACTCAGGAG